>NC_000022.11:16955716-17276569 GCF_000001405.40 Homo sapiens | reverse complement strand
ACTCCTGACCTCGTGATCTTCCCGCCTCAGCCTCCCAAAGTGCTGGGATTACAAGCATGAGCTGCTGTGCCTGGTAGACTACTGGTTTCTTTTCTTTTCTCTTCTCTTCTTTTCTCCCCTCCCTTCTCCTCCCCTCCCCTCCCCTCTTCTCTTTTCTTTTTTGAGACGGAATTCGCTCTGTCATCCAGGCTAGAGAGCAGTTGCATGTCTCGGCTCACTGCAATCTCCTCCTCTGGGGTTCAAGTGATTCTCCTGTCTCAGCCTCCAGAGTAGCTAGGACTACATACGCGTGCCACCATGCCCAGCCAATTTTTGTGTTTTTAGTAGAGACCGGGTTTCACCAATTTGGCCAGGCCGGTCTCGAACTCCTGACCTCAAGTGATCCACCCATCTCGGCCTCCCAAAGTCCTGGGATTACAGGCATGCGCCACTGCACCCAGCTATTGTATTATTGTATTGGTTTATCTTCTTTCTTTCTTCCTTTCTTTTTTTTTTTTTTTTTTTTTTTTTTTTTGAGACGGAGTCTCGCTTTGTCACCCAGGCTGGAGTACAGTGGCATGATCTCGGCTCACTGCAACATCTGCCTCCCGGGTTCAAGCAATTCTCCTGCCTCAACCTCCTGAGTAGCTGGGATTACAGGCATGTGTCACCATGCCCAGCTAATTTTTGTAGTTTTAGCAGATATGGGGTTTCACCATGTTGGTCAGGCTGGTCTCGAGCTCCTGACCTCGTGATCCACCCGCCTCGGCCTCCCAAAGTGCTGGGATTACAGGCATGAGCCACCGCGCCTGGCCTATTGGTTTATTTTCTAAAACAAGACAAAATAAGGCCGGGCGCGGTGACTCAGTCCTGTAGTCCCAGCACTTTGGGTGGCCGAGGCGGGCGGATTACCTGAGGTCAGGAGCTAGAGACCAGCCTGGCCAACATGGTGAAACCCCGCCGCTACAAAAATACAAAAAAAAAAAAAAAATTAGCTAGGCATGATGGCAGGTGCCTGTAATCCGAGCTACTCAGGAGGCCGAGGCGGGAGAAGCGCTTTAACCTGGGCGGGGCGGGGCGGGGCGGGGAGGGCGGCGTGGGGGCGGAGGTTGCAGTGAGCTGAGATCGCACCACTGCACTCCAGCCTGGGCGACAGAGCGAGACTCCGTCTTGAAAAAAAAAAAAAAAAAAAAGGAAGAAAGGCTGGGCAGAGTGGCTCACGCCTGTAATCCCAGCACTTTGGGAGGCTGAGGCAGGTGGATCATGAGGTCAAGAGATGGAGACCATCCTGGCCAACATAGTGAAACCCCGTCTCTACTAAAAATACAAAAATTAGTTGGGCGTGGTGGTGCTGGCCTGTAATCCCAGCTACTCTGGAGGCTGAGGCAGGAGAATCCCTTGAGCCCAGGAGGCAGAGGTTGCAGTGAGCTGAGATGGTGCTACTGCACTCCAGCCTGGGCGACAGAGCTAGACTCCGTCTCAAAAAAAAAAAAAAAAAAAAATAGCTGGCGCGGTGGCTCACTCCTGTAATCCCAGCACTTTGAGAGGCCAAGGCCGATGGATCACTTGAGGCAGGAGTTCGAGATCAGTCTGGCCAATATGGTGAAACCCCGTCTCTACTAAAAATACAAAAATTACCTTGGTGTGGTGGCACATGCCTGTAATCCCTGCTACTGGGGAGGCTGAGGCAGGAGAATCACTTGAACCTGGGAGATGAAGGTTGCAGTGAGCTGAGGTTGTGCCACTGCACTCCACCCTGGGCAATACTCTGTCTCAATAAAAAAATAATAATAATAATAAAAGGAAATAATAATAATAATGAGGTCAGGCACGGTGGCTCATGCCTGTAATCCCAGCACTTTGGGAGGCCGAGGCGGGCAGATCACCTGAGGTCAGGAGTTCGAGACCAGCCTGGCCAGCATGGCGAAACATGGTCTCTACTAAAAATACAAAAATTAGCCAGCCATGGTGGCGGGTGCTTGTAATCCCAGCTACTTGGGAGGTTGAGGCAGGAGAATCACTTGAACCCGGGAGACGAAGGTTGCAGTGAGCTGAGATCGGGCCATTGCACTCCAGCCTGGGCAAGAGTGAAACTCCATCTGAAAAAAAAATAATAATAATAATACATCTAGTGTCAGTTTAATAAAATAACTAAAATAGGCCGGGCGCGGTGACTCATGCCTGTAATCCCAGCACTTTGGGAGGCTGAGGTGGGCGGATCACGAGGTCAGGAGATGGAGACCATCCTTGGTCAGGAGATCGAGACCATCCTGGTTAACACGGTGAAACCCTGTCTCTACTAAAAAAAAAAAAAAAAAGAAAGAAAGAAAATAACTAAAATAATTTAAGTGTTTTGTAAATAATTGAAGTGGAAGATTAAATGTTCTGACTCAAATTGTCAAATAGAAGATAACTGTGCAGTCAGAGAAGTAGCTTCTTTCTTTTTTTTTTTTTTTTTTTTGAGACGGAGTCTCGCATTGTCACCCAGGCTGGAGTACAGTGGCGCAACCTCAGCTCATTGCAAGCTCTGCCTCCCGGGTTCACACCATTCTCCTGCCTCAGCCTCCCAAGTAGCTGGGACTGCAGGCTCCCGCCACCACGCCCAGCTATTTTTTTTTTCGAGACAGAGTTTTGTTCTTGTCTTTCCCAGGCTGGAGTGCAATGGTGTGATCTTGGCTCACCGCAACCTCCGCCTCCCAGGTTCAAGTGATTCTCTTGCCTCAGCCTCCCAAGTTGCTGGAATTACAGGCATGCACCACCACGCCCAGCTAATTTTCTGCTTTTAGTAGAGACAGGGTTTCTCCATGTTGATCAGGCTGGTCTCGAACTCCTGACCTCAGGTGATCTGCCTGCCTTGGTCTCCCAAAATGCTGGGATTACAGGTGTGAGCCACCGCGTCCGGCCCTGGCTTCTGTCTTTAACCAACCCTAAACACCTAAAGAGTGCTTATTAATTGCATTTTATTTCATAGGATTCTTCTAGTTTGAATTTTTCAACAAGGCAAGAGGGAGGGACGTCAAAGTCCCTGGAGACGCGAAAGCTACAGCACTCCACTGTGCACTGTGTTTTGCACCAGGGTGCACCTACAGATAGAACGCTGGGATTCGAGTCACCACAAAAACAGTACCTTCCACAGAAATTCCTATTTTGAGGGTGGACTTCAGTTCACAATTAGACACCAACTCTAAGAAAGCAGTTTTTGTGGTGTGTGTTTTCTCTTTTGTTTCGTTTATTTGTTTGTGGGTACATTGGACTATCCTTTATTTGGAGAGATGGCAGCCAGACCTAGAGAAAGCTGAAATTCTCACTTGCTAGTTAGATAAACATCGGTTCTTGTCACCCCAATCATCTAGATTGTGTGACAGATTTTGTCAGGGGCAGGCCTCACTGGAGTTCAGCTTTCAACAAAGCGGAGGGGATTGGTTGTGTCAAGGATATTTTAATTGGCTGTCTACATTGTGTGGACTCATTAGATAATTGCCAACCTTCTTCACTTTCTGTTGGGTAGACCTGGCTACAGAAGACAGCGTTTGGAAAAGAGATTAGTAAGAAGAGAGGCTGCTGGGCTGGAGAGCTCCTGGCAAAGGGGGACAAACTTGCAGGGAGGGTTGGGGTGGAAAACAAAAGGCCCTGAGCTGGGGAGAAACATCATGAGAGAACAGGAAGGACTCTGGCTGGGGGTGGGATTGGAAACTTCCTCAGAAATCAAGGTTCAAAGAAGACAGTGAGGAAGTACAAATAGACTCATCAGGTCAGGCTGGACCAGAGAAGCTGTGGCAGACGCAGGTGGTCACAGATGCCAGGGAAGAGGCCAGAGGGGCCTCCCTTAGGAGGTAGCTCCGTCCTAGAGAGTTGTTTGTCCCAAAGGCTCCAGAGAAAATGAAGGGGGAGGGGTGGGGAGTGCTCATTCCCAGAGGGAGGGAGGCAAGCTTGGCAAATTCCAGCCCTGCAAGGGTGAGCCCGGCCTATCAGTGTCGAAGGAGGGCTCAGAGGAAGCAGAGGGAGGTGTCTCATCACCACTGCACCAGGGGGTAGGGACTGGGGAAGCAGGGCTGGCCCAGGGGGCTAAGGTCATCCTAGCAGGAGGGGGCTGGCCCAGTAGCAAATGGGCCAAGGTTCCAAATAGGACTTATTACAAGAAAAACAAAAACAAATTCAACATCGTTAGTGGTGGGTTCCTCATCTTTATCTGTTGTAAGTTTTCTAAAAAAAAAAAAAAATCTGAACTCCAACCCACCTTAAGTTCACCTTATTAAAAAGTAACCCTAGGTAAAATAGCACACAAAAAAAAGAGAGAAATAAATAAAAGGTAAGGGGGACCCAAAATATCTATCAATAAGGAAATCATTAAATAAATCATCACATCCTGGTGGATAAGAACTGTAATTGCAACTTTGGGAGGCCAAGGTGGGAGAATAGCTTGAGGTTGAGGGTTTGAGACCAGCCTGGGCAAAGCAGCAAGGCCCTCTCTACCAAAAATATAAAATTTGGTGGCATGGTGGTGCATGCCTGTAGTCCCAGCCACTTAGGAGGCTGAGGCAGGAGGATCTCTTGAGCCTGGGAGGTCGAGGCTGCAGTGAGCCATGATCACACCACTGCACTCCAGCTTGGACAACAGAGCAAGACCCTGACTCTAAAAACATAAACAAACAAACAAGTAAATAAATTATGACATCCAGACTAAGTAAAACAATGAAGCAGTTAAAAACAAAGAGAGAGGCCAGGCACGGTGGCTCACGCCTGTAACCCCAACACTTTGGGAGGCAGAGGCGGGCGGATCACCTGAGATTGGGAGTTCGAGACCAGCCTCACCAACATGGAGAAACCCCATCTCTACTAAAACTGCAAAATTAGCCAGGCATGGTCGTGCATGCCTGTAATCCCAGCTGCTCTGGAGGCTGAGGCAGGAGAATAGCTTGAATGAGGGAGGCAGAGGTTGCAGTGGGCTGAGAGAGCGCCATTGCGCTCCAGCTTGGGCGACAAGAACGAAACTCTGTCTCAAAAATAAATAAATAAATAAAAATAATAAAAATAAAAACAAAGAGAGGGCCGGGCGCAGTGGCTCACGCCTGTAATCCCAGCACTTTCGGAGGCCGAGAGGGGTGGATCACGAGGTCAGGAGATTGAGACCATCCTGGCTAACACAGTGAAACCCTGTCTCTACTAAAAAAAATACAAAAAATTAGCCGGGCGTGGTGGCGGGCACCTGTAGTCCCAGCTACTCAGGAGGCTGAGGCAGGAGAATGGTGTAAACCCGGGAGGCGGAGCTTGCAGTGAGCCGAGATGGCGCCACTGCACTCCAGGCTAGGCGACAGAGCGAGATTCTGTCTCAAAAAAACAAAAAAACAAAAACGAAAAACAAACAAGGATAGAAGCACATGTATTAATGGAAGATAAATTATTCAGTTAAAAGAAATTCTAGGCCAGGTGCAGTAGCTCATGCCTGCAATCCCAGCACTTTGGGAGGCTGAGGTGGGTGGATCACGAGGTCAGGAGTTCAAGACCAGCCTGGCCAAGATGGTGAAACCCTGTCTCTACTAAAAATACAAAAATTAGCCGGGCATGGTGGTGGGTGTCTGTAATCCCAGCTACTTGGGAGGCTGAGGCAGAGAATTGCTTGAACCCAGGAGGCGGAGGCTGCAGTGAACTGAGATTGAGCCACTGCACTCCAGCCTGGCGACAGAGCGAGACTCTGTCTCAAAAAAAAAAAAAAAGAAAAGAAAAATAAATTCTAGAAGAAATGTATGATTCCCTTTGGCATGCATGCGTGTCTGAGTTCAACAGGGGAAGCGCACATGCGACCGTCCACAGTGCTCATGTGAGGGGAGGGGCAGGGATTGAGGCAGCAGAATTAGGAGTCAAACTCCAAATTTGCCAGATCATCTACAAGGAGGGAATGACAGAGCCTGGATGTGCTTGTGGGAACCCCTGCGGAGTCCAGGCTATGTCTGGGCAGGTGTCCTCTCCCAGAAGGCTCTTTTTTTTGTGGAGAGGGTAGAAGCTGGAAATAACACGTTGTAATCGATAATAACAACGCAGGGGCTGGCAGTACTTTGGACGCCCAGTCTCCTCTCCTCTGGACAGCCACGTTGTCCAGGGAGAAATGAAGGGCTGTGGGTCAGGCCACAGGTAAGTCATGAGAAAGACCAGAATAAGAACTGTGAGTCAGCACCCACCTGGCTTCTTCAGACGCATAGTGGCTCCTGTCATCTTAGCGCCTTTGCTCTGATCGCCCCCGGAAGACAGTCCAGTCCTGGTTAAATTCTCTTCCTCTGAGCTTCAATGTCATTTCCTCCTGGCCCCCTCCAATCTCATTTACTTTGCTCCCGCTGTGGCACATGTTCATGGAAGCCAGACCTTCTCCTCATGGTGCACCGTCTGTCGTACTGTCTGTGTGGTTTTGCAGTCCCTCCCCAGACGGTGACTGCAAGCACCACAGGTCGGAGCAGGGACCTGCCCTGGCCAATTTGTTCACGGGCCACCTCCCCAGCCCTGCCATGGAGCAGTTGCTCAACAGATATTACCAGAGCTGGTAACTGCTGAAGCGAGTGCAGTCTCCACTGCGATCCCCTCTGTCTCAGACCTGGCATTGGGAATTTGGTGTTAAGTGGGTGTGGCTGCCAGGAAGGCACTGGAACAAAACCCTGCCCTGTGTTTCCTAAGCAGGTCAGCAGGTGAATGCGTGAACCCGCAGCCCAGCCCTGGCAAAACTTTAGTTGTCTGATGAGATAAACACCTGCCCACACCCAAGACTCCAGGCCCTCTGCTGCAAGCCTGGGTGGGTAGAAGTGGCAGGGGCGGGGGGGAGCAGAAGGGAGAGAGAGGCACAAGTGACTATCTGTCACTGCATAGCCTCACTGGGCTCTGCAGCCGGAGAACACACGAGGGACATAAGGGGTGCTGCCGAGGAGGGTGAATGTCACCTCTCCGCCCCACCCACTCAGCATGGGAGTGACACTCTGAAAACCCCTGTCAGGCCAACAGGCATTTTCAGCTTTCCCCAGTTACCCTGGAGGAGGGTTCACCAAACTGCCACCTGGGTGTGTGATTTGGCTGAAGAGCTCTGCCAGGTCCTTCCCACCCACTAAATAAGGGGAAACAATGGTAGGGAGCAGATGTTTGCCCCCAAGCTCCTCAGGGTGGAGGCAGCTTCTCCTTCTTCTGCCTCTGTGTGGGAGTCAACTGAGGAAGATGGAGCCTCCCGGTGGGTGGAAAGGAGGTGTAGAGTGAATGGGGAGGGGAGATGCTCTAAAAGCGTGCCCCAGATGGTGTTGAGAGGAAAATCCCTGGGTTAGAGCTCAACATCCTGGCTCTGTTTCAGTGGCTGTCCCCCCACCTTCACCTTTCCTAGTTATACATCACAGCATCTTTGTCTGTAGAATTCTGGGGGTGGGAGGTGTGACCCTGAGGGCCCCACATCTTCCTCGGTGCACAGTCCCCCAGCACCCACCTCCCCAGAACCCCCACCTGCACCTGCACTGCCTGGCCTTCCTTCCTTAGCAAGACAGAATTCCTGACAGCCCCAGGGGTTAGGAACAGCTGCATGTGAAGCCCACAGCGGCCTTTCTGAAGCTTTACCCAAGTTCTGCTCCCTGGAGCCACATGGAAGGAAGTTCTGCCTGACAGCCTTTCCAGCACCCTGGGAAGCTGCCGATTTATTTTCTTTACCCCTGACTTCACTTATCTAGGATCCCAACAGAGACTGACAAAGCCAGAGACCCTGATGGTTTAGGATTCCAAGGTTTCTTATGCCTCTAGCTGCTCAGCCAGGAGCTTTCTTGATTTTGTGTTTTTCAAATGAGAAGCATCTTACCAGCTAAGTAAGTCTAAGAGTGTCATGACTCATGGACCTTGGAAACCAATGGTCAGTAGTTTGGGATTCTTTGGGTGGATCAAGAGATTTTCTTGGGGACCTAGGAGCACCTCGATGTGTGGAGGGCCTGAGCAGATGGACTAGTGCCCTCCTCTGGATGGAATTGGAGGTTCCCCTTACGCCCCAATCCCTCCACCCCTGCCCTGGGGCTTTTTTTTTTTTTTCTTTTTTTGCTTGGTGGAATGGGAGAGTACTTTTCAAAGTTACAGTTACATAGAAAAGTTAAAATCACAGCACTATTGCATATCTGAGTGCCAAGAATTACGTTTGTCTTGCTGCAGGTGAGGGAAATGAGGTCACTTCTCAAGAAGTTTGCATTTTCTGAGAAAATGTGGACACAATGGAAAAGCCAAGGCATAAAACCATACACCTGAGAAGGCTGAAGCAAATTGCTCCAGGACTTACAGCACAGTGGGTACGTGTTCCGCAGGTGAGAGGCAGCCTCTGCAGAGGCTGACAAGTCCTTTTTGGATGACACTGTGACTCAGCCCTCATATTCCCCTCTCCAGGGCGATGATCCACCTGGTGCTGTGGCTGCTGAGATTCTAGTCATCCTACTCGCTCTAGGCTGGTGTGATTCTTTTGTTTGTTTGTTTGTTTGAGATAAGTCTCGCTCTGACGCCCAGGCTGGAATGCAATGGTTTGATCTCAGCTCACTGCAGCCTCTGCCTTCCGGGTCCAAGCGATTCTTGTGCCTCAGGCTCCTGAGTACTGGGACTATAGGCGCCCAACAACACAACTGGCTAATTTTTGAATTTTTAGTAGAGACGGGTTTCACCATATTGGCCAGGCTGGTTTCGAACTCCTGACCTCAAGTGATCCGCCCACCTCGGCCTCCCCAAGTCCTGGGACTACAGACCTGAGCCACTGCGCCTGGCCTAGACTGGTGTCATTCTGACATTTCCAGGCCACGAAGCAGTCCCAGACTCAGCAGCCCTGGGCATCTGCCGTAGCCCTGTTGTATGATCTGCTCTGCCACTCATGAGGCATGACTCACCCTCCTACCCTCTCCGAGCCTCAGTTTACTCATTTAAATCTCAAAGCCTCCACAGATAATTGGGAAATGAAAGGAAAATCGTGTAAGTATGAATACCTTCCACAGATAGCGGGATCTCATTAATACTAGTTTTCCCCTTTCCATACCTCCCAGCAAAGAAAAGTTGGTAACTGCAGGCCTCTGAACTAGTGCCCCACATCGGAGATACCGGCCACTTCTTACTGAACATTTGCCTGTGTCTACTATAAGGATATAAGATCATCTCAACCTCCCAAGAAGCCGATATTAGCACCCCCATTTTTGCAGCTAAAGAAACTTAGGTGCAGAAAAATGAAATAGCATATTCAAGGTCACAGAATGACCTGGGGCAGAGCTACAGTCTAGACCCCCATCTGTCTGATATAAACCCCATTCTATGAACCCTCAACATTGCTACTCCCCTTCCAACGCCACTGGAGCAGAAAGCTCCAAAACTGGGTGAAGCACATACAGCTCTATAGCAGGCAACCCCATTCCTGTGTTCCACCTAGTGAAGAACCAGGAGGTTGTGCATGACCAAGGTGGTTCAGGGTGAAGGTCAGGGGCTGGCTGAAAATGGAAGGCATCTCAGGCTGGGTCTTTGACTGTGATTATGTCAGGGTTGGGGCTGAAATATTGTGAGTGGTAACTGAGGTTTCAACCTCTTCCCTAGGAAAGAGTGGGGGTGGGGTGGTGAAGCTGGTTAATTGAGATGGGAGGGTTGGGGTGGGGGCAGGCAGAGCCTTCCAAGGCCTTCAGATCCGGTGCTGTTACCGTAAACAAGTGCAACCCTCAGCTCCCTGGAGGGCCTGGGGAGCAAATGCGTGCATCCCTGCTTCGTTCCCAGCAGCTGTTCACTGGAGGACGCAGCCTGCCATCCCCAGCCGACCTCCTCCACAGCCTTCCCCAGCCCCCAGATCAAGCCTCAGGAAGTGGCGCTGCTGAGAATCTCTCCTCCAGCCCTGCCTCCTGCCGAGAGTGTCTTCAGCGCCAGCATTTCCTGGCCTAATTAAGCTGGGTAATGAGTAGCTAAGAGGAGGGGATAAAAGCCCTAGGCGGCTTAGAGCTGGGACAGTTTATGACAGGGGCGTCTGCAGCTGGTGACATTCCTAGGAAAATTATTTCTCATAACCCTGGGAAGTTGCATGCTGTTTCCTTAGCAGCAGAGTAAGCCTCAAAGGTGAGCATGGGGAACACTGCATCTTAAGGGGGCCTGACTGGAGGGTCCTAAAGGTGACAGGTGGGGGGTGCCATGTGTCTGTAGGACTGATCAGAGCTGCAGAGCAGCTACAGGCCACCCGGGCTAATGCCCTTAGCTTAGTCCGAGGCCGGGGCATCCGTGGTGGCCACGTGACTCCCCAGGGCTTGGGTTTTGTGTTTCTTCTGAATGATAGGACTCTGCACAGCATGCAGTTTCTAAGACCGTATCCTTTCAGGGAAGGAAATCTGAGCTAGAGGCTCTGATCCTGACTCCTCCGCAGCCCACTATTAAGGGTGTGAAAATTGTGTTTTGGAAAATATCAGGTGCCCCAGCAGCCAGGAGTGGGTAGAAGAGCTCTCAGACAGGGGCCCTGGGGGAAAGGGGAAGGTGGGCACCAGGCGCTCTGGACACCAGGGCCCGCCCTTCCAGAGACACTCAGGAGCCCAGCGTTGATTATCCCCACTCCCACTCTGCAGCCACAGCCTCAGCCCCCAAATTCTCCTTCTTTGGCACTCAGTTTTGTTTGTTTGTTTTTTGTGTCAGTTCTGTTTGTTTTTGTTTTCTTCAGTCACCTTGCACTCCTTCCTTAGTTGGCCAGGGAACTTCGTGCTGTATGGGGTGGAGCAGGGCAAGGCCCAGGCTCTGGAGCTCGGCCCATCCCCACGTCTCTGAGTGAACTTGGGAGATCAGGTGACCTCTCAGCCATGGTTTTCCCATTTGTAGAATGAAGGCATTAGTGATGTCTAGTGTCCAGTATGTTATGAACCGCAACCTCCACTTGGCCTGTGAGTGGCGAGCGAGGCTGAAATTGGGCCATGTTTCCCAGACCTTTCAAATTAGGTTACCCAGTTTCACCCAAGAACATTTTTGCCCCAATTATCCTGTAAAGCAGAGTCATAGCTAGTGAGTATGTATTTTATTATTATTATTACTGTTATTATTAGAAACAGGGTCTCATTCTGTCATCCAGGCTGGAATGCCATGGTGTGAACATGGTTCGACCTCCCGGGCCCAAGCAATCCTCCCACCTCAGCCACCCGAATGGCTGGGACCACAGACACGTCACCACACCCAGCTAATTTTTGGTATTTTTTGTAGAGACTGGGTTTCACCATGCTGCCCAGGCTGGTCTCAAACTCTTGGGCCCAAGCGATCCTCCTGCCTTTGCCTCCCAAAGTGCTGGGATTACAAGCGTGAGTCACTTCGCCTGGCTGAATACCTGTTTTTGATGATGGAAGGGCCCATTCTCCTGCACTCTTGTAATCAATATTTGTTCTTTTCCAATTTTCTAAACAAGACCTGTCTGGTGCAATGTCCTCCGAGCCCCGCTTCCTCCACGGCTGGAGCCGGGAGCGGCAGGGAATGTGTGGGCATTCCGTCTTTCCTTCTGATCGCCGCCCTTCACCCTCTGCCCTTGGCTGTTCCCACAGTCCCATCTATTCCCCTGGCCTCCTGCTTGTCTCTCTAAACGAGGAGTGAGTATGCAGATCACAAATAACCTGGTGTTTCCGTTTTTCCCTCTGGCGGTGGTTGCCCCTGGAGTGGAAGGAGACCTGGTGGCCAGATGCCTGACATGGCCGGGACAGCTGGTGCTCTCAGCATTCCTGGGGAAGGTCCCTGGGGATTGGACTTGAGGGGATCACACCAAGAAGAGGGGTGAGCAGGCCTGGCAGCTCACCCCTGTGACCCAGCTCACCTCTGGCTGGGCTGCCTGGCATGATCCCCCGGCCCGGCCGGCAGCAGCTGCGCAGGCCAGGGGAGCCAAATGGCTCTGCATGTGTAATCCTAGCTAAAAAGAGAAAGGGGAAAGATCTTGTAATTTCCCAGGACACAGACAACTGAAACCTGACACTCTTGCCAAGGAAGTCCTTTCACTGAGAGAGAGAGAGAGACAGAGAAGGAGGGAGGGAGGGGAGTGTGTGAGAGCCCACTCTGGAAGGTTCCGGGAGAGACAGAGAGAAGGAGGGAGGGCGGGGAGTGTGTGAGAGGCCATTCTGGAAGGTTCCGGGGCCAGCAGGAAGCCCTGAGCACAGCTCTCCTGTGAGTACCCCATGTGTCATCTGCCCTAGTCTTTGGCCTGAGCCAGGAGATGTGGCTGGTCTGCCCAGTGGGCACAGCAGTGGCGGCAGAGGCCCGGCCGCCATCCGTCTCTGTTCATTGGGAGCCGCTGCCCCTTCCTTTCCCTGCCTTTTGTGTCAGGGAGCCAGATTGTGCTGTTGAGAAAAATGTGCTCGAAGCCCTTCAACTCGGCCAGTAAGAGCCATTCTTTCTTCCTGTCGCTCAGCGCTTTGTAAAACCAAATGTATGATCAGAGTGGAAGGAGTCCAGCCTGACTTGAACGGGTTAGGGTCATTCATCTTTGTTCAGCTATAAGGAATTGCAGGTGTTTGTTAGGCTAAAGCCACAGAAATTTGGGGAGGCCACTTTGTGACCAGCTCTGTGCTGGGTGCAGCTCTGGGGGACACAGGCATGTATGACAAGTGTCTGTCCTTGAGGTGTAGTTTGCCATCTGGCTGGAGCAACAAGACTTTCAGCCACAAGGATCAGTGAACGATACATGAAGGAGTCTCCAATCAAGAACCTGAAGGTGGGATACAGCCAGCCAGTGGTTCTGGGGGTCCGTCCTGGTGTGCTCTGTGGAGAAGCCTTCTTTTAGGTGAAATGTTCTCTGCCGCCATTCTGTGTCACCCGCTGTTGATTGCGCTCCTATGATGTGCCAGGCGCTGACCGGGCACCAGGGATGCTGCCGCCCTGGCGTAGCGCACTCTAAAGGCTCTGACTTCACTCTTATCTGTGCATGTTTGTATTTTATAGTTCATTTGTTTATTTACACACCACATATGTTCAGTGTATCCAAAAAGATTCAAGGCAGTTTATCATTAATGGCACAAGTGCCAGAAACCCCAAAACCAGATTAAAGGTTGAGATCCAGGGTCTAGAGAAAGCTGGGGCTAAGGAATAAGCCCATCAGAAAAGTAGGATTCAAGGAAGTGCTGCAACATTTGAACCTAAAAGTTGGTTCCGAGCTGCCTGGTGGTTAGGTCAAAAAGGGAAATAGTGTGTCTAATATAAAGGAAACATTTCTTGTGTACGTCCCTTCTTTCTGACGCCAACCTTCAGGCTCATTTCTTACCATCATCCCATGCACACTCCACCTTGCTTGACTGCATTCACTTCTGCAGAAGCACTGAGGGTCGGGCTCATTGGCACCTGAGCTTCTCCCACCTCCCCACTGCTCTGTCTGCTTAACTCCGGTGAACACCACTGGCCCTGCTTCAACAGGCAGTGCGGTCACTACTTCACATGCCTGCCTGAGCCCGCAGTCAGCGCCTGCTGCCCTCCCCGTGTCGATGCCTCTCCCACCTGGCTCTGTCACGGCCCTCTCAGGGTACTGTCATTGCTCCCTGCTTCTTTCCCTACCTGCTGGTGAGTTGCTGCAGACCAGGAGTCCTGTCCCTCATCTCCACTATCTCAGGGCCTAGCACAGTGCCTGCTGCACTATAGCCAATAAATACTTGCCACTAACAATTATTTTGCACTTAATGATGTGACAACCACCATGGTAATTGTCTTACAAATATTATCTTTTCTTTTTTCCTTGTGGCAGGGTCTCACTCTATTGCCCAGGCCAGAGCTCACTGCAACCTCTTCCTCCTGGGTTCAAGCAACTCTCTTGCCTCAGCCTCCCAAGTAGCTGGGATTACAGGTGTGCACCACCAAGCCCTGTTACTTTTTGTATTTTTGATAGAGACTGAGTTTCGCTGCGTTGGCCAGGCTGGTCTCCAACTCCTGACCTCAAGTGATCTGCCCGCCTTGGCCTCCCAAAGTACTGGGATTACAGGTGTGAACCATTGCACCAGGCCCATTTAACTCTTTTTTCTTTTTCCCCTGAGATGGAGTCTTGCTCTGTCGCCCAGGCTGGAGCGCAGTGGCGCAATCTTGGCTCACTGAAATCTCCGCCTCCCAAGTTCAAGCAGTACTCTGAGTAGCTGGGATTACAGGCGTGCACCACCACGCCTGGCTAATTTTTGTATTTTTAGTAGAGATGGGGTTTCACCATGTTGGCCAGGCTGGTCTCGAACTCCTGACCTCGTGATCCACCCGCCTTGGCCTCCCAAAGTGCTGGGATTACAGGCGTGAGCCACCGCACCCAGCCCATATATAATCTCATTTAACTCTTAAAATAACCCTGTGACACAGTTGTTATTATGACCATTTTACAGGTAAAGAAACTGAGATTAAATGAGCCGAGTAACCCAAGGACTCCTAATGGTGGACCTAGCCTCAAACTCAGATCTTCCTGACTTTGAAGCCGGTGGAAAGGATGAGACATTTTGCATTTATGGCCTTTTATTGGAATTATTTTTATCTGTTATTAGATTATGAGCCCTCAGAGGAAAGGGGGAAAGACCTCCCCACATGCACAGCAGAGAGCACGTTGCTTCGCACACAGTAGGAACTCCTGAAGTATTTCTCAGCAACAAGAGTTCTTTTTTTTTTTTAGACGAAGTCTTGCTCTTGTCGCCCAGGTTAGAGTGTAGTGGCGCAATCTCGGCTCACTGCAACCTCCGTCTCCTGGGTTCAAATGATTCTCCTGCCTCAGCCTCCCGAGTAGCTGGGATTACAGGCGCTAGCCACCACGCCCAGCTAGTTTTTGTATTTTTAGTAGAGACGGGGTTTCACCATCTTGGCTAGGCTGGTCTCAAACTCCTGACCTCAGGTGATCCACCTGCCTCGGCCTCCCAAAATGCTGGGATTACAGGCATGAGCCACTGTGCCCGGCCAAGAGTTCTTAACAAAGACATGGGGAGAATTCTATCGCCGGCTTGCAGTAAGACTGAAACTTACAAGGCCCTCACCACCACCCAGTTGGCTTCATCACACTGTGGTATTCACAGGCCTTAGAACTTACAGCTGAAAAGGACCTTAGAAATCAGAGACTCCAACCCCCATGTTTCACAGCCCAAGAAACAGTTGCAGAGAGATCAAATGGCTCAACTAAGGTCATACAGCTCATTAGCAACAGCAAGGGTAGGGACAGATCTGACTCCAACTCCCCGGAATTGCTTTCCAATTTGGTCAAAAATTTTACCTGGATTCAGCAAACAAGGTGACAAAAGGCCAGAGCGGGGAAGCCCACCAAGGCAACACCCCTCGGGAGAGTCACTAGTGGGCACTGGCCTTGGCTCTCCAGCCAGCCTGCTCAACCGCAGGCAGACTTCTCCCTTGCCCCTCCCCCAGCCACCATATTTCTTCCAGTAGCCACTCACCACCTCCTGCATGACCAGGTCTTTCTCAGGCATCTCTTGTTTGTGGGAAAGGTATTGGTGAATATCAGTCCTCCAACCGTCAGTGACTCCCTCCTGTGGACGCAGCCTTGGCTCAGACTCCTAAAGGAGGTGGGGCTCTGAGCTCTATAGCGGAGCTCACAGGGTGATTCTGCCCCCCTCCACCAGGACATTCTGATTGTCATAACTGCGGGAGGCAGACAACTTGCTACTTCACCTGGAGAGTAGAGGCTGACGATGCTGCTAAACATCCGACAGTGCACAGGACAGCCTCCAAAACAAAGAAATATCTGGCGCAAATGTCAGCAGTGCTGAGGATGAGAAGCCCTGCTGGACAAATGGGAAGAAGAGCTCTGCCCGCTGATTCCTCCTGGCAGAAAAGTTCCCACTGGGCTCCTCTCTACCCTGCCCAGTGGGTCTGCAGGTACCTCTTCAGAGCCACTGGGTTTTTGGTCTCCTTTTTTCCTACCACTTCCACCAGCCATTTGGTGTTTCCGTTTTGTCTCCAACAAAACACCAAAAAAAGGGCAATGATTTTATTGAGCACCAAATGGGTTCACGGCAGAATGCTTGGTGTTTTTGGTGTTTTATGTATCTTACATTAGCTTTGCCTTGTCACTTAATTCCACCTGAAAAACAAAAGAGTAATTTAACTCTGAGTCAGAGCCAGATATTGTTAACATTTTACCAATGAGAAGACAGGCTCAGGGAGGTCAAGTAATTTGTTCAAGGTCACTCAGCCATTAACTGTTTCAAACCCAGCTGTGAGCTATCCAGGCTACTGTTACTTTCCACACGAAACAGCAGCAGGCTGTGCAGACAGGTATGAGACAGTCAGCAAATTAAAGGTTGTGTTTGTCTTTCTCAGACGCCAAATCCATCCCCTGCCTTGTCCACAAGCAGGAAAGATAGAGTTCTGGGGAAATGTGGTCTGGGCATGGTGGCTCACAACTGTAATCTCAGCACTTTGAGAGGCCAAGTCAGGAGGATCGCTTCAGGCCAGGAGTTTGAGACCAGCTTGGGCAACATAGGGAGACCCTGTCTCTACAAAACACTTAAAAATTAGCTGGGTGTGGTGGTGTGCACCTATAGACTCAGGAGGCTAAAGCGGGAGGATTCCTTGAGCCCAGGAGTTCAATGCTGCAGTGAGGAAAGGTCACCCCACTGCACTCCAGCCTGGGAGACAGAGCGAGACTCTTACTTTTTCTTTCTTTCTTTCTTTTTTTCTTTTTGTTTGTTTGTTTGAAATGGAGTCTCACTCTGTCTGTCGCCCAGGCTGGAGTGCAGTGGTGCGATCTTGGCTCACTGCAGCCTCCGCCTCCTGGGTTCAAGCGATTCTCCTGCCTCAGCCTCCTGAGTAGCTGGGACTACAGGCACACGCCACCATGCCTGGCTAATTTTTTGTATTTTAGTAGAGACAGGGTTTCACTATGTTGGCCAGACTAGTCTTGAACTCCTGACCTCGTGACCCACCCACCTGGGCCTCCCAGAGTGCTGGGATTATAGGTGTGAGCCACTGCGCCCGGCCGACTCTGCTTCTTAAAAAAAAAAAAGAAAAAAGAAAAGGGCCAGCCACGGTGGCTCACGCCTGTAATCCCAACACTTTGAGAGGCCAAGGCAGGTGGATCACTTGAGGTCAGGAGTTCAAGACCAGCCTGGCCAACATGGTGAAACCCCGTCTCTATTAAAAATACAAAAATTAGCTGGGCGTGGTGGTGGGTGTCTGTAATCCCAGCTACTTGGGAGGCTGAGGCAGGGGAATCACTTGAACCCGGGAGGCGGAGGTTGCAGTGGGCTGAGATCGCACCATTGCACTCCAGCCTGGGTGACAGAGCTAGACTCCATCTCAAAAAAAAAAAAGAAAGAAGAAGGAAAGAAGGAAAGGAAGAAAGGAAGGAAGAAGGAAGGAAAGAAAAGGAAGAAAGGAAGAAAGACAGACATAAGCCTGGGGGTGAAGACAGGCTAGTCCCCTGCCCCATCACCTTCCTAATTGCAGTGTCTTCACCTACATGCCTCAGAACTAAGGTGAGCCCTACTAACCCAGAGTTAAACTCTGAACTTCCAAGAAAAGCTCTGGAGGAGCTCCATCACCCAGCTCCTGGCACACACACCCCTCCCTGGGAGAAGGCACTCTGAGGTTCCCCTCCCCAACAGTTTGGGCCTCCATAGTGCCTACCATTGGCGCTGGGGACTTATTAAACAGCCCTGATGCAGGGCTTCCGACACCAAACCCAGAGTCTGTCGTGACAACCTTAACGTTGTTAATAAGAGGATACTATGTGCATGGTAACATGTGTGTATGAGTGTGTACGTGTGTGTGCATGCACACATGTGCATGCTACTGAAAAGGTGGCCTTCATTCAGTGTTTAAACTGGGCCTTGGCCTCCTGGCCTCTTTGAGCTGCTTCCTGCTGACCTCCATCCCGGGGATGAGCATCCCCTGCAGTCGGGAATGGAACTGGGCCCCTCCTGGCCTCCTCTGCTCAGATTAACCCCTTCCTCCCAGTTTGCCTGTGCCTGGCAGTGGGGCTCTGGGCCAAGGGGCCAGACACTCACTGGCTCCAGGGCTGGCGGATGCCATAAACCCGTTTTCCTTGGGGACTCCAGAGCTCCACATCTTACTTTCAGAAAGCACAAGTGTTTTGTTGGAAATGGCCTCAGGAGGAGGGAGAGCCCAGGGCTCTATACACATGTTCCTCATTTGCCATTGGTGGGGCAGGGGCTGCGGCAGGGGACTGTGCTGGGGAGGCAGGCATGGGAGGGGAGAGAGCAGCTGCAGCTGCTGCCGGAAGTTTGGCTTCAGGGAGGAATGGAGGGAGAGAGTGCAAGAAGAAGGGGTGGGACTTGGGGACAGGGGCGGTGTCACGGGGGAGGAGGGTGCAGGTGGTGACTTGTTTATCTGCTCAGCTGTTTTGTTTCCAGGAGCCTGAGAGAGAGACAGAAGCAGCTGGGAGGAGAAAAATCAACGCGGCCAGGGGCCCTACTGGTCCTTCTGCCTTAGCCACAGGTTCTGAAACCAAAGCAAAACCACCAGAGAGTGATTCATGTGGGTATGGCCCTCCCTCCCCCTGCCCAGAAAGGTTTCTCTTGAGCCCATATGCTAGTTTCTGTCATGCAAACGCCCTGGCAATGCCTTCCTTGCCTTGGCGCAATGGCTCTGATTGGGTAGGCATCTCCGGGGGTTAATACTGGCACAAACTCATGTAAATCTTCCTGGGCCTAAGTCTGGTGTACTCTCATATGTGAATTGGCATGGTCCTGGAGGGCTAGTCAGCTAGCTCCTAGCCTCGAGATCGGCCTGGACCAAACCAAAAAAAAAATCATCTCTGGTGAAACAGGATAGCCACCCCACCCCCTGCTCAGCATTCCCCAGTGCCTCCCTTCACAGTGGCCAGTTTGGATTCTTCTCACCAAACGCTCAAGACCTGTACAGGTTACTTATTGGTCCCCTTCATGCCCCAGATGCAAATTTGGCATGTCTCATTTGCATTCTAAAGTGTTTGGAGGCAAGGCTGGGATGAGCTTAATTTGCCCTGATGTCTTTTGACCAGGTTAGTAAACATCCCTCCAGCCCATCTCAGCACTTGAGAATCTGGAAGGCAGCTATGCTTTAATTACAGTGCAATTTCAGGAGTTTGCTTGCTGTTCCCCCTTGGCTCTTTGCCTAGCTTATTATTTTCATCTTGTTGTTTGTTTGTTTAAATGAGAACTTTCGTAGACAATTCCCTCTCCCGCCTCCCCCAGAGGCCAGTCTGTGTTGCTAGAGGACTTTTTCTGCCTCCCTCTTGGTTTACAAAGCCAGGGCATCTCTGTTGACAAAGGGTCTGCGATCTGGCACTGGGCCTGGCAGTTAGGGAGTGTGTAAGAAATGCAGATGCCTTTTGCAGATGCCTGCCCTGCTCCTCCTCTAAGCAGCCAAAACATCCTGCACCACCTCGGGAAGACCCCACATCCCAGCTTGCTGGTCTCTGAGCACTCTGCCCCGCCAACCCTATAGCGCTAGGAAGGCAGGAAGGATGGAAAAGGCTGTGGGGGATTGAGTAAGGGATTTGGGAATGAGGGACAGTGACACTGTAGGTGGGTTGGCTTAGCAGGGGGATTGGGAGTGGCCAGCTGGAGTGGTGGAAAGAACTGGGGACAGGGAGTCAGGAAGCTGAGCTTTTATTCATCCCAGCTTTGCTACTGACAAGTTAGGTGGTCTTGGGGCAGACTGGGCCAAATCTGGGCCTTCCTGTGTAAAACGCATGCTCCCATCTCAAGGTCCTTTTCTACTTTACAGATTCTCTTGCTTTTAGAATGCTAATTTCATTGACTGTGGCCTGTTTCCTTCTCCAGAGACAGGATAACCCAATAAAATCGCCCCTTAGGTGGGGTGTGTTGGCTCACACCTGTAGCCTGTAATCCCAGCACTTTGGAAGGCTGAGGCAGGTGGATCACCTGAGGTCAGCAGTTTGAGACCAGCCTGACCAACAAGTTGAAGCCCCATGTCTACTAAAAATAGAAAAATTAGCAGGGCGTGGTGGTAGGTGCCTGTAGTCCCAGCTACTTGGGAGGCTGAGACAGGAGAATTACTTGAACCTGGGAGGCAGAGGTTGCAATGAGCTGAGATCATGCCACTGCACTCCAGCCTGGACGACAGAGCGAGACTCTGTATAAAACAAAAACAACAACAACGAAAAATTACCCCTTAATGGTGGTTGGTTGGTCAGACAGCCAGCTTGAATTGCTGTCTTTTTCCCAAACCCAGATTCCCTGGCTGAGGCACCAGTTAAAACTTTTATCTTAGGGAAGCTCTGGGAGTTGCCTCTTGCAGGTCAGGGGTTCCAAAGGGCAGAAGCTCCAGCATACCATCTTCTTGAGCATTTCCGGTTCAGATTTCTATGGGATTAATGGCTCCTGCACCTTCTACCTCCCAGGGAGGCTCCCTGAGCTCTGCTTTATATAAGGTAAGTGCTCTTGGGCTTCAGATGGATTCCATTTCATTTATCAAACGTTTCTTTGAGCACTTACTCTGTGACTGACATTGCTGGACCCAAAGGAATACAGAGATAACGGTTGACTTAGTCCTTATCCGAATAGAGTGGACCCACCTATTGGTGAGGCCAAATTTAATGGAACTCTCCGAAAACAATTCTGTCAAGGTTGGGCACGGTGGCTCGTGCCTATAATCCCAGCACTTTGGGAGGCTGAGGCGGATGGATCACGAGGTCAGGAGATTGAGACCATCCTGGCCAATATGATGAAACCCCGTCTCTACTAAAAATACAAAAATTAGCTGGGCGTGGTGGTGCGTGCCTGTAGTCCCAGCTACTTGAGAGGCTGAGGCAGGAGAATCGCTTGAACCTGGGAGGTAGAGGTTGCAGTGAGCTGAGATCGTGCCACTGCACTCCAGCCTGGCTACAGTGCGAGACTCCATCAAAAAAAAAAAAATTCTGTCAAACATCTCCCATTTCTCCCTTCAACCTAAAGAACATGGGAAAATAAACCAAGCGGACTGATAAATGGATTTCAAAGGTGATAGTGGAATTTATTTGTTACATTTAAGAAACTTAGCCTTAAGAAATGTATTCTGGTAGATTGTACTTACAAAGGCTTTATCGACTATAGTTGCAATAATAACAAGAATAATACCAGCTATTCTTTCTTGAGTGCCTGCTATATATGTATCATGCATTGTGGCAGAAGTTTTACATCCTTTATCCTATGGGATTATTTAGTGAGGGAGGCGCTATTAAAATCTCCATTTTTATTATGTTTTAACCTGTTTTTTTTTTTTTTTGAGACAGTCTTACTCTGTTGCCCAGGCTGGAGTGCAGTGGCGTGATGCTCAGCTCACTGCAACCTCCGCCTCCTGAGTTCAAGCGATTCTCCTGCCTCAGCCTCCCAAGTAGCTGGGACTACAGGCGCGCGCCAGCATGCCTGGCTAATTTTTGTATTTTGGGTAGAGACGGGGTTTCACCATGTTGGCCAGGCTGGTCTTGAACTCCTGACCTCAGGCAATCCACCTGCCTTAGCCTCCCAAAGTGCTGGGATTACAGGCGTGAGCCACCCCACTTGGCCCTAACCATTTTTTTTTTTTTAAGACAGGATCTGGCTCTTTTTCCCAGGCTGGAGTGCAATAGCACAATCATAGCTCATTGCAGTCTTAAACCCCTGGGCTTAGGCAAGCCTCCTGGCTGCCTGGGACTACAGATATGCACCACTACACCCAATTAATTTTTTAAATTTTTTCTAGAGACGGGGTCTCCCTATGTTGCCCAGGCTAGGCTTGAACTCCTAGGCTCAAGCCATAACTCCAAGGCTAGGACTGGCATTCTAGTGAAAATTCAAGCAGTCTCCTGGCGGGTGGGTTTTGCCTCAGCATCTGTGATGCAGTCAAATGTCCAAAGGCCTAGATCCCACCCATCTCTACTTCAGCCATTTACACCAGGTTAGATGAGAGAATCAAGAACTGATGAATTTTTAAAGTTTTTTTTTTTGGAGTACCTGTTTTGTGTAAGACCCTGTGATAGAGATGGGGGTTCTGGTGGGGAGATAGCAAGCCAGGCGTGGTTCTCCTCCTAAAGGAGCTTACAATCCTCAAAAAATATTCTTGGCTGGGCACGGTGGCTCATGCCTGTAATTCCAGCACTTTGGGAGGCTGAGGTGGGTGGATCACAAGGTCAGGAGTTCGAGATCAGCCTGGCCAATATGGTGAAACCCTGTCTCTACTAAAAAATACAAAAATTAGCCGGGCATGGTGGCGGCCACCTGTAATCCCAGCTACTCGGGAGGCTGAGGCAGGAGAATGGTGTGAACCCGGGAGGCGGAGGTTGCAGTGAGCCGAGATCACGCCTGAGAGAGACTCCATCTCAAGGAAAAAAAAAATTCTTTAAGTCTATTTTTGCCACTTTTTTTGGTTTTTTTTGGAACAGGGTCTCACTCCGTTACCCATGCTGGAGTGCAATGTCACGATCTTAGCTCACTGCAACCTCCGACTCCCAGGTTCAAGCGATTCTCCTGCCTCAGCCTCCCAAGTAATTGGGATTACAGGCGCCCACCACCATGCCTGGCTAATTTTTGTATTTTTAGTAGAGATGGCGTTTTGCCACGTTGGTCAGGCTGGTCTGGAACTCCAGACCTCAGGTGATCAGCCCGTGTTGGGCTCCCAAAGTGCTGGGATTACAGACGTGAACCACCACACCCGGCTAACCTTTTATTCTTTTTTTTTTTTGAGACGGAGTCTCGCTCTGTTCTCCAGGCTTGAGTGCAGTGACGCGATCTCAGCTCACTGCAAGCTCTGCCTCCCAGGTTCACACCATTCTCCTGCCTCAGCCTCCCAAGTAGCTGGGACTACAGGCGCCCGCCACCACGCCCAGCTAATTTTTTTTATTTTTTATTTTTAGTAAAGATGGGGTTTTACCATGTTAGCCAGGATGGTCTCGATCTCCTGACCTGGTGATCTGCCTGCCTTGGCCTCCCAAAGTGCTAGTATTACAGGCGTGAACCACTGCGCCCGTCCTAAACTTTTATTCTTTTATCTCTCTTTCTCTCTCTCTCTTTTTTTTTTTTTTTTTGAGACAGTCTCACTCTGTCACCCAGGCTGGAGTGCAGTGGCACAATCTCGGCTTATTGCAACCTCTGCCTCCTTTGTTCAAGTGATTTTCCTGCTTCAGCCTCCCTGGTAGCTGGGATTATAGGCGCGTGCCACCACGCCCAGCTAATTTTTGTATTTTTAGTAGAGACAGGGGTTTCACCATGTTGGCCAGGCTGGTCTTGAACTCCTGACCTCAAGAGATCCGCCCGCCTTGGTCTTCCAAAGTGTTGGGATTACAGGCGTGAGCCACCGTGTTCATTTCTCATTTTACCCTCTTTTCTCATTTTTACCCTTTGTAGCCAGGAATGATTTTGTACCCTTGTAAATGGCTCTAAATTCTGGGTCCATCCTTGCTGCTAATCCTTTTACTGTGTTCCTCTTCACACTGGGAGAAATGCCCAGGAGGGACTCTCGCTTTTCTGTGTAGGGGCTGTGTCTCCCAAAGGCTGCCCTTATGGGAGACATGTTTGTCTTCATCTCTAATATACCAATTAAGAATCCTGCCTTAGTTGTCCAGCCCCAGATCGAGTGTTTCCTGGTCTGATTCTAGGGGCCCAGCAAGTCCCTAAACTCATTCAAGCCTCAGGGGATCCAGGCTGGAATAGCAGTGGGGCCAATATCTGGGCAGAAGACCAAGAGAGGGAACCAGGTAGGCAAACACCATCAGCTGAGAGGCCCTGTCTTTACATCTCCATCTAGTTTTCAAACTTATTATTACGGCAAATTTCAAACATAGAGAAAGTTAGAAAGAATATGCACATAATTGACCACCTAGATTCAACAAAGATAAACTTTTTACAATATTTGCCTATTTGGCCTCTCTCTTTCTCTCTGTTATTTTATTTTATTTTATTTTTTGAAAGAGTCTCGCTCTGGCATCCAGGCTGGAGTGCAGTGGCGGGATTTTGGCTCACTGCAACCTCCATCTCCCGGGTTCAAGCAATTCTCCTGCCTCAGCCTCCTGAGTAGTTGGGACTATAGAGGCGTGCTACCATGTCCGGCTAATTTTTGAATTGTTAGTAGAGACTGGGTTTCACCAGGTTGGCCAGGGTGGTCTTGAACTCCTGACCTTATGTGATCCGCCTGCCTCGGCTTCCCAAAGTGATGGGACTACAGGCGTTAGCCACCGCGCCTGGCCAAAATATTTATTTTTTAAATTGACCATATTAGCCATTTTATTTTATTTTATTTATTTTTTAATTTTTGTTTTCTTTCTTTTTTTTTTTTTTGAGACGGAGTTTCACTCTTGTTGCCCAGGCTCACCACAACCTTTGCCTCTGCCTCCCAGGTTCAAGCGATTCTCCTGCCTCAACCTCCCGAGTAGCTGGGATCACAGGTACACACCACCATGCCTGGCTAATTTTGTATTTTTAGTAGAGACGGAATTTCTCCATGTTGGTCAGGCCAGTCTCAAACTCCCAGCCTCAGGTGATCCACCCACGTCAGCCTCCCAAAGTGCTGGGATTACAGGTGTGAGCCACCGTGCCTGGCCTATTTTTAAATATTTTTTAGAGATAGAGTCTTGTTCTGTTGCCCAGGATAGAGTGCAGTGGTGTGATCATAGCTCACTGCAGCTTTGAACTCCTAAGTTAAAGAGATCCTTCCGCCTCAGCCTCCCAAATACCTAGAACTATGGGTGTGTGCCACCACACCTGGCTAATTTTTTTATTTTTATATTTTAATTTTTTCTTTTTTTCTTTTCTTTTCTTTTTTTTTTTTTTTTTGAGACAGAATCTCGCTCTGTCACCCAAGCTGGAGTGCAGTGGCCCGATCTCTACTCACAGCAACCTTTACCTCCTGGGTTCAAGTGATTCTTCTGCCTCAGCCTCCTGAGTAGCTGGGATTACAGGTGCATGCCACCACGCCTGGCTAATTTTTGTATTTTTAGCAAAGACAGGGTTTCACCATGTTGGTCAGACTGGTCTCAAACTCCTGATCTCTTGATCCATCTGCCTTGGCCTCCCAAAGTGCTGGGATTACAAGCGTGAGCCACCATGCCTGGCCTATATTTTAATTTTTATATTTTTAGAGATCGGGTCTTGCTATGTTGCTCAGGCCGGTGCATGCGCCACCACAACCCACTAATTTTTGATTTTTTTTTTTTTGTAGAGATAGGGTTTTGCCATGTTGCCCAGGCTCTTCTCAAACTCTTGGGCTCCAGTGATCCACCTTCCTCAGCCTCCCAAAGTGTTGGGATTACAGGCGTGGCTGGGCCCAAAATAATTATTTAATTAAATCGAATAACAAGGCCATATTCAAGTTTCCCCGTTTACCCCTAAATATCTCTTGTAGCTGGTTTACTTAAGCCAGGACCTAATCAAGGATCACACGTTGCATTTTATTGTTATTTTTCTTAAATCTATTTTAATCTAGAACAATCCCTTCACCTATAGACTTTTGAAGAAAGAGCTGTTTTAATGATCCACATTGTGAATTTGTCTAATTATTTCCCTGCCATGTTATTTAACTTGTTTCTTTATCTGCATATTTCCTGCAAACTGAAATTTAGATCTAAGATGCTTGATTTGATGCTGATAAAACATTTTTGGCAAGAACACATCCTGGATGTTGCCTGTGGTTCTGCCGTTCCACTGGAGGCTGTCACTGGCAGGCCATTTCCAGGGTGGAGGCTTGGGTCAGGCTTCCACTCCTAGGTGGAGAAAAGGCAAAAGAGAGACAGAAGTGGCAGTAGGTGGAGCCTGGAGACTTCCCTCGGCAAGCTCCTATAACTAATCTCTGGATGTGCACCAAAGCAGGGAGTCCCACTTCCCCACCATGCTCAGGAGGCCGGCTCAGGCTCAGATTCTGGGGCAAGAACCCACAGCCAGAAATCAGTCACCCAGAGAGCATGGGCTGCAGCTGAAGGACCTACCAGGAGCTTGACAACAGCTCTGGTCTCCTTGTCCTGGAACTGAGTAGCGGTGATGTGGCATCACATAAGGAAACAACAGACTTTGGACACAGACTAAGCTCTGCAGTTTTTCAGCTTTTTATTTATTTATTTTATTTATTTTATTTTATTTTATTTTATTTATTTTATTTTATTTTATTTATTTATTTTATTTATTTTATTTATTTTTTATTTTATTTTATTTTATATTTTATTTTATTTTATCATTTTATTTTATTTTATTTTATTTTTATTTTATTTTAATTTTATTTGAGAAAGAGTCTCATTCTGTCACCCAGGCTGGAGTGCAGTGATGCGATCTCAGCTCATTGCAACCTCCACCTCCTGGGTTCAAGCGATTCTCCTGCCTCAGCCTCCCAAGTAGCTGGAATTACAGGCATCTGCCACCATGCCCAGCTAATTTTTTGTATTTTTAGTATTTTTAGTAGGGATGGGGTTTCGCTATGTTGGTCAGGCTGGTCTCAAACTCCTGACCTCAGGTAATCCACAAAATGTTGGGATTACAGGCGTGAGCCACCACACTTGGCCTCAGCTTTATTTTATTTTATTTTATTTTATTTTATTTTATTTTATTTTATTTTATTTTTTGAGACGGAGTGTCGCACTGTTGCCCAGGCTGGAGTGCAGTGGTGCCATCTCGGCTCACTGCAACCTCTACCTTCCAGGTTCAAGTGATTCTCCTGCCTCAGCCTCCCAAGTAGCTGAGACTACAGGCACGCACCACCATGCCCGGCTAATTTTTGTATTTTTAATAGAGATGGGATTTCACCATATTGGCCAGGCTGGTCTTGAACTCCTGACCTTAGGTGATCCACTTGCCTCAGCCTCCCAAAGTGCTGGGATTACAAGCGTGAGCCACCCGGCCAATATTTTTATTTTTTATTGAGACAGAGTCTCAATATTTTTTGAGACGGAGTCTCACACTGTCCCCCAGGCTGGAGTGCAGTGGTGCCATCTCGGCTCACTGCAACCTCTACCTCCCGGGTTCAAGCGATTCTCCTGCCTCAACCTCCCAAGTAGCTGAGACTACAGGCACACGCCACCATGCCTGGCTAATTTTTGTATTTTTAGTAGAGATGGGATTTCACCATGTTGGCCAGGCTGGTCTTGAACTCCTAGCCTCAAGTGATCCACTTGCCTTGGCCTCCCAAAGTGCTGGGATTACAGGCGTGAGCCACTGTGCCCAGCCTAATTTTTCAGCTTTTAAAACATTTCATTTTATTTATTCAGTATTTATCTATTTAGAAACAGGGTCTTGCTCTTTTTCCCAGGCTGGAGTGCAGTTATGCAATCATGAATCACTGCAGCCTCAAACTGCTGGGCTCAAGCCATCCTCCTGCCTCAGCCTCCTTAGTAGCTGGGACTGCAGGGATTTGCCATCATGTTCAGCTTAATTTTTAAAAAATTTTTATGGAGATGAAGTCTCCTTATGTTGTCCAGGCTGGTCTGGAACTCCTGGTCTCAAGTGATCCTCCCACCTCAGACTCCCAAAGTACTGGATTATAGGGGTGAGCTACCACATCCAGCCAATTTTTCGGCTTTTTGATCTTGGACAAGTCACTTAAGATCCTGAGCCTTGGTTTCCCTACCTTTAAAATGGCACAGGCTTGGCTGGGTGTGGTGGTTTACACTTGTAATCCCAGCCCTTTGGGAGGCCGAGGCAGGCGGATCACTTGAGGTCAGGAGTTCAAGACCAGCCTGAGCAACATGGTGAAACCCTGTCTCTACTAAAAATACAAAAATTAGCCAGTCCTGGTGGCACACAACTGTAGTCCCGGCTACTTGGGAGGCTGAGGCATGAGAATTACTTGAACTCGGGAGGCAGAAGTTGCAGTGAGCCGAGATTGTGCCACTGCACTCCAGCCTGGGTGACAGAGCAAGACTCCGTCTCAAAAGGAAAAAGAAAGGCACAGGGTTGTGTTAGTGGCGAGCAATGTGTTTGCACTGCTATAGTGGAATACCTGGGTAATTTATAAAGAAAAGAGGTTCTGGCTGGGCGCGGTGGCTCACGCCTGTAATCCCAGCACTTTGGGAGGCCGGGGTGGGCAGATCACGAGGTCAAGAGATCGAGACCATCCTGCCTAACATGGTGAAACCTCGTCTCTACTAAAAATACAAAAATTAGCCGGGCGTGGTGGCGGGCGCCTGTAGTCCCAGCTACCCGGGAGGCTGAGGCAGGAGAATGGCGTGAACCCGGGAGGCAGAGCTTGCAGTGAGCCGAGACCATGCCACTGCACTCCAGCCTGGGTGACAGAGCGAGACCCCATCTCAAAAAAAAAAAAAAAAAAAAAAAAAAAAGAGGTTTTATTCGTCTCACGGTTTGAGACTGTCACAAAACAAAAAACAAAACAAAACAAAAGAAAACAAAACAATGGGAAAGCTGTGTTTTACCCTCTGCCATTCTCTTGGCTCTCCATTCATGGTCGCAGGGTGGCTGCTGCAGCGCCAATGGTTACATCCTATTGTGGCAAGAAACAAAGATGGCAAAACGGGAGGAGGATCTTTTCCAAGCTCCTCATCCCCTGCCAGCAAACGTCAGTGTCCGCTTATGCCTCTTTGAGTAGAATGGGTCATATGCCTACTCCTAAGCCAGTTACTGTCAAGGAAGCCTGGAATCCACAGAGTGAGCTATCCAATCACAAGGAAGCCTGGAATCCGCAGAGTTCTAGCCAATCACAAGGAAGCCTGGAATCCGCTAAGTTCTATCCAATCACAACGAAGCCTGGAATCCGCAGCGTTCTATCCAATCACAAGGAAACCTGGAATCCGCAGAGTGAGCTATCCAATCATAGTTCACTCCTTAGGGCTGGGTTCACCTTCCCTGAAAATATTGCCACTGTGAACAAAATAGTAAGGAACAAAGGAGGAACTGGGTGGACAACCAGCAGTGTCTCCCATAGTAACCGAAGATAGTCATTCTCTAATCAACCCTGTCAACAGCTCCCCAAAGGGCAGTGTGTCTACATGGAGCCTAGCAAAGGAAAGCCAAAAAGCCAGGCTCGAGAAATGCCCGCTTTATGTGCAGGGAGAAGTTGATGCCAAAGAGACAGCAAACTGTGAGCGTTCCTTTGCCACATCGTGTGTAAACCCTAATTGCGAAGCTTCATTACAAGACAGGTGACTTTGCTTTCAGAGAAGGTTGCCCAAGTAAAAAGAATAGCTCCTTTTTGGTGAGGATGAAGCACTTGCTTTTTTTTTTTTAGACGGAGTCTCCCTCTGTCGTCCATGCTGGAGTGCAATGGCGGGATCTCGGCTCACCGCAACCTCTGCCGCCCGGGTTCAAGCAATTCTCCTGTCTCAGCCTCCTGAGTAGCTGGGACTACAGGTGCACGCCGCCATGCCTGGCTAACTTTTGTATTTTTAGTGGAGACGGGGTTTCACCATATTGGTCAGGCTGGTCTCGAACTTCTGACTTCAGATGATCCGCCCGCCTCAGCCTCCCAATGTGCTAGGATTATAGGCGTGAGCCACTGTGCCTGGCCTAGCACTTGCTTTTGCTTTTTCTTTTTCTTTTTTTTCTTTTCTTTTTCTTTTTTTTTTTTTTTGAGACAGAGTCTAGCTCTGTCACCCAGGCCGGAGTGCAGTGGCGCCATCTCGGCTCACTATAAGCTCCGCCTCCAGGGTTCACGCCATTCTTCTTCCTTAGCCTCCCAAGTAGCTGGGACTACAGGCACCTGCCACCACTCCCGGCTAATTTTTCTGTATTTTTAGTAGAGACGGGGTTTCACCGTGTTAGCCAAGATGGTCTTGATCTCCTGACCTTGTGATCCACCCGCCTCGGCCTCCCAAAGTGGTGGGATTACAGGCGTGAGCCACGGCACCCGGCAGCACTTGCTTTTTCTAATAACAAAGTGCCGTGACTGCTCTGCCATCTGCCAAGAGCTGTGGAACCAAGGGTCTGGGCTGGAGGCTAGAAGGCCATGGTTCTGGGGACCCCACTTGCACCCTCTTACTGATTTTATGGAGTGGACCCGAGAGCACCAGCTCTGTCTAAAGGGGGCAGCTACTGGTTTTGCCTTGTATGAAGAAGAGTCCCCTTTTGCCCAATATTCTGATTTTTTTTTCTAGGAGAATTTAAAAATTTTAATACTATGTGATGTTGTCTCCTTTTTTTAAAGCTAGCAAAAAATTCAAAATAATATTTTATTTTATTTTGAGACGGGGTTTTGCTGTGTCACCCAGGCTGGAGTGCAGTGGCGTGATCTCGGCTCACTGTAATCTCAGCCTCCCGGGTTCAAGTGATTCTCCTGCCTCAGCCTCCAGAGTAGCTGGGATTACAGACATGTGCCACCACACCTGGCTAATTTTTGTATTTTTAGTAGAGATGGGGTTTCACCACGTTGGTCAGGCTGGTCTCGAACTCCCGACCTCATGTGATCCGCCTGCTTCGGCCTCCCAAAGTGCTGGGATTACAGATTTGAGCCACTCCTCCCAGCCATCAAAAGAATATTCTAAATATGGTGGACCAAGCACAACATCTGAAGGTTCTATTTTGACCTCCAGGTAGGTGTGCATGAGGGATCCTTTTGGGATACTGACAGTGTTCTATAATAAACTCTAGAAGTGATATCCCTGAAAGTATGGTCTTACTGGTAATGTTCTAAAATGTATTAAGGTAATGGCTGTGCAGTTTGGTAAATTGACTAAAATTATTGAATTGTACACTTGAAAGGGATGAATTATATATATAAAATATGCCTCAGCCAGGCGCGGTGGCTCATGCCTATAATCCCAGCACTTTGGGAGGCCGAGGCAGGCGGATCACAAGGTCAGGAGTTCGAGACCAGCCTGACCAAAATGGTGAAACCCCATCTCTACTAAAAATACAAAAATTAGCCGGGTGTGGTGGTGCGTGCCTGTAGTCCCAGCTACTCGGGAGGCTGAGGCAGGAGAATTGCTTGAACCTGGGAGGCGGAGGTTGCAGTGAGCCAAGATCGCGCCACTGCACTCCAGCCTGGGCGACAGAGCGAGACTCCATCTCAAAAAAAAAAAAAAATGCCTCAATAAAGTTGAAAAAAATTTGTCCTGCAGGCTGTAGTTTGTAGTCGAAGGCCTAGAATATTATTCCTAAGGCCTTTCTCCCTTCCTGATTGTGGTTTTGTAGAGGCACCAACCCTGCTGATAGTGAGAACTGACAACATCAGCTTATAAGTGAGGGAGTGTGGCCCAGTGGTTCATACATGGGCCATGGAGTCACCTGAGTTCAATTCTGCTTTCCTCAACGACTAGCCATGTGACCTTGAACAAGTGATGTCCCCAGACTAGTCAGCTTTTCAGGACTCAGTTTTCTCATCTCTACAATGACAATGGTTATAATATCTGGAAGATTAAATGATGCCACACATGTAAAGCATCTGGCACAATGTAAGTCCTCAAGTAGTATTTCTCATTAGGAACTCTTGCCACTAAGCCCAGTGACCCGTTTAGTACCTGAACTAAATGAGGTGGAGCTTGCAGTGAGCCGAGGTCGCGCCACTGCACTCCAGTCTGGGCGACAGAGCTAGACTCTGTCTCAAAAAAAAAAAAGATTTTAAAAAGGTGGTGAATTCAAGTTGTGTCTTCAGAAGTTCAGATTTGGGCTCATTTTTCTTGGGTAATCTAGGAGGGTCAATTTTGCACTACCGATCTCCACTCCACCCCAACAAATGTTGCTCCTAAAATGGCCGTGGGACCTCCATTACTTTCTCAGCAAAAGTGAATTCTCGGCTGGGCGAGGTAGCCACGCCTGTAATCCCAGCACTTTGGGAGGCCAAGGCGGGTGGATCATCTGAAGGTGGGAGTTCAAGAACAGCCTGACTAACATGGAGAAACCCCGTCTCTACTAAAAGTACAAAATTAGCCCAGCATGGTGATGCATACCTATAATCCCAGCTAGTCAGGAGGCTGAGGCAGGAGAATCACTTGAACCTGGGTGTCAGAGGTTGTGTTGAGCTGAGATCGTGCCATTGCACTCCAGCCTGGGCAACAAGAGCGAAACTCCATCTCAAAAAAAAAAAAAAGAAGAAGAAGTGAATTCTCACGTACTTGTTTCAGACAGGTTTTTTTTTTTGTTGAGACGGAGTCTTGCTCTGTTGCCCAGGCTGGAGTGAAGTGGCGCGATCTCGGCTCACTGCAAGCTCCGCCTCCCGGGTTCACGCCATTCTCCTGCCTCAGCCTCCCAAGTAGCTGGGACTACAGGCGCCTGCCACCACGCCCAGCTAATTTTTTGCACTTTTAGTAGAGATGGGGTTTCACCGTGTTAGCCAGGATGGTCTCGATCTCCTGACCTCGTGATCCGCCCACCTCAGCCTCCCAAAGTGCTGGGATTACAGGTGTGAGCCACCGCGCCCGGCTCAGACAGGTTTTTAAGATACTGCTAATATAGCACTTGGAATGAAGGCACTCTGGCTGTCACTAGGGCGTGGTCAGTGCCCAGGGACTCCTGCCCATAGAGGAATGAAGCCCTACCCAGAGGCACCCTCTGCACGCCTGTGAAACCCCAGCAGGGGCTGCCACATTCCCTGGGTTATGGGTGCGGCAATGTGAACCGGGAATAAAACCTGGGGCCTTTCAGAGTGGCAGAGGAGGCTGAAAAGAGGTGGAGAGAGCCCAGCTGCACTCACGGGCCAACACAGACCCCTGGTCTAAAAGGAGTCCCCCAGAACGGGTCAGGCCAGAAATCCGTTCTAGTCCTCAGTTCCCCATGTTCTCTGTCCTCTGTGTCTCTCGCCAATTGCATAGGCTCCTCTTGTCTTTCTCTCCTTCCCTCCCCTGCCTGCATCTTCTCAACAGATGCCCTGTGCCGTCAATAAGTAGCCACGGGCCCCCCAAGCAAACAGGGGCATTCTCACCAGTATCTGAGTGCTCCCAAAGGGCTGTGGGGTCCGATCAGGTGGGAATGGGGCACAGATGGGGCTCATTCGCCTGGCCTGTTGGTTGAACTTGCCCCCTGGGGTGTGGCCATAGAGTTGTGGTGGGGAACCCCTTTTTCATGTACCCTGAGTAGGGGAAGCTGTGTGGAGAAAGTGGGGGGTAGGACTCTGCTGAGCAGGGCGAGGCCCACGGTTGTCTCATGACATTAGAAACATGAAATGAAACTCAAGGTCCTGAGTCATCCCTGTGACTGAGGCTTTTGGACTGGCTTTTTTTTTTTTTTTTTTTTGAGACGGAGTTTAGCTCTTGTTGACCATGCTAGAGTGCAATGGCGTGATCTCAGCTCATTGCAACCTCTGCCTCCTGGGTTCAAGAGATTTTCCTTCCTCAGCCTTCCTGAGTAGCTGGGATTACAGGCACGCGTCACCACGCCCGGCTAATTTTGTATTTTTAGTAGAGACAGGGTTTCTCCATGTTGGTCAGGCTGGTCTCGAACTCCCAACCTCATGTGATCCGCCCGCCTCGGCCTCCCAAAATGTTGGGATTACAGGCGTGAGCCACCGTGCCCAGCCTCGGACTGGCTTTTACCATTTTGAACAGAAAGTCTGCAGCGTGAACAATGGCTCAGGCTGATGAATGCCTCAGTCTAAGTGATTTAGCTGGTGCTGACCCGCTCCCTCATTGATCTTCCTCATTCCCAATTCCAGCAGCAATTGAAGTCTGCACCACACAATTTAGAACTCAGTTGTATATCACCTGCTGCTGTTCCTGTTGTTTCCTATGAGTTGGTCTTGCCTTTCCAGCAAGAATTACAAGCTCCTTCAGGACTGGGATCAAGTTTGTTTGATACTCCTTTAACCTCCAACGCCACTCAATAAATACCCCTTGATTAGATCAGATAATATCTGCATTGCAGTGAGCCAACTTGGCACAGAGAGGCACTCAATAAATGCTTGCATGAAGGAGTGATTTTTTCTGTTGACAAAGGACAAGACAGATCTTTCTGAAATTTTGCAGGAGGTACTTACATCTAAACTTGGTCTGCTGATTATGACAAATCTCAGCCCCCTCTTCTGAAATCACTTCCCTCAACTAGTGAAATAGGTTGGTATTAGTATTCCATACTTACAGTGTTGCTGGCTGAGTGGTGTCTCCCCCAAAATTCATGGGTTTGTTTTGTTTTGTTTTGTTTTGTTTTGAGACAGAGTCTTGCTCTGTTGCCCAGGCTGGAGTGCAGTGACACGATCATAGCTCACTGAGCCTCGACCTCCTGGGCTCAAGGGATCCTCCCATCTCAGCCTCCCAATGTGTTGGGGTTATAGTTGTGAGCCACCACTCCTGGCCCAAAACTCGTGTGTTGAAGCCTTAATGCTCAGTACCTCAAAAGGTGACTGTACTTGGAGATAGGACCTTTAAAGAGGTGATTAAATTAAAAGGAGGCCCTTAGGGTGGGCCTAATCTAATCTGACTGGCGTCCTTATAGGAACAGGAAATTCGGAGTGGGAAGAGACAGCAAGGGTCCTTGTTGGCACACTGAGGCCTCAGAAGAAACCAAGCTTGTCAACACTTTGATCTTGGACTTCCAGCCCAGGGAACTGTGAGGAAATAAGTTTCTGTTTTTTGAGTCACCAAGATTGTGATATTGTGTGATGGCAGCCTCAGCCAACTAACACAGAGAGAAGTTGAGGTCTCCAGAAGGGAAGTATCTTCTGTCATGGAGTAAGCCTCTAAGCTGTCCAGAATTCCCCCAAGGTCATGTGTCCCTAAGTGCGGGCACTCCCACAGGGGTGCCACAGTCTAGCCGTGTCCTGGATTTACTCCTTCTTGTGCTCCCTTCATACCAAGCCAAGGGTCTCTGTCTCCGTGGGGCATTCTCCCCTGGATCCTGGCCACTCCACACCCCTCCCCACCCTCTCACATTCCCACCTCCACATCCCTGCAAGCACCCATGTGAGATGTGCCCTGCCACACTGCAAGGAAGTGCAAGGCTCACATGGTGTTTTGTTGGGGTGACTCCAGAGAGCCTTCTTCCAGGGCTCCATTCTCTTTGCATGGGAGGACAGCATCAGGCAGTTCCATCCACGGGCTGCCTAGTCTGAGCAGTTGCTAGCGTCAGGGTAGGGCAGACCTCTGAGGCCAGGCCAGTGGGCGGGCAGAAGCCACGCTCCCAGGCACCAGCCAGGAAGCTGGATCTAGGGGTGGGCATGTGGAGGTGGGAATTCCAACAACGTCTGGGAGAAAGACAGGCGAGGCACAACAGTCAGAGGACCAGAAAGAAACCAATGAGTGGAGGCCTGGTCGGGCCATCTGGGCAATTGCCTGTTTGTTTAAGAGATCCAACTCTGAGTGTATGGAATTGAGAGACCTGGGCCCAAGGGGCAGAGGGTAGGGGACTCCCATGCAGTTTATGCCCTGGAGTTCTTTTTTTTTTTTCTTTTGAGACAGAGTCTCACTCTGTTGCCCGGGCTGGAGTGTGGTGGCATGATCTCAGTTCACTGCAACCTCCACCTCCCAGGTTCAAGCGATACTCCTGCCTCAGCCTCTGAAGTAGCTGGGATTACAGGCGCCCGCCACCATGTCCAGCTAATTTTTTTGTATTTTTAGTAGAGACAGAGTTTCACCATGTAGGCCAGGCTGGTCTCAAATTCCTGACCTCATGATTTGCCCGCCTCAGCCTCCCAAAGTGCTGGGATTACAGGCGTGAGCCACTGCGCCTGGCCAACACCCTGGAGTTCTCTCTCGTGTATCTGTCAGATTTTGTTTGCCCCCTTTCTCCTACCTGCACCTAGAAAACTGTTTTTCACCTGGATTCCCGTTTTCCAGTGTCAGCTATGTGTCACACTTTGCCAGCTTTTGCCCAACCACGTAGGATGTGATCTGAGCACACAAACACCTTCCAGGTTTTAAAAAACTGTTCAGTTAATCATTGCAGGCACGTCTTGGTTACTGAGGCTGGCCTTTGTCTGGAAGTGTCTTCTAGGTAGACTTTGACTAGCAGAGAGTAGCACCTTTGAGGCTGGTGTGGATTGCCTCATTGCATGGTGCCCACCTTCCGTGCATGGCCCCTCAGTGTGATACCCAGGGGGCTTTGTCTGCGGGTGGGGTGTGATAGCAAACCTTCTGTGAAAGGGAGGCTGCCACTCCCCTTCGCTACCCGCCACTTTGATCTAACCTAGCTGGGTGCACTGTTGTCCTTGGTTTGCTTCTACAACACTGCAGTTTCTGTGTCACCTTAAGCCCTTGAAACCTAGTGACCGACCTTCTGAAATGCCTCTGCAGCTCCATCACTCATCCTAGAAAGATGGCATTATCCATCCTCAAGGAAGATATCCATCCTAAAGAAAGATTCAGCTAGGATATACAATGCTTCTCAAACTTGACCATGCACGAGGATCACTGGAGGGGTGGTTAAAGCAGATTCCTGAGTCCCCGCCCTGGAGTTTCTGAGTCGGGAGGTCTGGGAAGGTGAGGCTGCTGAGTCTGGCCAGGGGCCATACTCTGAGACCCACAGAGCTAGGATTACAAACTGTGCCATCTCTCTGAGTGTGTGCGACTGAACACTTGCTTTTAACCATTCTTTCTCAAACACTCTCTTGCGAATGTTGAGGAGAGCCTGGATCAGGGTCCTGGATAAGAGCTGACGAAATAGCACCAACAGTGGGTCTCTGGGCCTAGTTAGCCCTGAAATGTAGTTGGGGCTGAGCCTGATATTTCACAGGCTGCTTCTTGACTCATGTTTGAAAATTTTTTTTTAATCCAGTGTGATTTATTCTTTCTTTGAGACAAGGGCTTGCTCTGTTGCCCAGGCTGGAGTGCAGTGGCACAATCATAGCTCACTGTAGCGTTGACCTCCTGGGCTCAAGTGATCCTCCCGCCTCCCAAAGTGCTGGGATTAGAGGTGTTAGCCACCACACCCAGCCAAACTCTAACAAAATACTGTAGAGAATAAATCACAATAAAGCAGGTGCAGTGGCTCATGCCGGCAATCCCAGCACTTTGGGAGGCCAAGGCAGGAGGATCGCTTGAGCCCAGGAGTTCAAGATCAGCCTAGGCAACATAGCGAGACCTCATTTCTACAAAAAATTTTTTCAAAAATTAGCCAGGCATGGTGGCACGTGCCTGTGGTCCCAGCTGCTCAGGAGGGAGACTGAGGTGAGGGGATCCCTTCAGCCTGAGAGGTCCAGGCTCCAGTGAGCTATGAATGTTTGCACCATTGCACTCCAGCCTGGTGGGGCAGAGCAAGGCCCTGTCTCTAAATTAAAAAATAAGAAGTCCAGGGAGGCTCAGCTGAGTTCTCTGTTTAAGATCTTGCAGGCTGAGATCAAGGTGCTGGCAGGGCTGCATTCCTGACCGGAGGCTCTGGAGGAGTCTTCTCCTACACTCATGCAGGTTGTGGGCTAACGTCAGCTCCTGGAGGTTGTGGGACTGGGACCCCTCTTTCCTTGCTGGCTGTCAGCTGGGGAAAAGTCTCTGCTCCTGGAGGGTGCCTGCTCTCCCTGACATGCTTTCTGTCAGCCGTGAGTCCCTCCCACCCTTCAAATCTCTGGCTTTTTATGTTGAATCTCTCAGGCTCCAGCCATATACAGCTCTGTGCTTTTAAGGGATCATGGGATTAGATTGGGTTCACCTGGATAATTCCGGCTAATCTCCTCATTTAAAGGTCCATGACCTTAATTAGATCTACAAAGTTCTCTGTGCTGTATATAATACAACATATTTTCAGGATTAGGGCACGGAGATCTTTAGGAAGATATTCTGCCTGTCACAAATAGGTAACACGGTTGAAAAAAAAATGAGAATACCATCTAAGTGATGACAGTGAAGTCTTATTCCAACTCCCTGTCCTTTCTGCCTGATTCTTCACCCATCTGAACAGCTTGCCACTTGTATTAGTCTCTTGTGTATCCTTCCAGAGTTTCTTTTTTGAAAACATAGCCATGAATAGCCTAGATGCGGTGGCTCATGCCTGTAATCCCAGCAGTTTGGGAGGCAGAGGCAGGCGGATCGCTTGAGCCCAGGAGTTCGAGACCAGTAACATGGTGAAATCCCACCTCTACAAAAACAATACATAAATGAATAAATAAAATTAAGGCCAGGCGCGGTGGCTTACACCTGTAATTCAGCACTTTGGGAGGCTGAGGCGAGTGGATTACCTGAAGTCAGGGGTTGGAGACCAGCCTGGCCAACATGGTGAAACCCGGTGTCTACTATTTTTTTTTTTTTTTTTTTGAGATGGAGTTTCACTCTTGTTGCCCAGGCTGGAGTGCAATGGCGCAATCTCGGCTCACCGTAACCTCCGCCCCCCCAGGGTTCAAGTGATTCTCCTGCCTCAGCCTCCCAAGTAGCTGGGGTTACAGGCGTCTGCCACCACGCCTGGCTATTTTTTTGTATTTTTAGTAGAGATGGGGTTTTACCATGTTGCTCAGGCTGGTCTCGCACTCCAGACCTCAGGTGATCCACCCGCCTCGGCCTCCCAAAGTGCTGGGATTACAGGCACGAGCCACCGCGCCCGGCCGCCTTTTTTTTTTTTTTTTTTTTTTTGGAGACAGAGTCTTGCTCTGTGGCCCAGGCTGGAGTGCAGGGGCACAATTTCAGCTCACTGCAATCTCTGCCTCCTGGGTTCAAGCAATTCTCTTGCCTCAGCCTCCCCAGTAGTAGCTGGGACTACAGGCGCCTGTCACCATGCCCGGCTAATTTTTATATTTTTAGTAGAGACGAGGTTTCACTGTTGGCCAGGCTGGTCTCGAACTCCTGACCTCGTGATCCACCCGCCTTGGCCTCCCAAAGTGCTGGGATTACAGGTGTGAGCCACCGTGCCCGGCGAAGGTTTTTTTATAGTGCATAGAAAAAGTTCTTCATCTATCTTTATAAAACATAGGACTCGGTACATGGGTACCGTAATTTACTTAACCGGCCTCTTATTCACAGACTATTGGTCTATTCCTGATATTCTGCCATACACTCTGTAGCCACCTGTGCTAACTTCATACACACACATTGCTTACATGTGACCACTGATTTTTGTTTTTTACTCTAACATCTCTAAGGCTAGAGGCAAGTTGGGGTGGTAACAGTCTCTTGTGGGTACACAACTTGTCCATGGGCAGTTTGATGGCCCACAAAATGGAGGCTTTTGCTTAAATCTGTGAATCTGTGTCATTGCCGAACCTAAATGTTGTCTCAGTGCTGCCAAAGCATTCTCAGCTTTTCTGTAGGACACTGGTCAGCCCCAGTGCACACCAACCCAGTCCATGTGAACGGTGCCTGTCAGGTGCAGCCACCAGATGGGCAAGCTGCCACTCGGCCCCAAGCCCCTGCACCCACCGGCCTTGACACTCTGACCAGAGGACATTCCTCTTGCGGGGCCTGAACTGTCATCCCCGCTCATCTTCTGGGTGGTGTTTATGCTCTTGCCCACAAGGGCCCTTTCCTTTGGCCCTTTGGAGGCCTCCGGCTCCCTGGCCAGTCCCTCCTCCTCTCCTGTTTTCTGGGTTGTCGTCAGGTGTCTGAAGATTCATAAGCTGATTCTGAAGGCTGATCTCCTCACCTAAAATAGCAAGCTCAGCTGACTGCAGGGCTTGGCCTCTCAAGGCATGCACAATAAGGGTCTTGGCTGCAGCCAATTTCCTGCCCCCTCCCCACCACCCAACCTCAGCCCCAGGACCAGAAGTTTTCTGTCCTTCCTATTTTATTCCGTAGAGGTCTCAACTTTCAGTTTCATTATGAGACAGAAATGAGTGACGTCTCCTGAAGGGCTCTCTGATGACTGACTGGGGATAAGTACCCACCCCTCCAAGCCTTCTATCACCACTGCAAAAAACTCACAGTGGGCAGTGACTGCACATTCATCAGCAGACAGACATCCATCCATCCAGAGAACCAGGGCTGTCCCCCAGGCTGGGTTCAGGGGCTGGGGAGAAGCAAACTGAGAAGCCAAGGCAGGGCCTAGAACTCTGGGAAGACCAGGAAAGCACAAACCATGGCTTTAATAAACAATAAAATAGATTTAAGAGCTATTTCTGGCCGGGCGTGGTGGCTCACACCTGAAATTCCAGCACTTTGGGAGGCCAAAGGGGGGCGGATCGCCTGAGGTCGGGAGTTTGAGACCAGCCTGACCAACATGGAGAAACCCCGTCTCTACTAAAAATACAAAATTAGCTGGATGTGGTGGAGCATGCCTGTAATCCCAGCTACTTAGGAGGCTGAGGCAGGAGAATCGCTTAAAGCTGGGAGGCGGAGGTTGCGGTGAGCTAAGATCACGCCATCGCACTCCAGCCTGGGCAATGAGTGAAACTCCCTCTCAAAAAAAAAAAAAAAAAGGAGCTGTTTCAATCCACTGGGACGGATTTCTTTCTATTCTCTCTGCATCAGATGGAGCAGAGCTTCCAGATGGGGGTTAATATGAGCTGTCACTTCTCACTTGGCATCGCATATTCTTTACTCACTTTCCTTTTTTTTTTTTTTTTTTGAGATGGGGTCTCACTCTGTCACCCAGGCTGTAGTGCAGTGTGCGATCATGGCTCCCCACAGCCTTGAACTCCTGGGCTCAAGGGATCCTCCCACCTCAGCCTCCTGAGTAGCTGGGAGTACCTGGGACTATAGATGCGTGCCACCATGCCTGGCTAATTTTTTAATTTGTTTGTAGAGATGTGGTCTCCCTGTGGTGCCCAGCCTGGTCTTAAACTCCAGTCCTCACGTGATCCTCCTGCCTGGGCCTCCCAAAGTGCTGGGGTTGTAGGTGTGAGCTACCATGCCCAGCACACCACTTTTCTTTGCTATCCCCCCATCCCTCTTTCAGTTTCTTAAGCTTTTCACCTCAGGACCTTTGAACACACTTTCTCCCTGGGCCTGAAAGTCTGCTTCTCCTGCTGGCCAACTCCTATCCATCCTTTGTGAATGTCATTTCTGGTGGGAAACAATCCTGCACCCCCTGCCCTGGGTTGGGTCTCCCTCCTGTGTTGTTCCTTTCCTTCCATATCCTAAATGTATTTCCATGTAATTTATTTAATCCATCATTTATTCATGTTCTGTTTGTAAACGTCATGAGGACAGGGACCACACCCCCAGTACCCGCTATGTTATTACATTGTCTGGAAATGAGAGTTAAAACACTGAGCGTGAGAAGTGCTGGGGACATGGAAACCCCGGTGCTAAGGTGTTTTCCTTGAGCTCCTGCATCCAGTTTCTGAGATAGTGCATCCCAGTCCTATTTTTGTCCCAGAGGGCCCCTTGGGGTCCTCCATTGTCATCCTTAGTTACTGACCCCAGGAATCTGGTCCTCTTTCTGCACGCCGGCTTGCCCCTAGAACTTCTCAGTCCACTCTCCTGGGTGCTTGCATCCCCTTTCGGTCTTTTTCATCTCTGCTCTGGTTGTCTTTTCTTTATCCCACGCTGGCGCCCACCCAGGAGGCCTCTTTTCCTCCAGTCTTAGTCAGCTCATCATCCTGACAATAACTGCGTTTAAAGATCCATTATTTTCATTTGCATGTAAAAGGTCATCCTTTTGGCCCCCGGACAATCTGTTTCTTGTATTACAACTTTAAAAATATTTATGACTCCTGAATTTACATTTTAACACAGACCTCGCCAGGTTCTGTGTTTGGGGGATGGAGTCACCCAAATCTCACCATTTGCGCTGGGGGTGAAGAGATGCCGCCTAGGAGGCTGCTCTGGCATACCTATAGAACAGTTTCAGATGCAAATTGATGTTCTTGGTTGAATGGGGGTGGCAAGGGCCATACGCACAGGCATGCACAGACCCCAGTCCTTAATCTTCGTCCCACAGAGACAGACCCTGACCTCATCCCCTGCTTGGCCAAGAAGCTGGGGAAATATCAGGGGGGGTCTTTGGTCGATTTTTTTTTTTTTTTTTTTTTTTTAGAGACAGGGTTTCACCATGTTGGCCAAGCTGGTCTCGAACTCCTGACCTTGTGATTTGCCTGCCTCGGACTTCCAAAGTGCTAGGATTACAGGTGTGAGCCACCGAGCCTGGCCTATGGTCGATCTTATTCCAAGCCCTGTTTGGGGTTGTTTTGAAGGCGGAGATGGCCCTGTTCCCCATCTGGACCCACTTCCTCCATGGCAGCCATCAGTTGAACTTTTGCAGATCTCTAGGGTAATTTACCCTCAGCTTGGAACTTCCTGGTGTATCCCTGTCCACAGATTGTTTTTCCTTGTGAGCCTCAGTTTCTCTCTATAAAACGGGGCCAAAAGTCTACCCCTTACCTGCTCTTCACATGGGAGGAGGTAAAGGCACACTTTTAATTTTTTTGTAGAGATGGGGTCTCGCTATGTTGGCCGCGCTGGTCTTGGACTCCGGGGCTCAAGCGATCCTCTTGCCTCTACCTCTCAAAGTGCTGGGATTACAGGCTCGAGCCACCATTGGCCTGAAGGCACACTTTCATCATCACAAGGAGAGGGGAGGAAAGAGAGCGTGGGTCTCCCAAGACAGAGGTTCACTGTGCATCAAGGCCGGCCCAGGGGTACAGGCACAATACCCGTGCCAAGGGGAGCCAAGCATTGTCCTCCGGAGTGCAGTTCCCAGTTGGATGCGCTAGACGGAGGGATTTCTCGCGGTGGTGAAAGCAGGAGCTTCTTGGAGGCGGGCAGGGAACACCCATGCTCTTTGAGGAAGAGGGGTGGAGCCACTGGGAAGAGGTGGGAGGGGCTGCTCTCCATCCTTCCCATCCTCTCCTCCTCTGGAGTCTCCTTCCTCTTTCTCCTGGACTCCCTCGGGGTGGCCTTCAGGAGGGAGTCGCCAGCGCCCAGGTGTGACTCTCGAGGAATCTGAATCTTAATGTGTGTAGATGATGCCGAATGTTGCTATTCAACTTTTTCATGTGAACCTGTCTCCGGAAATGGGGTGGCTTTGAGTCCTCTGTGCAGAATAATCACTAGGGAAGCTTTTAAAATATACCAGACCACTCCCCTGCACCCCTAAATATACCAGAGCCCAAGTCCAAGGAATGTGACTTAATGGGCCTGGGGCGGGGCCTAGACACCTGTGGCTTGTAAAAGTTTCCCAGGTGATTCTAAGGTGCAGCCCAGGCTGCATCCAGCCTGCATTCAGTTGGGCCTTCTGCAGTCTGTGTAGATGGAGGTGCTGCTCAAGTGATCCTTTGGAAAGTGAGCAGCTGAAACTGGCCCCTGGGCAAAAGTGGGAGAAGGGCAAATAGAAGTGTCTGGTAGGAAGGTGGCAGGTGAGGTGTGGTTGGAGTTCCAGCATGTTCAGTGCAGGGAGCAGAGGCTGAGAAGGGTGTGTGATGCACCTGCAAATACAGCCATCAGGGGCCAGGAAGCCAAGGTCGCCTTGCAGTCCTGCTCCAGAACTTTCTCCCTCTCAATTGGCCTTTTCCCGCTTCTGTTTTCTCTCTCCTCCCCTAGGAGGCTGTAAGCGAAGGACAGGTTTAGTGTCATGGGCCTGGCTCAGCCACTTGCTGGAACCTGGATCCAGGGTATTAGCTTCTCTGAAGTCAGGTTTTTCATCTGTTGAATGGGGGGAAAGTGCTTGCCCACCTCATAAGGCGACTGAGGCTTACACCAGGTCATCTGTGGAGCTCAGCTGTGGCTGTTGTTTTTACCTGGTCTTCCTCTTGATGGCTGCGGAACTGAGTGTCTGTTGGCTATTGAACCCGTGAGGCCCGCGTTTCCACATCTTCTACAATAGGGACAGTAATAGGTGGTGCACAGAGTGGGGAGGGAGTTAGAAGGGAAAGGACAGAGCACAAAAGAGGCAGCTGAGAAGTTGGGTTCCTCTGCCCTTCCTCCCTCTGTCTCAGCGCCATCCCCCCCACTACTCTTTCCCCTCAACAGCGCTCCTCTTGCGGTCCTGCTGAATAGTCATCCATTTGGAGGCTCTGGATGGAGCTTTTGGTTTAAAGAGGAGGCCAGGAGATGTAGAACAGCGATAAGGAAATGCACATTAGAGATAAAGGACCTGCTTAATCAGTCACAAAGACCTGTCAAAGAACAGTTGTGAGTGCTTGTTCCTAATGCTCCCTCCGTGGCAGGACTGGAGCCCCAGGGAGAGAAGGGAACTAAGCAGCTTCTCGCATCCATTCATTCAACCACTGGGCAAACATTGACCGAGCAGTTATATAGAGAGCGGCACCCACAGTATTTGGTGACGAGACTGCCTCTGCCATTGGGAGGTGTATCCCAGTGATAGACGCACTCAAGTCCTGGAGCATTTCAACACAGTGCGCCACATGCTGAGACAGGGGCTCAGCCCAGGGAGGCCACCTGGCCTTCGTGAAGCGGGAAGGGAAAGGTCTTCCAGGCCCAGCGGGTGTGTGCACCTGTGCAAAGGCCTCTGCAAAGCACGAGCCTGGCCGGTTTGGAGAACTGCAAAGAGGTCAGTACGAGGAGCTGGAGGCTGTGCAGGGGGCCAATAAAGAGAGGCCGGTGCGGCGGGGGCGGGGGGAGCTTTTGGAATTTTCAGAAGGGAAGTGATACGATCTGATTTGCTTTCCTAAGGTCTCTCATCCAGAGTGCAGAGAACACTGGCAGGGATTGTGGCTGGAGAAATGAAACGGAATCCTGGGTGATGCAGGTCCTCAGACAGCAGGGCTTTTAAAAGATTCTGAGACAGCCAGTCCTCCCCTCCCTGCTGCTGGAGGAAGGCTCTTGAGAACAACACAGCAACCGTCAGACCAGGAAGGGCAGGCAGTCCTCCTGCTGTCCTGTCAACAGGTGGAAATAAAAGTCCTTCACCCCAACAAGGCCACGGACCCCACGTCTGACGTATAGAAAAGGCTGGCCAAAACATGCACAATCACACGAGAGGCCTTTTTTTTCCTACTTTTTTTTTTTAAGTTTTTATTATTATTATTTTTTAGAGATATGGTCTTGCTCTGTCGCCTGGACTGGAGTGCAGTGGTGTGATTATGGCTCACTGCAGCCTCAAACTTCTGCGCTCAAGCAATTCTTCTGCTTCAGCCTCCCAAAGTGCTGGGATTACAGGTGTGAGCCACCACGTCTGGCCCAGAGGGCCATCTTTTGTCTTTGGATTCAGAGCCCACTTTGAAGGTGGCAAGTCACAGATGTTGGCATAATTGATGATGATTCCTGGGGCAGCCAAAGGAAAGGACCAAAATACAGACAGTCTCACCAGGCATGACAGCAGTGATAAAGAAAAAGCCACTCCCTTTTCCCCGCAGAAAAGAAAATGAAAAATAGGAATGGAAGAAAGAAAACTACGGAGAGTTGTAAAGATAAATGTCGGTGCTTACAAAGTATGGGAGTCTGGGCGTGGTGGCTCACGCCTGTAATCCCAGCACTTTCAGAGGCTGAGGCGGGCGGATCAGTTGAGATCAGACGTTCGAGACCAGCCTGGTCAACATGGTGAAACCTCCTCTCTACTAAAAATACAAAAATTAGCCAGCAGGCTAATTTTTATATTTAATTTTTAAATTAGTGGCGGGTGCCTGTAATCTCAGCTACTCAGGAGGCTGAGGCATGAGAACCACTTGAACCCGGGAGGTGGAGGTTGTGGTGAATGGAGGTGGCACCACTGCACTCCAGCCTGGGTGACAGAGCGAGATTCCCGTCTCAAAAAAAACAAAAAAAGAGTGTGTGGGAGATGAGAAACAGAAAGATGGGAGGCAAGTGGCTTGGGCTTGATCCCTCGGGATGTTTCAGTGTTGCACTGAAAATGAGGAGCTAGGCCGGGCGCGGTGGCTCATGCCTGTAATCCCAGCACTTTGGGAGGCCAAGGTGGGTGGATCACAAGGTCAGGAGTTCAAGACCAGCCTGGCCAAGATGATGAAACCCCATCTCTACTAAAAAATAGAAAAATTAGCCCGGTGTGGTGGTGGGTGCCTATAATCCCAGCTACTTGGGAGGCTGAGTCAGAGAATTGCTTGAACCCGGAAGGCAGAGGTTGCAGTGAGCCGAGATTGCGCCATTGCACTCCAGCCTGGGCGACAGAGTGAGACTCCATCTAAAAAATAAAAGTAAAAAATAAAAAAATTTAAAAAGCCGGGTGCGGTGACTCATGCCTATAATCCCAGCACTTTGGGAGGCCGAGGCGGGCAGATCACCTGAGGTCGGGAGTTCGAGACCAGCCTGACCAACATGGAGAAACCCCATCTCTACTGAAAATGCAAAATTAGCCAGGCGTGGTGGCGCATGGCTATAATACCAGCTACGCGGGAGGCCGAGGCAGGAGAATTGCTTTGAACCCAGGAGACGGAGGTTGCAGTGAGCTGAGATCGTGCCATTACACTCCAGCCTGGGCAACAAGAGTGAAACTTTGTCTCAAAAAAAAAAAAAAGAAAAGAAAAGAAAAAAAAGAAAATGAAGAGCTAAATGCAAACAAACAAGAAGAACTTGCCCAGGCTTATCCATTTGCTGTTGGCATTTATCATGATCTCTAAGATTGTGGTATGATTGCACAAGTAGAGTGCTGCCCGATTCCAGGAGGCACTGTGTACACTGCTGGCATTGTAGGCTCATCTATTTATGACAAGTTTTGGCCAATGGCACACAAGAAGCCACACAGCGAATGGCTGGGCTGATTGGCCACTCCTTGCAAGGCACCCTGGTGTCATTTGCCTCTTCTGTGTTACACCAGGTTGAGGAGACCTAAATGTCTAACAAACACTCATACACCCAAACACCCGCTCTTTTCCTCCATACTTTCAATCATGCGTGCCTTCCCGCAGCAGACGTTTGGGTCCTTCCTCTGAGCCTGGCACTATGAAGACCCCAAGGTAAACAACAGCTTTCCATCTGCTATGCGAATATATATGAAACGAACAGTCATAGAAATCTATGAATACAAAATCACAAGCTGTGATACATGTTGTGGAAGAAGATAAAAGGGTATTGTGAAGAGTGGAACCGGGGCTAACTTCCTATAGGGGTGTTCCCTGAAGCCCTCCCCAGGAAGACACATTTCCATCGGGATCTCAAGGATGGGTGGGAGCTGCACTAGTCAAGGAGGGGAAGGAGCTCCCCCGTAAAGGGGATTGCACAGCAGCGCCTTGGAAGTGAAGGGCCCCCTCACTTGAGAGGCCACAGGAAGGCTGGCCAGCAGGTCGGGAGCTGGGGGAGAGGGTGGAGACATGGTCTCCAGGCCAGATAAGGCTGGCCCAGCAGGCCAAGAAAAAGAGCTTGCATTTTGCTCACTGTGTAGTGGGTAGACTTTGAAAGGTTTTCAGCAGGAAGGAACATGAGGGGCATGCTGAAATTTGTGTTTTTAGATCTGCAGAGTGGAAAATTAATGGAAAGGGGACAAAAGTAGAAGCTGCTGAAGTGAGCAGCTGAGGGATGATGGGGCCTTGCATTGGGTTGCAACTGTGGAGATGGAAGGAGTGGGCAGGTTGAAGGGTAAACATGGGGGCCTGGTGGAGATTTGGGGTGGGAGATGTGGAAGATATCCGCTAACTCCTCCTCATTTTCTAGAGTGGAAATCAGGTTTCTGGCAGAAACAACTGGGTGGATGGAGGTGCCACTCACTGGGAAGGGGAAAGTTGGAAGAAGAACAGCTTTTGTGGGGAGGGAAAATGGAAAAGTCAATATGGGCCAAGTTGAGTTTGAGATCTCAGTGTTGGCCTATTCACTGTCACAATATGAGGACAGAGACAAACTCACCAGCTCCTCTCTCACTGAGTATATGTTTGAGCATTTGCATTCCCAAAAAAAGGACAATCAAAACAAATATTTATTGGGCAGTTTCTGGGAATTCAGCAGGGAGAAGCAACAAGGAAGACTGGAACAGAGCCATGGGCAGCATGGCCCCAAGACTGCCTCCCCAGTTCCAATATTTTACTTAGTGGGTCCTGGACTTCTGCATCTGTAAAATGGGCAGATCACCTACCTCACAGAATTGTCCTGAGGACCGCATGAGATGGCGTAGACCACGACCTTTAGTCCAGTGCCCAGCACATAGTAAGTGCCCACTAACTGTGAGCAACTTTTGAGCAAATATTTAACGAGTGTTGCAATCGAATGGGGAAGCTGGACAGGGAGCAAATAGCTTCAAGAGTCACAAGTTGCTGCAGGCCTCAGTCTTACTTTTCAGTTTGCCCCTTAGAGTCATGAAGTCAGGAGTTCTCCCCTCCTGGGTTAGTGATGGTCTGTTGGGTTCTGCTCGGGTGTAGCATCTGTGGTTTGTGTATAACACCGTTCATTTCTCCATTCTGCTCCTTATCAGCCAAAAAGCAGGAAGAAGGCCCCTAACTGGGGCTGTGCACTCACGTCCATGGTTTAAAGAGTCAGGTTCCCAAGGGTCGACCCCAATACCAAACATTGTTAGCTTCTTAGAGGCAGTGATTTTCAAGTTCTTGAGTTGAATCTTTCAACTCAATCTCCCTCCGTATCATCAGTAACTTTATATTGCTATTCTTGATTTTTTTTCCATTTTAGGCATTATCTGCTGGCTTCCAACTGTAGAAATGAAGATCCTCTTCCTACCCCGACCAGCACAAACACATTTTCTGACTCTCTATCATCCCAGTCTATTTGTCATAATTTTGTGAGCTCTATATTCATTGGTTATCTTCATGTGCCTGTGTAGACACCACTGAGTTAAGGATAACTTCTGCTTTCCTGCACAATTCTCTGTATTTCATAGAATTAACAGTTGTCATATTTTTTCTTTTACTTTGTTTTCTATGTCTTCTTCATTTATTCAAACTCTCCCTTGGTTATGTGAAACTCTTATGAATAATGAATACAATCAAACACCTTAGGTATTATGCCAATTTCATCTTGAAAAACTTTTCTTCCTGAGGGTTTTTACCATCTCCAGCTGATCAAGGACCAATTGTTCTTAGGTCTGGTGGACAGCTCTGGACTTCAGATCTTCCTTTATCACCAATCTGGGAATTTCCTTTGCCTTTTCTTTTGATTTATATTTATTTCTTTAATTTTTTTTTTTTTTGAGACAGAGTCTCACTGTTGCCCAGGCTGGAGTGCAGTGGCACGATCTTGGCTCACTACAACCTCTGCCTCCCGGGTTCAAGTGATTCTCGTGCCTCAGCCTCCCGAGTAGCTGGGACCGCAGGTGTACACCACCACGCTTGGCTAATTTTTTGTATTTTTAGTAGAGATGGGGTTTCACCATGTTTGCCAGGCTGGTCTCGAACTTCTGACCTCGGGTGATCCGCCCACTTTGGCCTCCCAAAGTGCTGGGATTACAGGCGTGAGCCACTGCACCCAGCCTGATTTATATTTATTGATTTATTTCTAAGATGGCTTTTTTTTTTTTTTCTTCTGAGACGGAGTCTCGCTCTGTCACCCAGGCTGGAGTGCAGTGGCATGATCTTGGCTCACTGCAAGCTCCGCCTCCCGGGTTCACACCATTCTCCTGCCTCAGCCTCCCAAGTAGCTGGGACTACAGGCGCCCGCCACTACGCTCAGCTAATTTTTGGTATTTTCAGTAGAGATGGGGTTTCACCATGTTAGCCAGGATGGTCTCAATGTACTGACCTCGTGATCCCCCCACCTCGGCCTCCCAAAGTGCTGGGATTACAGGCGTGAGCCACCACGCCTGGCCCTAAGATGGTTTCTCACTCTGTTGCCTAGGCTGGTCTCAAACTCCTGGGCTCAGAGATCCTCCTGCCTCTGCCACCCAAGTAGCTGGGATCCTCTGTTTCCTGGATCCCTAAATTCCTTTTTCCGGGTTTACCATCTTATTTTGAATGACTTTTCTTTTTTTTTTTTTGAGACAGAATTTTGCTCTTGTTGCCCAGGCTGGAGTACAATGGCGCGATCTCAGCTCACCCTGCAACCTCCGCCTCCCAGGTTCAAGCAGTTCTCCTGCCTCAGCTTCCTGAAGTAGGTGGGATTACAGGCATGTACCACCATGCCTGGCTGATTTTGTATTTTTAGTAGAGATGAGGTTTCTCCATGTTGGTCAGGCTGCTCTCAAACTGCCGACCTCATGTGATCCACCCACCTTGGCCTCCCAAAGTGCTGGGATTACACGCGTAAGCCACTGCGCCCGGCCTGAATCATTTATTTGATGATTTTCTCCAGTCTGTCTTCTCTTTCTGGAACATGGAATTTTCTTTCTTTCTTTTCTTTTCTTTTCTTTTTTTTTTGAAACAGGAGTCTCGCTTTGTCGCCCAGGCTGGAGTGCAGTGGGCGATCTCGGCTCACTATGACCTCCATCTCCCGGGTTCAAATGATTCTCCTGCCTCAGCCTCTCGAGTAGCTGGGACTACAGGCCAGCTACCACCACACTTAGCTAATTTTTGTATTTTTAGTAGAGACAGGGTATCACCATATTGGCCAGGCTGCTCTCAAGCTCCTGACCTTGTGATCCGCCCACTTTGGCCTCCCAAAGTGTTGGGATTACAGGCGTAAGCCACTGCGTCCAGCGCTTTTTTTTTTTTGAGATGGAGTCTCACTCTGTTGCCCAGGCTGGAGTGCAGTGGCACGATCTCAGCTCACTGCAACCTCCTGCCTCCCGGGTTCCAACGATTCTCCTTCTCAGCCTCCTGAGTAGCTGGGAGTACAGGTGTGGGCCACCATGCCTGGCTAATTTTTGTATTTTTAGTAGATACAGGGTTTCACCATGTTGGCCAGGCTGGTCTCAAACTTGTGACCTCAGGTGGTCCACCCGCCTTGGCCTCCCAAAGTACTGGGATTACAGGTGTGAGCCACCACACTAGCCAGAGTGTTCATATATTGGATTTCTTGAACTGTTCATCCTTTTAAAAAATCTTTTCCTTTCATTTTATTTTCTTTGTTCTTTCACTCTACTTTCTGGGAGATATCCTTACCTGTGTCATTGAACTCTTTTTTTTTTGAGACAGAGTCTTGCTCTGTCACCCAGGCTAGAGTGCAGTGGCACCATCTTGGCTCACTGCAACCTCTACCTCCTGGGTTCAAGCGATTCTTCTGCCTCAGTCTCCCGAGTAGCTGAGACTACAGGCACGAGCCACCACGCCCGGCTAATTTTTGTACTTTTGGTAGAGACGGGGTGTCACCATATTGGCCAGGCCTATCTCAAACTGCCGACCTCAGGTCATCTGCCCGCTTTGGCCTCCCAAAGTGTTGGGATTACAGGCGTGAGCCACGGCGCCCGGCTACCCTTTTTTTTTTTTTGAGATGGAGTTTCACGCTTGTTGCCCAGGCTGAAGTGCAATGGCATGATCTCGGCTCACTACAACCTCCACCTCCCGGGTTCAAGCGATTCTCCTGCCTCAGCCTCCCAAGTAGCTGGGATTACAGGTATGCGCCACCACGCCTGGCTAATTTTTGTATTTTTAGTAGAGACGGGGTTTCTCCACGTTGGTCAGCCTGGCCTCGAACTCCCTACCCCAGTTGATCAGCCTGCCTCGGCCTCCCCAAGTGCTGGGATTACAGGTGTGAGCCACTGCGCCCAGCCACCATTCAACTCTTTTGTTGTTTTTCGTTTTTAGTCTCTTATTGTTGTTTCCAGAACATCTTTTTCATTCTTTTTTTTTGAGACAGAGTCTCGCTCTGTCGCCCAGGCTGGAGTGCAGTGGCATAATCTCAGCTCACTGCAAGCTCCACCTCCCGGGTTCATGCCATTCTCCTGCCTCAGCCTCCCAGGTAGCTGGGACTACAGGCGCCCGCCACCACGCCTGGCTAATTTTTTGTGTTTTTAGTAGAGACGGGGTTTCACCGTGTTAGCCAGGATGGTCTTGATCTCCTGACCCTGTGATCCACCCGCCTCAGCCTCCCAAAGTGCTGGGATTACAGGTGTGAGCCACCGCGCCTGGCCCCAGAGCATCTTTTTCATTCTTTGCCTATTCCTTTTCTATAGAATCCTGTTGTTGTTTTGTGGGCATAACATCTTTTATATCTCTAAGGCTAATAATCTTAGATAAAGTTTTCTTCTCCCTCTTATTCTTTTTCTTCTGAGATGCTCTTTCTCTGTCATAAAATAGTATTTCTCAAAGGTAGTAACTCTTGGCTGTCTACTTATATTTAAGAGTAGGGTACTAAAAGGATGTTATAAGCTCTTTGTATGTGGGAAGGGCAGGGAGGGAGGAAGCTATGTTGCCATGAGTTTTACTAGATCGTGACCTGGTACATCCCTTTAAATATCATTAGGTCTTTCCAGTGAGGCTGGATAAAGCCCTAGAGAAGGCTTTTCCCTCTTCTTGACTGTGGATATAAGTTGCTGATGTTTGGGAGACTAATAGGGGAGAAAGGCTTGGAAGACTCAGTGTTCAATATGCAAAATTTAAAAAAAGTCTTCATTTTTAGTATGATAACCCCATCCTTAACTAGGCCAGAAACTCTGTTTTACCTTTCCCTGAAAACAAATCTTCACTGCTCTGCTGAAGAGGGAGTGGGAGGAATGTCTGTGGCTCTAGGTTTTTGTTAAAAAGGCTTTCCAGCCATTCCTCCATTTCTCCTGCTTTGGACTTACCTTCAGCCTCACTTTCACAGGTATCCGAGGTTTCTTTCGTCACTGCTGGTTTCAGATTCAGTGTTTGTTTTTTTTGTTTGTTTGTTTGTTTTTTTGTCTTCTAAATTATTAGCACTTGTTTATGTACCTTCCATCTTCCAAGTTTTTTTTTGCTATTTTCTCCTTTCTTGCTTTCTTCAACCTTGTGAATATATGCTTAATTTTTTTCCCCACTGTCATTTTAGTGCAGGTTTTGGAGAGGAACTAAGGTTAATTCATGTGTTCAGCCTGCAATCTCTAATTGAGAATCCATCCATGCACTTGTGAATATGCCCCAACTCATAGAGCAATTGAAGGGGCTCTCACTGGTACTGTTGGAGTATCTTGTTCTTCAGTCCCTAGACCACAAGAAGTAAAGCATTAGAGGGAGAGGATTGCTGGAATTTAGACCTACCCAGAATGACAAGTGAACTGCATAGGAAGGGACAGAAAAATTATATAAAAATACATACAAGCAGAGCAGTCTGAAGCCATTTAGGACAGGGGCAAACAAAGCTCCACACCTCACTGGCATTGGAAATAGAGTGATAATGCAATAGCAATAGAAAGTATTATGATAAATGCTCATAATAATGATACCAAGTCCTCAAAAAAGATCAAATTATGTTCACTGCACCCTAAGAAGCCAGAAAAAATACTAGAAAGATTTGTGCAAGGAAAATTACTTATGCTGGGCTGGGCACGGTGGCTTACACCTGTAATCCCAGCACTTTGGGAGGCCGAGGCGGGCAGATCACCTAAGGTTGGGAGTTGGAGACCAGCCTGACCAACATGGAGAAACCCCGTCTCTACTAAACAAAACAAAACAAAACAAACAAACAAACAAAAATTAGCCAGGCGTGGTGGCACATGCCTGTAATCCCAGGTACTCGGGAGGCTGAGGCAGGAGAATCACTTGAACCCGGGAGGCGGAGGTGGTGGTGAGCCGAGATCATGCCACTGCACTCCAGCCTGGGCAATAAGAGTGAAACTCCTTCTCAAAAAAAAAGAAAAATGAAAATCATTTATGCTGTGTAATTGTATAGTTGCTTTATAGTTTTAAAAATATTTTCAGCCAGGCACAGTGGCTCACGCCTGTAATGCCAGCACTTGGAAGACTGAGGCAGGTGGATCACGAGGTCAGGAGTTCAAGACCAGCCTGGCCAAGATGGTGAAACCCCGTCTCTACTAAAAATACAAAAAAAAAATTAGCCAGGCATGGTGGCAGGTGCCTGTAATCCTGGATACTCGGGAGGCTGAGGCAGAGAATTGCTTGAGACTGGGAGGCAGAGGCTGCAGACAGCCAAGATTGTGCCACTGCACTCCAGCCTAGGTGACACAGCGAGACTCTGTCTCAAAAAAAAATTTTCACATATATTATTTCATACATACACACACACAAAAAACTTACTTAGAAAAAAAAAACTTAGTAGGAGGCACATGACATTTTTTCCTTCTTGCAGATTAAAGCTTTGAGTTTTATGGATATTAGGACATTTTCTTCAAAACCACATAGCAGTTCAATGAAAGAGCTAACTTTTCTGCTTCCTAAAAATACTTTGGTGTTTCAAAACACAAGTTCCCAGTGTCTGGAAAAATCACTTATGCCTGGTAACGTCTATTCCTGGGCTCCACTTTTGCTAATTGTGTGTTCCTCCAGGGATCTGCTTCCTTGTGCCCGGTGACTCCCCCACTACTTCAAAAACCTTCCATTTTCTTGCTGCCAGGGAAAGCGGTGTGGTGGAACCCACCTGGGCCTGCAAGGCCGTGCTATGCTTGTTACTAGCTGTGTGACCTTGGGCAAGTTACCTTACTGCCAGGTGCTTCAGGGTACGCCTCTCTCAAGTGGGGATTGCAATAGTCCCTACCTTATAAGATTGCTGCAAGGATTAAATGAGTATATATACACACACACACATACACACACATATTTGTATATACTCATTTATAGGTATGTATTGCTGTAGGGATTAAATGTTATATATATATATATATATATATATATATATATATATATATATATATACACACACACATACATATATAATTCTTAATATGCCTTAGCAATTATTATTTCCATTTTCTTAACTCTGGGTCAGAGAATCTTATTTACCTCATATAACAATCATATATGCAGCACTTTAAACCACTGGTAACTCTGCTATACTCTGTTATAGGTTGTGCATAGCATATAATTCATGATATTGGTGTGAAGAAAGGGATGTTTTAATGAAAATACCTCTCAAATGTTTGTGTAGCCATAGATGATCTTTAATTCTGAAAACCTCTCCTGTCTCCAATTCTGAGGTCATAATCCACCTGTCTCTTCAGGCATCTTTCTGTTGAGGTTTAGTTTTGCAGTCACTAAAAGATGCCTTTGTCCTGTTTTTCTGCCCTGCAGATTTTCAGGTTCTGAACACAAGCCCAGTTTCTGCTTCTGATGATCATTTTCAATAGAGCATAAAAAACAGAGCCATGTTCCACGTTTTTACGGCCTCTGCACTTGGCAAAATATTCTTCCCGAATGGCCTCACGTGTGCTCCCTATCATCACGCCTTTTCAGCTAGGCAACGCTCAGAGTCACACCTGAGTGGAGGCCGACGCCCCTTTGGAGGCGACTCCAGCCATAAAAAGTCCTGCTTGGAGCTGGTTTTAGCCACAGAGGGCCAATAAATGGCCCCTTCTGAATGAGGTGCCCCTGCACCTCTGCAGAGCCTGCTGCCAGCCTCCAGGATCTAACTGGGCTCTGATTCACCGCTCCCAACCCCACATCCAGGTAAGTGTGCCCAGCTCTTGTCTCTGCTTCCACCTCAAGATCTGAGTCTCCACTCCCCAGAACCCGGCAGGTTCTGCCTGACAAGGACCTGCAGTCCTCTGCCAGCTGCCACACCCTTGCCAAGGTGTGACTTGGAGTCCTGGAGCCACCTTCGGAGATGTGAAAATTAGCTCCTACTTTTAGCTAAAGCGTTTGGAAAGAAAAGCTTGATCTTTAGCTTTGACCTGGTCTTTAAAAAAACCCTTCAAGGGGAACATCACACACCAGGGCCTGTCGGGGGGGTCGGGGCTGGGGGAGGGATAGCATTAGGAGAAATACCTAATGTAAATGATGTGTTGATGGGTGCAGCAAACCAACATGGCACAGGTATACCTATGTATCAAACCTGCACATTGTGCACATGTACCCTAGAACTTAAAGTATAAAAAAAACCCACAAAAAACCCTTCACATGATTTACTTTCAGAATTGGTGGTTTCCCTTTGTGCGGCGCTGGAATCAATCTTGTTTCTCCTTATTACTTGCGGTGCATTCTGCTTCCTCTAACTTTCAAAAAATTAGTGTTAAACTCTTTTTTTTTTTTTTGAGACAAAATCTCACTCTGTCATCCAGACTGGAGTGCAATGGTGCAATCTCAGCTCACTGCAACCTCCACCTCCAGGGTTCAAGCAATTCTCCTGCCTCAGCCTCCCAAGTAGCTGGGATTACAGGTGCGCACCACCACACCTAATTTTTGTATTTTAGTAGGGGCTGGTCTCGAACCCCTTCCATTGTGATCCACCTGCCTCGGCCTCCCAAAGTGCTGGGATTACAGGCATGCACCACTGAGCCCAGCCTAGTCTTGAACTCTTGATGAGGGAATCCCTGACCCCTCTGTGTTTTCACTTTGGGATTTCTTCCTGTTTATTAAATGAATGACCTTGGTACTTTTTGGAGAAAATGACAAAAAGGAGCATCAAGGCTCCAGATGTATGGGAGCTGCAGAACTGAAACTGCCGTGGGCTTTTGGGGGTAGATTTGGGGTCTTGGGGGTAGATTTGAGTGGGACTGGGGAGGAGTGGGGTGCAATCGAGTCTTTAGACCATGCATGTGACATGGAGGTCCCTGGTGTAGCCTCCCATGTCTGCATTTCTAATTGGCTTGGATGAGGCATCCCAATAGTTACTTCTAAGAATAGTCATGGCTAATATTTATCAAGAGCTTTCTATGTGGCAGGTACTTTGCATGTGTTTTTCCTTTAATTCTGACAATGGACCCTCTGTGGTGGGTGCTTTTATTATCCACATTTTCAGATGAGGAAACTGAAGTATAGAGAGTTGAAACAACTTGGTCGAGGCCCCACTGCTACAGTGCTAAGGCCAGCTACAAAGCGAGGTCTGACTCTGACCGTCCTGGGTACAGGAGCCTTGTCTGCTCCACTTGTCCCTTGGAGCGTTGTTCTTGCTGGTCCTCTTCACACCCCAGCTCTTGTCTCCTACCTCCTGCCCCCTCTACTGTCCTGTCCCCGCATCCCTGATTTCCCCCCTAAAACATATATTTTATTATAGCTACTTTTTACTCTCTGTCTAATGGGTTGCCCCACAGTCCACAATCACATTTTGAGGAAGGAGAACTTCCCAGAGTTCATGAACAGATTTTGGAGTGCCTCTTTGCGGTGCTTGTTTCCAAAACCAACATGCTGTGGACCTTTCAAAGACACAGTACACACAAACACACACACACCCTCCCTCCAACACAAATAAACCCACATGCGGCCGGGCATGGTGGCTCACGCCTGTAATTCCAGCACTTTGGGAGGCCGAGGTGGGCGGATCACCTGAGGTCAGGAGTTCGAGAGCAGCCTGACCAACATGGTGAAACCCCATTTCTACTAAAAATACAAAAAATCAGTGGGGCATGGTGGCGCACGCCTGCAATCCCAGCTACTCGGGAGGCTGAGGCAGGAGAACTGCTTGAACCCGGGAGGCGGAGGCTGCAGTGAGCTGAGATTGCGCCATTGCACTCCAGCTTGGGCAACAAGAGTGAAACTCTGTCTACAAAAAAAAAAAAAAAAAAAAAAAAACAAACCCCACATGCACATAAACCGAAACACACACGAACACACAAACACCCACATGAACATGCGCACAAGCCCCCCACATCAAACTCAGATGCACACAGCAAGCATGCATGTAAGCCACACACTTGCCACTCTGGCTGCCTCAGCACTGCAGAGCCCCTCTCCCCGGCCTCTAGTTGGATCCCTGGTGCACACTGGAGGGAAATAAAACCTACCCCAACAGGAAGTGAAACAGTTGGTGAGCTTTTCCGGTGCTCTGCACAGATGCTGGGGCGCTGAGCAAACAGCCCTCAGTTTCTGGAGCTGTTCCGAGGTAACTGGGGTCCTTTGGGAGCTGTGGGATGATGAGGTTCAGGAGGTAGCTGGGAAGTCCGGAGCTTGGGCTTGATCCACCTGCACCTCTCCCTGTCTCCATCTGAGCTGGGTCTGAGACTCTCAGTGGAGGAGTAACAGGCTTTCTCCCAACAGGCTTTTGAAAATGGGCCCAAGGGCATTTACTCAGGACCACAGATGCATGTGGCCTACTCCACTGTCACCAGGCTGGAGTGTGGTGGCACGATCTCGGCTCTCTGCAACTTCTGCCTCTCGAGTTCAAGCCATTCTTGTGCCTCAGCCTCCCTAATAGCTGTGATTACAGGCACCCACCACCACGCCCGGCTAATTTTTGTATTTTTAGTAGAGACGGGGTTTCACCGTGTTGGCCAGGCTGGTCTTGAACGACTGACGTCAGGTGATCTGCCTGCCTCGGCCTTCCAAAGGGCTGGGATCACAGGCAGAGCCACCACACCCAGCCTCCTTTCTTCTTAGTCTGGAAGCAAACTACTTTATGAAGTTTTCATGCATCCTCTTTTAAAAGTAAAAGGAAAATCTTGTGGAGGAGAGAAGATGAAGTAGATATAGCAATAAATTGTGAATAAGGATTGTTTTTACTAGTATTCAACCAGGCAGGTCTTGACCACCATTAGATAAACTTCTGTCTGGCAGCCTGGAAAAGTTCACAGTTGCTGGGACACAAATGCTTTTGGGGTCCTTCTTGGAGAGGATGGAGTTGAAGATTTGGGAGCTTGATGGCCTTTGTTATGTGTCACCAGGGAGACAGGGACAAGGGGCGGGGCTGTTGATGGAGAATGTGGCATGGGGTAGGTGGGATGGTGACATAGAAGTCACCGTGCTCCTGCCCTAGAGATTTTAGTAGCAGGCAAACACCGTGGTCAAAAAAGAGAGTCAAGGACTTAATGAAGTTAAAGGGGTTCTGCTGACGTCCAGCACTCTGATTTTGGGGGTACAGCTTCTGCCATAACTGCATATTGCTGATACTAGTTCCTTCTTAAAATTTTCTTTGCTATCTGATGTACTACAGAATAACTGAGCTGGGAAGAATCTTGGATATTAAAATGATTTAATGAGTAGCAAACTTTCCATTTTTGTCATATCCTTGCACCTCTATTTACTTAATATTTTTCTTTAACTTAAAAATTTTTCAACAAAAACAATAATAGTTACGATATCATGGGTTTGATGTGCTAATACATGTTTTAAAATTACCTATCTGTCAACATAACCCCTATCCATTTGTGAGCCACCTAAGATTGTATTTATGCCACTGATGATATTCATGCTGCACTTGGAAAACCACTGATCTTGTCCAAGTTACCTTTTTTGTAGGTGAGGACACTGAGATCTGGAGACGTTAGTGATTTGCCCAAGGTTGCACAGTTAGAATGATACTAATTTGAGGCTGTTCCTAAGGTCTCCTAATTTACAGTCTTGACATGTTCCAGTATGCTGTATCATACTTTCAAGTGTAGAGAAACAATCGTTTTATTTTCATTTTAAAAATTTTATTTACGTATTTATTTTTGAGACAGAGTCTTGCTCTGTCACCCAGGCTGGAGTGCAGTGGTGCAATCTAGGCTCACTGAAACCTCCGCCTCCCAGGTTCAAGAACTTCTCATGCCTCAGCCTCATGAATAGCTGGGACTACAGGTTCAATACACCACGCCTGGCTAATTTTTGTATTTTGGTTTTGCTATGTTGCCCAGGCTGGTATCGAACTCCTGGGCACCAGTGATCTGCCCACCTCAGCCTCCCAAAGTGCTGGGATTATAGGCATGAGCCACTGCCCCTTCTTAAATGTAATTCAAATAGATAACCCAGGTAAAGGAGCAGCATAGAGCCTTGTGTGAGGAGATGCTGAATACATTTCCTTCCTTCAGTCCCTGCTCGTTGCCACCCTGAACTGGCTGCTCTCTGCAAGTTTTGATAATCCTTTCTAATGCTAATGCTCTGAAATACCAAGATGCTGTACCTTGGTGTGGCCACAGAATGATTGACTGTGCTGTGCAAGGTACTCAATCTAAAGACTGTCAGTTCTGGGGCAATTTCTTGTATTCCTTATTGGCTTATTTCCTTCACCTGTTTTTTTTTTCTTTTTCCTTCTGAAATGTCTGTTATTTGGGTGTTGGATTTCTTCAACCAATAATCATCTCATTTTCTTTTCTCCTATTTTGCTTTACTTTTAAAAATATTTTCTTTAACTTCATTTTTAATATTGCTAGTAAATTTTTAAACATTCGGCTTTGCTGTTTTTAATTTCTGAAAGTTCTTTCTAATTCTCATTTTTTTAATCACCTCCTGTTCCTGTTTTACACACACAATGTTTTATGTCTTTAAGGATGTTAATTACAGTTCTTTCAGGTTTTTCTTTTATTTCCTGTGTTGCTTTGTTTCCTCTCAGTTCCTTATCTCTGTGTGTTTTGTTTTGGTTTCTTTCTCAGTTTGAAGCATGTCTTATGATCTTGTGCTCTGGTTATATTTGTTATTTATTTATTTATTTTAACTTTAATCCATTTTATTTGAGTCTCTCTCTCTATATATATGTGTGTGTGTGTGTGTGTTTTTTTTTTTTTTGAGGTGGAGTCTTGCTCTGTTGCCGGGCTGGAGTGCAGTGGCACGAACTCGGCTCACTGCAACCTCTGCCCTCTGGGTTCAAGCAAGTTTCCTGCCTCAGCCTCCCAAGTAGCTGGGATTACAGGCACACGCCACATGGCTAGTTTTTGTATTTTTAGTAGAGACAGGGTTTTGCCATGTTGGCCAGGCTGGTCTTGAACTCCTGACCTTGTGATCCACCTGCCTCGGCCTCCCTAAGTGCTGGGATTACAGGCATGAGCCACCATGCCCGGTCTTAGTTACTCTGAAATATACATAATATTATTGCTAAGTATAGTCACCCTAGTCTACTATGAAACATTAGAACTTATTTCTTCTATCTAACTGTAGGTTTTTTTTTTTCCTGGGAGTGGGGCAGATAGGGTTTCACTCTGTCACCCAGGCAGGAGTGCAATGGCACCATCATGGCTCACTGCAGCCTTGACCTCCCAGACTCAAGTGATCCTCCCACCTCAGCCTGCTGAGTAGCTGGGAGTACAGGTGTGTACCACTACACATGGATAATTTTTATTATTATATTTATTTATTTATTTTGAGATGAAGTCTTGCTTCTTCCCCAGGCTGGAGTGCAGTGGTGCGATATCGGCTCACTGCAACCTCCGCCTCTCAGGTTCAAGCGATTCTCCTGCCTCAGCCTCCTGTGTAGTTGGGATTACAGGTGCACGCCACCACGCCTGACTAATTTTTGTATTTTTAGTAGAGATGGGGTTTCACCATGTTGGTCAGGCTGGTCTCGAACTCCTGACCTCGTGATCTGCCTGCCGATAATTTTTAAATTTTTTGTAGAGATGGGGGTCTCGCTTTGTTGCCCAGGCCAGTCTTCAACTTCTAGGCTCAAGTGATTCTCCTGCCTCAGCCTCTTGAAGTGCTTGTCTATTTGTACCCATAACCAACTTCTCTTCATCCCCCATGTCTACCCCAACCCTTCATAGTCTCTGGTGTCTATCTTTCTATTCTCTATATCTATGAGATCAACTTCCTTAGCTCTCACACATGAGTGGGAACATACGGTGTTTGTCCTTCTGTGTCTGGCTTATTTCATTTAACATTATGTCTTCTAGTTCCGTGCATGTTGGTGCAAATGACGTGATTTCTTTTTTCTTTTTTTTTTTTTGAGACGGAGTCTTGCTCTGTCGCCCAGGCTGGAGTGCAATGGCATGATCTCGGCTCACTGCAACCTCCGCCTCCTGGGTTCAAGCAATTCTCCTGCCTCAGCCTCCTGAGTAGCTGGGATTACAGGCATCCGCCACCACGCTCAGCTAATTTTTGTATTTTTAGTAGAGACGGGGTTTCACCATGTTGGTCAGGCTGGTCTCAAACCCCTGACCTCGTGATCCACCTGCCTCCTGCCTCGGCCTCCCAAAGTGCTGGGATTACAGGCGTAAGCCACCGTGCCCAGCCCGTGATTTCATTTTTTAATGGCTGAGTAGTATTCCATTGTGTATATATGCCACATTTTCTTTCTTTTTTAAATAACTGGCTTCTGCTTTCTTGTGTAATTTACACAGGAGAACCCCAAATTCCACACTTTGTTTTTCTCTTCTGCCTTTGTTATTCTTTCAGTATGTATGTCCACAGAGATTGTTTCTCCCAATAGCATATGCGGTTTGATCCTCAACCAGGACACACAGGCCCTACAAAATCCCAGCCCTCCAAGACGGATGCCTGGGCCCTCCCATTTGACTGCACCCATGTCTGTTTGTACTGGGGCTCTGCCCTGGTCCTGTCACCCCTGAGGTGTCCTTAGGGTAGGAATGCCAGACAGGCTCCGTGTGATGTGTCAACTCTGAATAAATACAAGAGGCTGCTAGGAGCCCCCAGCTGAGGATTGACAGGCAGGCTATATCTGGGCTCCATTTCAAAGAATGCTGTGATCCATTAGCAATGTCTGCCATGGCAATACCCATTAGGAGTACCTGGAAGGAGGGTTTTGGGGAATGGGCTCAGAAAGGAACAAAGTGTTTCCTTCCATTCTTGCCTTAGGTGGCTGTTCTGCCACCCAGGCTGTGCTGTCTCAGTGGCCAGTGGCTGAGGAGGAAGTCTGAAGGCCACAGAGTTGCAAATGGCTTCCCTGGGGCCTGCAGGACCAGCATAGGCCCCAAGCTAGAGGAAGCTTGGAGGGGCACCCATGCTGGGTCCTGCGGAGCTCTGCATACTACAGGCCACCCTGGCATTAGCTCCTTATCCTCTGGAGTCCATCTGATCCTGGAGAAGACAGCTGGCTGGCCTCAGAGCGTTAGATGCAACTCGGGGATAAAAACATTTTTACATGGTACGGACACAGAAATGGGCTTTACCTCTGAATAAACTTAGAAACTTTCCATCCGAACTAAAAGGGTGTATCTTCTATATGTTGCCAAGAAACCTAAACTGAGTACAAGGACAATTTTACTTTAATCAAGTTACAGAATGAGGGTACACAGCTTCGAAAAGCAGTTTGTAGCAGAAGATGCGAGGGTGTGTGTAAAGCCATGTTTCTAGAATATACCAAAGGAAACACACACAACCCCAGCATGGCCTTTTGCCAACCCTCGATGCTGCTCCCTACTGGGGGCAGGCGGCTATTTCGTCCAGCTGACTCTGGGAATGTAATGCTCCGTGAGTGTGTCCAGGTGTCTGTTGAAGTCCTCCACTCTCTGCTTGTGGGTTTTGGATGCTATTTTTTTTTTTTTTTTTTTTTGAGACAGAGTTTCGCTCTTGTTGCTCAGGCTGGAGTGCAATGGAACAATCTTGGCTCACTGCAACCTCTCCCTACCGGGTTCAAGCGATTCTCCTGCCTCAGCCTCCTGAGTAGCTGGAATTACAGGCACACACCACCACGCCCAGCTAATTTTTTGTATTTTTAATAGAGACGGGGTTTCACCGTGTTGGCCAGACTGGTCTTGAACTCCTGACTTCAGGTGATCCACCCGCCTCAGCCTCCTGAAGTGCTGGGATTACAGGCGTGAGTCACCAAGCCTGGCCTGGATGCTTTCTTGAGGATCCTTTCCATTGCCGCTTCTCCTGCATTTTCTCAAAGGCTGCGCGGGCCGGGGTCCACTTGTCCAGGCCGTGCTGCTTCTCCTCCTCATTCTTTTTGTTCATTCCCATTGATTCCGGGAGTTTAGCTTTGTCTTTGTCCTTCTTTTTCTTCTTCCGCTTGGTCACTCTGAGCTCTGCGACGCCTTTCAGCTTTAGAAGTCCTTTTTGTACCTGCTCGTAGGCATCCACGACACTCCCCGGTGCTTCGGTAGATGGACTTGCCACGTTTTCTTTATCCGTTGATCTGTTGGTGGACACTTGGGTTGTTTCCATAACTTTGCTATTGTGAATAGTGCTGCAATAAGCATCCGAGTACAGGTATCCCTTTGACATACTGATTTCCTTCCCTTTGGATAGATACCCAGTAATGGGATTGCTGGATCGTATGGTAGTTCTATTTTTAGTTTTTCAAGAAATATCCATACTGTTCTCCATAGTGGCTGTACTAGTTTACACTCCCACCAGTGGTGTAAGGAGCTCCCTTTTCTCTACATCCTCACCAGCATCTGTTATTTTTTGCCTTTTAAGTAATAGCCATTTTTTGAGATGGGGTGAGACGATCTCATTGTAGTTTTGATTTGCACTCCCCCAGTGATTAGAAAAAATGTTGGCTGGGCCTGGTGGCTCAGATCTATAATCCCAGAATGTCGGGAGGTAGAGGCAGGAGGATCGCTTGAGCCCAGGAGTTTGAGACCAGCCATGGCAACATAGTGAGACCCTGTCTCTAAAGAAAAAAAAAAAATTAGCTGAGTGTAGTGGTACTACACTCAGCTACTCAGGAGGCTAGGGTGGGAGGATTCCTTGAAGCCGGGAGGTTGCCGCTGCAGCGAGCTTTGGAGTCCAACCAAGTGGACTCACGCTACTGCATTCCAGCCTGGGCAACAGAGTAAGACCCTGTCTCAAGGAAAAAAAAAAAAGAAAGAAAGAAAGCAAAGCAAAGAAAAAAATTTGGGCATTTATTCGTATACGTATTGGCCATTTTGTATGTCTTTGGGTCTTTGGCCATTTTTTAAGTGAGATTATTTGTCCTTTTACTGTTGAGTTGTTTGATTTCCTTATATAGTCTGGATATTAGCTCTCCATCAGATAACTAATTTGTAAATATTTTCTCCTATTCAAGAGATTGGCCGGGCATGGTGACTCACGCCTGTAATCCCAGCACTTTGGGAGGCCAAGGCAGGAGGATCACCTGAGGTCAGGAGTTCAAGACCAGCCTGGGCAACATAGTGAAACTCCGTCTCTACTACAAATACAAAAAAATTAGCCGGGCCTGGTGGCACATGCCTGTAGTCCCAGCTACTCAGGAGCTGGGAGGCTCAGGCAGAAGAACTACTTGGACCAGGGAGACGGAGATTGCAGTGAGCCAAGAAAAGGCTGGGCACGGTGGCTCATGTCTGTAATGCCAGTACTTTAGGAGTCCGAGTCTGGTGGATCACCTGAGGTCAGGAGTTCGAGACCAGCCTAACCAACGTGGTGAAACCCCATCTCTATTAAAAATATAAAAAAATTAGCCGGGCGTGGTGGCACGTGTCTGTAATCCCAGCTAGTCTGGAGGCTGAGGCAGGAGAATCGCTTGAACCTGGGAGGAGGAGGTTACGGTGAGCCGAGATCGCGCCATTGTACTCCAGCCTGGTTGACAAGAGCGAAACTCCGTCCCCCACAAAAGAAAAGAAAAGAAAAGAAAAGAAAAAAATAGGTTGTCTCTTCATTCTGTTAATTGTTTCTTTGCTATTTAATTAATTAATTAATTAATTTTTTTTTCCTCTTTTTTTGAGACGGAGTCTCACTCTGTTGGCAGGCTGGAGTGCAGTGGCACGATCTTGGCTCACTGCAACCTCCGCCTCCCGGATTCAAGCAATTCTCCTGCCTCAGGCTCCTGAGTAGCTGGGACTACAGGTGCATGCCACCACGCCCAGCTAATTTTTGTATTTTCAGTAGAGACGGGGTTTCACCATGTTGGCCAGGATGCTCTCGATCTCTTGACCTCGTGATCCGTCCACCTCAGCCTCCCAAAGTGCTGGGATTACAGGGGTGAGCCACTGCGCCTGGCCAATTCATTTATTTATTAGAGAGGATATGACATTGTTACCCAGGTTGGATTGCAGTGGCGCAATTTTGGCTCATTGCATCCTCGATTTCCCAGGCTCAGGTGAACTTCCCACCTCAGCCTCCCCAGTAGCTGGGACTATAGGTGTGCACAACCACGCCCAGCTAATTTTTGTATCTTTTGTAGAGATGGAGTTTCAACATGTTGCTGAGAATGGTCTTGAATTCCTGGGCTTGAGCAATCCACCTGCTGTGCCAGCACCTGGTCTTATTTTAATTTTATTTATTTATTTTGAGATTGAGTCTTGCTCTGTCGCCCAGGCTGGAGTGCAGTGGCGCGAACTCAGCTTATTCTAACCTCTGCCTCCTGGGTTCAAGTGATTCTCCTGTCTCAGCCTCCCAAACAGCTGGGACTACAGGCATGCGTCACCATGCCCAGCTAATTTTTGTATTTTTAGTAGGACGGGTTTTCATCATATTGGCCAGGCTGGTCTCAAACTCCTGACCTCGTGATCCACCCGCCTCGGCCTCCTGAAGTGTTGGGATTACAGGCGTGAGCCACCGCGCCCAGCCGTATTTTTATTTTTTAATAAAAAAATATTTTTTTTAGAGACAAGGTCTTGATCTGTTGCCAAGGCTGGAGTGCAGTGGTGAGGTCAAAGCTCATTGCAGCCTCAAAGTACTGGGCTCAAGTGATGCTCCCGCTTCAGCCTCCTGAATAGCTGGGACCACAGGCATGCTGGTTATATTTAAAAGTAAAACACTGGCTGGACATGTTGGCTCATGCCTGTAGTCCCAGCACTTTGGGAGGCTGAGATGAGTGGATCACTTGAGGCTAGGAGTTCAAGACCAGCCTGGCCAATATGGTCTCTATTAAAAATACAAAAATTAGCTGGGTATGGTGACGCGTGCCTGTAGTCCCAGCCACTTGGGAGGCTGAGGCACGAGAATCGCTTAAACCCTGGAGGCGGAGGTTGTAGAGGGCCAAGATCACGTCACTGCAGTCCAGCCTGGGTGACAGAGCAAGACTCTGTCTTAAAAAAAACAAAAATTAAAATAAATAAAATAAAATAAAAGTGAACCACTAAAAATCAGATTGCAGTGTCTTTATGCATGAGCCAGGGCTTGTTTGACCTCATGGTGACCTTTAATTTGGGAAAACCTGCCGGGCGCGGTGACTCATGCCTGTAATCCCAGCACTTTGGGAGACTGAGGCTGGCGGATCACCTGAGGTCAGGAGTTCGAGACCAGCCTGACCAACATGGAGAAACCCCGTCTCTACTAAAAATACAAAATTAGCCGGGCGTGGTGATGCATGCCTGTAATCCCAGCTATTTGGGAGGCTGAGGCAGGAGAAGCACTTGAACCCGGGAGGCGGAGGTTGCAGTGAGCCGAGATCACACCATTACACTCCAGCCTAGGCAACAAGAGTGAAACTCCATCTCAAAAAAAAAAAAAAATGCCAGGTGGTGCAGTGGCTCACGCCTGTAATCCCAGCACTTTGGGAGGCCCAGGCGGGCAGATCACGAGGTCAGGAGATCGTGACCATCCTGTCTAACACAGTGAAACCCCGTCTCTACTAAAAATACAAAAAATTAGCCGGGCATGGTGGCGGGCACCTGTAGTCCCAGCTACTCGGGAGGCTGAGGCAGGAGAATGGTGTGAACCCAGGAGGCGGAGCTCGCAGTGAGCCGAGATTGCACCACCGTGCTCCAGCCTGGGCAGCAGAGCGAGACTCCGTCTCAAAAAAAAAAAAAAAAAAATTGGGAAACCCCTACCTGTCTGTACCTGTAGGTCTTTTCTCTGGGGTCTGGAAGAAGAATCCTTCAATATCTTGCCTTCTGGTAATCTGAGAGCAGGGCGAGAAAAGGAAGATCAGAGTTCCACCCTTAAATCTGTAGGTTTTCACTCCCCCACTCTCCTTTGCAGTCCCGTGGAGTCTCCATCTGAGCCCTTTCCTAGTCCAGGCATCCCGATGTTGGTGGATGGCCCATCTGAGCGGCCAGCCCTGTGCTTCTTGCTGTTGGCTGTGGCAATGTCTTTCTTCGGCTCAGCTCTATCCATAGATGAAACACGGGCGCATCTGTTGTTGAAAGAAAAGATGATGCGGCTGGGGGGGCGGCTGGTGCTGAACACCAAGGAGGAGCTGGCCAATGAGAGGCTCATGACGCTCAAAATCGCTGAGATGAAGGAGGCCATGAGGACCCTGATATTCCCACCCAGCATGCACTTTTTCCAGGCCAAGCATCTCATTGAGAGAAGTCAAGTGTTTAATATTCTAAGGATGATGCCAAAAGGTAAGGTTTGGAAAGGGGTGGCTTGGGGTGCTGGGAAGGTAGAGGGACTCATCTTGGGGCTATTACTGTGCTTGTGGCTGTTGCTATTCTAGATGGAGCAGAGAAAGCCTCACTCAGCTGTTCTGCTCCTCTGTCCTTATGGGTAGACTAGGAAAAGGGTGTTGAAAACCAAAACCCCTGCTTCCTGGGGGACTCGCAGACAGTCAGGATTGGAAAAGCATCCAGCCCTGAGACTTTGCTATTCCCTTTTTAGTTTTCCCAGGGGCTAAGCTACCACATAGGATACAATGTGATATAGCATCCTGGAGTAGTATAAACACACCTCCATGAAACATGAAATAATTAGCATCCCGCACATATAAATAGCCAGGGGTGGTGGTGCACCTGTAATCCGAGCTACTCTGGAGGCTGAGTGGAGAGTATCGCTTGAGCCCAGGAGGTGGAGTTTGCAGGGAGCTATGATGGCACCTCTGCACTCCAGCCTGGGCGACAGAGCAAGACCCTGTTCCCCAAAAAATGTTAATTTTTTTTTTTATTAAAAAAAATTTTTTTTGAGACAGAGTCTCACTCTGTTGCCCAGGCTGAAGTGCACTGGTGTGATCTTGGCTCACTGCAACCTCTGCCTCCCAGGTTCAAGTGATTCTCCTGCCTCAGCCTCCTGAGTAGCTGGGATTACATGCATGAACCACCACACCTGGATAATTTTTGTACTTTTAGTAGAGACGGGGTTTCACCATGTTGGCCAGGCTGATCTCGAACACCTGAGCTCAGGCAATCCACACTCCTCGGCCTCCCAAAGTGCTGGGATTACAGGTGTGAGCCACTGCACCTGGCCAAAAATGTTAATTTAAAATGTAAAAATAATAGCAGCTTGCAGTTTACAAAGACTTAACACCTGTTTTTTTTTTTTCTTTTTTTTTCTTTTTTTTTTTGAGACGGAGTCTTGTTCTGTCGCCCAGGCTGGAGTGCGGTGGCGTGATCTCAGCTCACTGCAACATCCTTCTTCCAGGTTCAAGCAATTCTCCTGCCTCAGCCTCCCGAGTAGCTGGGATTACAGGCACATGCCACCATGCCTGGCTAATTTTTGTATTTTTAGTAGAGATGGGGTTTCACCATGTTAGTCAGGCTGGTCTCGAACTCCTGACCTCGTGATCTGCCTGCCTCGGCCTCCCAAAGTGCTGGGGTTACAGGAGTGAGCCACTGTGCCCAGCTGTTTTTTTTTCTTTTAATGTTATAAATAGAGATTTAAAAAATAATAATAATCGTGAGGTCAGTAAAGTAGCATCCCCAGTTGCTGGGAGGCATAAGAGGGTGTCTGGGGGCTCGTGTCAGGGCCAGGGGCTGGATGGGCACAAGAAGCGCAGAGGGACAGCATGCACTGTGCCTAGGGGAGCAAGGGGCACAGCTGGTGTCTGGTGGGGAGGACAAGCATGGGGATTCAACTGGCAAAGCCTGCAGGCCAGAAGCTGTACAGACACAGGCCCAGCGCAGGGGATGAAAAGCCAGTGGGAGAGGAGTTGAGGGGCAGGATGAGAGGATGGAGGACAAGTGTGTGAAAAGGACCGTGGCCCTGGGGCTCATCCCAGTGTATCCCGTCATGCAGTGTTGGGTGGCCTCATTGAAAGGCCTGGGCTCCCATTGGAGAGCTAGAAGCCAATGGAGCCCTGACTTGAACCTCAGTTCTCTGGTTCCAAGCCTGATGCCCTCTCACTCTCCCATGCTGCCCCTCTTGGACAAGATCACCCCTGGCTCCTGATTAGTGAGACATGGAAGCCCCATCCTTAAACTAGAGCCTTAAACAAGTTCCGAGAAACATGTCTGGACAGAAATCCTTCTGCTTGCACGTCTTCTTGTGATCCACACTGTCCCCAAGCCCCGGAGCCCTGGGATGGGACTTCACCCCTTTGTCCCCAAGCCCCGGAGCCCTGGGATGGGACTTCACCCCTTTGTCCCCACAGCCCCAGAGTCCTGGGATGGGACTTCACCCCCTCCTTTGTCCCCAAGCCCTGGAGTCCTGGGATGGGACTTCACCCCTTTGTCTTCACCATTCTTCTTCCCTCTCCAGGGGCTGCCTTGCACCTCCATGACATTGGCATCGTGACTATGGACTGGCTGGTGAGGAATGTCACCTACAGGCCTCACTGCCACATCTGTTTCACCCCAAGGGGGATCATGCAGTTCAGATTTGCTCACCCAACTCCCCGTCCATCAGAAAAATGTTCCAAGTGGATTCTGCTGGAGGATTATCGGAAGCGGGTGCAGAACGTCACTGAGTTTGATGACAGGTGAGTAGTAGTTCAGAAAGCACATGTCCCAGGCCTGTCATGGGGTGGCAGTGGGTAGGTGTCTCCCTTGGTACAAACCTATAGATAAAAATCTGGCTTTAATAAAACATGAGGCAAGGCTGAGTGCGGTGGTTCACGCCTATAATCCCAGCACTTTGGGAGGCCAAGGCGAGCGGATCACTTGAGCCCAGGAGTTGCCAGTCTGGTCAACATGGTGAAAGCCCATCTCTACCAAAAATACAAAAAATTAGCCAGGTGTGGTGCTGCACCTGTAGTCCCAGGTACTTGGGAGGCTGAGGCAGGAGGATCACTTTAACCCAGGAGGATCACTTTAACCCAGGAGGTTGAGGCCACAGTGAACTGAGATGGAGCCACTGTACTCCAGCCTGAGTGACAAAATAAAACCCTATCTCAAAAAAAAAGCATGAGCACCTTTTTCTTTTAACCTTGCAGGATACTTTGCTCCACAAAAGCATTCAACACCTTTTCTATCCATAGTAGTTTTTCTGGTGCATTTAAAATCTACAAAAAGCATTATCAGCAACACTATTTTTGTTTGTTATTATTATTGTTATTTATTATTATTATTATTTGAGACAGGGTCTTGCTCTGTCACCCAGGTTGGAGTGTAGTGGCGTGATCTTGGCTCACAGCAGCCTGATCTTGGCTCACAGCAGCCTCTGCCTCCCGGGTTCAAGTGATTTTCCTGCCTCAGCTTTCTGAGTAGCTGGGATTACAGACATGTGCCACCATGCCTGGCTAATTTTTGTATTTTTAGTAGAGACAGGGTTTCACCATGTTGGCCAGGCTGGTCTTGAACTCCTGACCTCAGGAGATCTGCCCATCTTGGCCTCCCAAAGTGCTGAGATTACAGGCATGAGTGACCATGCCTAGTCAGCAACACTATTGCTGTAGCAAATGAGATTTGTCTGATGCTCAATAAAACCAGAGAGAATAAAAGTTCCTAGCTCTGAAGTGATGACAATCTAGCTGGAAGATAAATCTTCTTGAAAATCTGATGCAGCAACTTCCTAACAGACTTGTATAGTATCATTATTATTATTACTATTTAAGACAGGGTCTCATTCTATCATCTAGGCTGGAGTGCAGTGGCACAATCTCGGCTCACTTCAGACTCAACCTCCCAGGCTGAAGCAATCCTCCTGTGTCAGCCTCCTGTGTCAGCTGAAGCAATCCTCCTGTGTCAGCACACTAGAGGTGTGCACCATCATGCCCAGCTAATTTTTGTATTTTTTGTGAGATGGGGTTTTGCCGTGTTGCCCAGGCTGGTCTTGAACTCTGCGGCTCAAGCCGTCCTCTCACCTTGGCCTCCCAAAGTGCTAGGACTACAGGCATGAGCCGAGCCATTGTGCCTGGCATTGTATAGTAATATTATAAGTGACAATTAATTTGGTCACAGAAATGTCTACAGAGTGCCCCCCTGAGGTTACTTCCCTTTATGAAATGAGAAACGTGAAGCTGAGCAAGGTTAATTAGCTTATGCAAGGACACACAGCTGGTAAATGGCCAGTTGGGGATACAAACCTGGGTGCTGATTCGAGTTATTTCCATTCCACTCCCTTCATTAACCTGCTCGAGCTGCCATAACAGAATACCACAGGCTGGGGAGCTTAAACAATAGGAACTGATTTTCTCAAGCCGGGCACACTGGGTCATGCCTGTAATCCTAGCACTTCGGGAGGCTGAGGTGGGAGGATCACTTGCACCCAGGAGTTCAAGACCAGCCTGGTGGCCGGGTGTGGTGGCTCATGCTTGTAATCCTAACACTTTGGGAGACCGAGGTGGGCGGATCACTTGAGGTCAGGAGTTCAAAACCAGCCAGGCCAACATGGTGAAACCCTGTCTCTACTAAAAATACAAAAAAATTAGCCGTGCATGCTGGCAGCCACCTGTAATCCCAGCTACTCGGGAGGCCAAGGCAGGAGAATCACTTGAACCTGGGAGGCGGAGGTTGCAGAGAGCTGAGATCATGCTACTGCACTCCAGCCTGGGCGACAGAGCAAGATTCTGTTTAAAAAAAAAAAGAAAGAAAGAAAGACCAGTCTGGGCAACATAGTGAGATCCCCATCTCAACAAAAAATAAAAAATTAACCAGATGTGGTGGTGTACACCTATAGTCTCAGCTACCCCAGGGGGCTGACATAAGAGGATTGCTTGAGCCTGGGAGATTGAGGCTGCAGCGAGCTGTGATTGTGACACTGCACTCCAGCCTGGGCAACAGAGTGAGACCCTGTTTCAAAAAAAAAAAAAAAAAAGAAGGAATTGATTTTCTCATGGTTCTGGAGGCTGGAAGTCTAAGATCAAGGTGCCAGGGCAGGGGTGGTTCCTCCTGAGACCTCTGTCCTTGGCGTGCAGAAGGCGCCTCTGGCTGTGTACTCACATGGCCTTTCCTCTGTATGTGCACTCCTGCGGTCTCTTCTTCTTCTTCTTTTTTTTTTTTTGAGATGAGTCTTGCTGTGTCGCCCAGGCTGGAGTACAGTGGTGCGATCTCAGCTCACTACAACCTCCACTTCCAGGGTTCAAACAATTCTCTTGCCTCCCTAGTAACTGGGATTACAGGGACAAACCACCACGCCTGGCTGATTTTTGTATTTTAGTAGAGATGGGGTTTCACTATGTTGGCCAGGCTGATCTCGAACTCCTGACCTCAAATGATCCACCCATCTTGGCCTCCCAAAGTGTTGGGATTACAGGCGTGAGCCACCACGCCTGGCCTCCTCTTCTTACAAGGACACCCATCTTATTAGGGTAGAGCCCCATCCTTACAACCTCATTTAGTCTTAATCATCTCTTTAAAATTCCCTTCTCCAAATGAGGGCTAGGGCTTCAATATTTGAATTTGGGGGTTTGGGGACACAAGTTAGTCCATAACATTCCCCAAAAAGAGCTTGGTCTAGTTTCCTGTCAGTGGGTATAGGAAGAAAAAAAGAGAGAGAGAGAGAGCTTTTTGGTCTAGAAAGTACAGTGGGGTCAGACTGGCCAAGCATACAGAGGGAGGACAGGAGCCAGGAGAGACTGACTGGTGAGCTCTCATCTTAAGCAGTCTCCTGCGTTTGGGGTTTGGGTTTAAGCAGGCAGTGGGCTGCCTGGCCACAGGACCCATGCTTATATCGTGAGCGTGGGAATGCTCCCCTTTGCCCCTTCCTTATCTCCACTCTAGGGTGAATCCTGTGAGCTGCTAGCTGGGATATGCAAGGTGGGTAGCAGTCCTATGGGCGCCCGGGGGCAGTGTCCTGGATCATGCCTCTGCCACTCCCCACTTCGTGTCTTGGACAGCTTGCTGAGGAATTTCACTCTGGTGACCCAGCACCCGGAGGTGATTTACACAAACCAAAATGTTGTCTGGTCGAAATTTGAAACCATCTTCTTCACCATCTCTGGTCTCATCCATTACGCACCAGTGTTCAGAGACTATGTCTTCCGGAGCATGCAGGAGTTCTACGAGGACAACGTGCTCTACATGGAGATCAGAGCCAGGCTGCTGCCGGTGAGCCCAGCTCTCCTCTCTGTTCCTCCCACCTCCTTTGCTCTGGCCTGACTCAGATCTTAGCTGGTAGAAGACTGAATGCTCATGAATTGACCACTCAGGTCTCTGGTGCAAGGGATCATGTGCCTTTCCAGGGGCCAACATGAGCAAGGAAACCTGAAATGGACTGGGCAGCCTCCAGCAAAACTGGGAACACATTCCGTGCTGCCCTTTGCCCCCCTGTTTCTCATGGTTCCCCGTTCTCCCCTCTGCCATGATACTCAGGGCCTCGTGACATAAGCTGAGAAGGAGAATTGGGATAGAGCCATCTTAGGGGCCAAAACAAGGGGTTTGAAAAATAAAAGGAGCCACATGGCAGGGTGAGGGCAAGAGACATGCAGATGCATAATCGTCCATGGGATTTGGAAATTACAAGGTCACCTTTGAGCAGTTTCAGTAACATGCTGAGAAGAGAAACCCCATTTCTGGGAGTAGAAAAATGAAATAGACGGCCGGGCATGGTGGCTCACACCTGTAATCCCAGCACTTTGGGAGGCCGAGGCAGGCAGATCACAAGGTCAAGAGTTTGAGACCAGCCTGGCCAATATGGTGAAACACTGTCTCTACTAAAAATACAAAAAATTAGCCGGGCATGAGCCTGTAGTCCCAGCTACTCGGGAGGCTGAGGCAGGAGAACACTTGAACCTGGGAAGCAGAGATTGCACTGAGCCAAGATCGCACCACTGCACTCCAGCCTGGGTGACAGAGTTAGATGTTGTCTCAAAAAACACACACACACAAAAAAAAAAAGAAAGAAAGGAAAAGAGAAAGAAAAATGAAATACAGGTGATGAATTGGAGCCAGGTTTGGCTGATTAAAGGCTCTGAGTGTGATTTGAGAAAAAGAACATCGAGATAGCTGGAGGGAACCACAGGGGCCACAGGTTTCTTTTTAGGATGGAGAGACTTGTTTTGCACACAGAAGGAAGAAGTGTGGAGAGGTTAAAAAGAGAGGGGAGGCCAGGTGCATTGGCTCATGCCTATAATCCCAGCACTTTGGGAGGCTAAGGCTGGTGGATCACTTGAGGCCAGGAGTTTGAAACCAGCCTGGTCAACATGGCGAAATTCCATCTCTACTAAAAATACAAAAATTAGCTGTTGGCCGGGCGAGGTGGCTCATGCCTGTAATCTCAGCACTCGGGAGGCTGAGGCAGGCGGATCACGAGGTCGAGATCGAGACCATCCTGGCCAACATGGTGAAACCCTGTCTCTACTAAAAATACAAAAATTAGCTGGGCGCGATGGCGCATGCCTGTACTTCTAGCTACTTGGGAGGCTGAGGCAGGAGAATTGCTTGAACCTGGGAGGTGGAGGTTGCAGTGAGCAGAGATTGTGTCATTGCACTCTAGCCTGAGTGACAGAGTGAGACTGTCTCAAAAAAAAAAAAAATTAGCTGGCATGGTGGTGCGCACCTGTAATCAGCTACTCGGGAGGCTGAGGCGGGAGAATCACTTGAACCCAGGGGGAGGAGCTTGCAGTGAGCAGAGATACCGCCATTGCTCTTCAGCCTGGATGACAGAGCGAGACTCCGTCTCAAAAAAAAAAAAAAAAAAAAAAGAAAAAAGAAAAAAAAATTTGATTTTAAGGAAGGAAGTTTGGAGAGAGTGAAATGGAAAGGAGTAGAAAGAGTCCAAAAGAAGGGAGCATCATCAAAAAAATCTGATTTTTGGGTCTTGCATTTTGGCCAGAAGCAAAGGATAACTGAGGTTAGGTACTCTGAGATGGACTGACACCAGGCTCCGTGTTGGTAGGGGAGGGATCTTTCGAGGAGAGCAGCCCTAGGTGCTCAAATACTGCTAGAGTTTTATTTCAGTGAGTTTATTGGAGAGAACTTTCCTGAGGATGTTTTTGTTGGGCTGAGGGAGATGGGGTATTGTGGGAGTGGGCAGGATCCTTGGGTGTTTTATGTGGTGAGCTCAGACGGGTTTGAGCTGGTTAAAGGTTATCAGTGGCTTGGGGAAAGTGACCTTTGGTAGAGTCTTCTCCACATTGTATCCAAGAGAGTCTGCTCGTTCATTTACATATTGATCGGATACACAAATGCCTTGGGGACTGACAGTTAAGCTTGTGGAAAGGCCCACATGGTGGCAGTATTTTAGTTTTGTTAGCATATTCTGTAGGCTTTTATACGCTCCGAAGTTTACTGTTTGTAGACCCAGAAGTGATAGGACTCCGCAGGATCAATACACACTGAACAAATTCATAAGGGATAGATGTGTAAACAAGAAAGTCAGAATGCTGTTATCATTCGGACCAGACACTTATGCTTCATCAGGAAATTCTCCTCTTTTCTTTTCTTTCTTCTTCTTCTTTTTTTTTTTTGACAGAATTTCTGTCGCCCAGGCTGGAGTGTAGTGGTATGATCTTGCCTCACTGCAACCTCCACCTCCCAGGTTCAAGCGATTCTCGTGCCTCAGCCTCCCGAGTAGCTGGGACTACAGATGCACACCACCATGCCTGGCTAATTTTTTGTATTTTCAGTAAATGGGGTTTCACCATGTTGGCCAGGTTAGTCTTGAACTCCTGACCTCAGCTGATCCACTCGTTATTCAAGTTATTCCAGTTTGTGGGTCTCAACTCTCCCTTTGCTTGGCATCCTGGACTGACCCACCTTTTTCCTTAGATATGTTTTTTTTTTTTTTGAGGCAGAGTTTCGCTCTTGTTGCCCAGGCTGGAGTGCAATGGCACCATCTTGGTTTACTGCAACCTCCGCCTCCTGGGTTCAAGGGAACCTCCTGCCTCAGCCTCTGGAATAGCTGGGATTACAGGCGTGCACCACCACACCCAGCTAATTTTTGTATTATTAGTAGAGACAGGGTTTTACCATGTTGGCTAGGCTGGTCTTGCACTCCTGACCTCAGGTGATCCACCCACCTCGGCCTCCCAAAGATTACGAGCCACCATGCCCGGCCTTTTCCTTAGATATGTTAATACCCTTGGTGAGTTTAGCGGCAAGGCTGGATCCTGGAGAGTCCGATCTCTTGTGTGATCTGCATGTCTCCACTTGGATCTGTTGCTTGTTTTCTATTTTAACTCTCTGAGTGCAGAGTTATATTTCCATTTCTGAGTTCTTGAGAAGTGGGAGGGGAACATTAACTTTGCCTTGCAGTGGAGCTTTCATCAGTTTTGTGGACAGAGCAGACAGACAAGACACAGGACACAAATCATCCTTTTAAAAGAAAAGAGAGGGTCTCATCTTTTATTGAGAAAAGAATTTCTGAAAAGGGAGGCGCTGGCAAAAATTGATGAGCTGACTTTGCTCCTGGCCTAGGTAGGCTGGAAGAAACTGCACTTCCCAGAGCAGGTGATTCTTGTGTTTGTTTGTTTGTTGTTTTTGAGACATTCTGTGTTGCCCAGGCTGGAGTAAAGTGGCGTGATCTTGGCGCATTGTAACCTCCGCCTCCCGGATTCAAGTGATTCTCCTGCCTCAGCCTCCCGAGTAGCTGGGATTACAGGTGTACACCACCGCACTCAGCTAATTTTTGTATTTTTAGAAGAGATGAGATTTCACCATATTGGCCAGGCTGGTTTCGAACTCACGACCTCAAGTGATCCACCCACCTTGGCATCCCAAAGTGCTGGGATTACAGGCGTGAGCCACCGCGCCTGGCGAGATGGGGTTTTACCATATTGCCCAGGCTGGTCTGGAACTCCTGAGCTCAGGCAAATACACCCACGTCGGCCTCCCAAAGTACTAGGATTACAGACGCGAGCCATGCCCAGCTATTAATTCATCTTATTGATGTCGAAACTAAAGCCTGGAAAGGTCAAAGAGCTTGATGAAGGTCAAATAGGTAGTAAGGGGTGGCTGGACCCAGACCAGGGCTCCTAAGTTCGTCGCTTTCCTCACCGCGCTGGGCTCTCTGAGCGTCCTAATAGCCACGCCCACCTCAAATGGCGATCCCAGAGAGCATCTGGCTTCAATTTTCCTTTTTCCGGAGGGGAGATGGATTCCCTGGAATGGAACTGGGCTCTGGTAGGGGAGAACTTCCTGTTGGGCAAATCCTGACAACTGTCTTGGTGTGGGAGTGCATAGGGAACTCCGACCCTCGCAGAACCCTGGGATCTTCGTGGGTGGAGGGGAAGAGGATAGAGGAGGGGAGGGAGGAGACGCTGAGACAGAGGCTTTCATCTTGAGCCTGGTGGGGAGGCATGTGGGAGAAGTTGCTGAGCGGTTGGATCGGAGGGAGGAAGAGAAGGGCCAGAGCACTGGCTTCCTGTTCCATCTTCCCCCTTGTTCTGCAGGTGGCCATTTTCTCCTTCCAGAGCCGGAGGTGGAGAGACTTGGGGGCCTGCCCAGCTCCAGTCCTCTGTCCTCACTCTGCCCGTCTCCGCCCGTCCCCCAGCCAACCTTTGGAGAAGGTGCTGGGCTGCTAGGATTTGGGATTCTGGTGGAGGGGGAGGGGGAGGGGATGTGCCCATTTGTTCGGGTCTGACCCTGGAACAAAGGCTTTTGCCACGGAGAGTCTAGGTCTTAATGCCCCCCATTAGCCAGAGTTGGGGGGCCACCAACACATTAACAACTAAAAACAGTCTTCACTAGAATCCTTTTGCTGAGCCCCCTCGCCTCCCCCTGCCTGGTCGCAGGCTAATTCCGGCCTGGGCTGCTGTGGACGGACTATCCTGGCCGCTGAGCCTCCCATTGTGTTCCTAATGCTCAGTAACAAAGGCTGCTCGCCGGTAGCAACGGTCGCTAGGCGGGTCTTATCTCCTGGGCTCCGGCCCCTTCCCCCACGGCAGAGTCTGAGGCCCAGACTGGGTCCCCTGAGTCTTTAGCATGGGGCTCTTCCAAGACCCCGGAGGGTTATCCACAGGGGATGGCCCTGCTGGCACTTATGGAGGGGAGAGCTTATGGGAGACACGTCGGTGGCAGAGAACCTGTGACAGTCGTTCCCAGACGTTTTCTAAGACGTTGTCGTTCATACAGTAAGCATTTCTAGTGCTCCCTGTACCCGCGCTCCCCAGCCCCCATGCTTTTGCCTGGATTCTTAGCAGACCTTTCATTCAAAATTCCATTTGGCTCCTTGCTGAATGAAGCGAACCCTGTGTCATGTTGCTGGTGTCGCTTTACGAGAACACGCACCCTCTTAACTGCTCCCTTTTTGACAGGACTCATCCGACTATGCTGTCATTGTGCTATTTACTTGTCTGTCGATTGGAACAGTGGCAGATCTTCAGCCCAGCTGTATATCGCACCCTAGCACCACCTGGGAGATTACAAACACCAAGCTTCTACCCCACAGATTCTGATTTGGTTGCTCTGGGGTGGGACACAGGCATTTTTCCTCTCCTTGAGTGATGCCAATGTGCCGCCAGGGCTGAGATGTCACTCTAGTGACTGTCACCTTTCTACAGGAGGGGGCAGGGGCCTCCTGATGACAGGAGACAACTCAGGGCAAGCAAAATTCTGAAATGTGGTCGGCCTCCAGCCCCACTAATTATGCAGGGGTACTGAGTTTCTCAATTTTTTTGTTTTTTTTTTTTTTGAGACGGAGTTTCGTTCTTGTTGCCCAGACTGGAGTGCAATGGTGCAATCTTGGCTCACCGCAACCTCCGCCTCCCGGGTTCAAGCGATTCTCCTGCCTCAGCCTCCCGAGTAGCTGGGAATACAGGCATGTGCCACCACACCCGGCTAATTTTCTATTTTTAGTAGAGACGGGGTTTCTCCATGTTGGTCAGGCTGGTCTCGAATTCGTGACCTCAGGTGATCCGCCCGCCTTGGCCTCCCAAAGTGCTAGGATTATAGGCGTGAGCCACCGTGCTCAGCCTTCTCAAACTTTTAAAGCCTCAAAATCCTTATCTGTAAAATGAGACCTACCTCATAGTGTAGTTTTGAGGGTTAAATGAGATTATGGCATAAAGCCCCCTGCATATGCCTGGCATGTAGTAGAAGCTCAACACTTCTTAAGTGAATGATACTCTGGTAGTGAAAGCTGAGTGAAACTGCCAGTACTGGCCAGGTGCAGTGGCTCATGCCTGTAGTCCCAGCACTTTGGGAGATGGTGGCAGGTGAATCCCTTGAGCTCAGGAGTTCGAGACCAGCCTAGGCAACATGGCAAAACCCTTGTCTCTACAAAACAGGACAAAACAAAATAATTAGCCAGGTATGGTGGTATGCACCTGTGGTCCCAGTTACTCAAGAGGCTGAGGTGGGAGGATCACCTGAGCCTGGAAATTCAAGGCTGTTCAAGATCATGCCACTGCACTGCAGCCTGGGCCGCAGAGTGAGACCCTGTCTCAGACAAAAAAAAAAAAGAAAAAAAAGAAAGAAAGAAAAAAAGAAATTGCGAGTCCTTGTTTCTGTTCTGATACAAACCAGTTGTATGACCTTTACAGCACTCTGCTCCCAAATTTCCCCATGAACCAATCTGTCGTCCAGGCTGGAGTGCAGTGGTGCGATCTTGGCTCACTGCAACCTCTGCCTCCTGGGTTCAAGTGATTCTCCTGCCTCAGCCTCCCGAGTAGTTGGGATTACAGGTGCCCATCACCATGCCCGGCTAATTTTTGTATTTTTAGTAGAGACGGGGTTTCGCCATGTTGGCCAGGCTGCTCTTGAACTCCTGACCTCAGGTGATTCGCCTGCCTCGGCCTCCTAAAGTGCTGGGATTACAGGCATAAGCCACCATGCCAGGCCTCAGAGATCTTCTTTTAAGCAGAGTTGTCATTTGTTAATATTTTTTAAAGGTTATTTCTTTGGTCTCCCTTCTATTCTGCTGGCATGACTCCACCTACCACTCCGCCAACAACTGTCTATTTGCCCTTGCTGCCTGGGCCTTAGTACTTTTAAAACTCCTGTGGACAGCACTCTCCTTGAATTAATATTTATTTATGGAGCTCCTGCTCTGGTGCCATAGGAGAGGAGGTGGGGAGAGTAAAACTGCAAGGACTCTACCCTGGAGGAGCCTCCAATCTAGCTGGGGGGTGTGGGCAGGAGACTCAGTAATGACAGGGTGGTCAAGGTCAGGACAGAACCCTATTCTTCCCTGCTGTGAACCAGCTGGATGAGTCCAAGACAACTGCAGGTAACAATTGTGGGTTGGGTTAACACAGTGGTTCTCCAACTTTCTGGTCCCAGAACCTCTTTATATTCTTAAAAATTTTTGTTAATTTCAAACGCCTTTTATTTATGTGGATTATATCTATTGATATATCCTGTATTAGATGTTAAAATTAAGAAATTTTCCTTTTTTTTTTTTTTTTTGGGATGGAGTTTCACTTTTGTTGCCTAGGCTGGAGTACAATGGCACACAATCTTGGCTCACTGCAACCTCCGCTTCCTGGGTTCAAGTGATTCTCCTGCATCAGCCTCCCGAGTAGCTGGGATTACAGCAAATTTTTGTATTTTTAGTAGAGAAGGGGTTTCACCATGTTGGCCAGGCTGGTCAACTGACATCAGGTGATCCACTCGCCTTGGCCCCCCAAAGTGCTGGGATTACAGGTGTGAGCTATTGCACCCAGCCAAAATTAAGAAATTTTCTTGCCGGGCGCAGTGGCTCATGCCTGTAATCCCAGCGCTTTGGGAGGCTGAGGCGAGCAGATCATGAGGTCAGGAGTTCAAGACCAGCCTGACCAGCATGGCGAAACCCCGTCTCTACCAGAAATACAAAAAAATAGCCAGGCGTGGTGGCATGTGCCTGTAATCCCAGCTACTCGGGAGTCGTGCTTGAACCCAGGAGGTGGAGGTTAAAGTGAGCCGAGATCGCACCACTGCACTCCAGCCTGGGTGACAGAGCGAGACTCCGTCTCAAAAAAAAAAAAAAAAAGGAAAGAAATTATTCTAAATACAAACACATAATCCATGATTGGCATTATCGGTCAGAATGATATGACACATGATGCAGCTTCAGGAAAATTCTACTGTACATCCATGAGAGAATAAGAGTGAAACAGACAGTGAACCAAGATTGCACCACCACACTCCAGCCTGGACGACACGGCAAGACTGTTGCAAAATAAAAGTTTAAAAAAATTTTTTTGTTTTGTTTTGTTTTTTTTTGAGACGGAGTCTTGCTCTGTCGCCCAGGCTGGAGTGCAGTGGCGCGATCTCAGCTCACTGCAACCTCCAACTCCCGGGTTCAAGCGATTCTCCTGCCTCAGCCTCCCCAGTAGCTGGGATTACAGGCGCCCACCACCACGCCCGGCTAATTGTTGTATTTTTAGTAGAGATGAGGTTTCACCATGTTGGCCAGGATAGTCTCCAACTCCTGACCTCAGGTGATTTGCCCGAGGTGATCTGCCTCCGCCTCCCAAAGTGCTGGGATTACAGGCATGAGCCATCACACCCGGCCTAAGAATTTGCTATGTGCACAGATAGATGCAGGCCTTCCTTGAAAAGACGTGAAGCACCAAAGAAGTTAGAGTGAGGGCTTATATTCCATTTTAACAACTGGTAATAAATTGTGAAGAAGTGACAAGATGAAGGAAAAGGGGTTTGGGCTTCTAGGGACAGTAAATTGTGGGCAGGCAAACATATGGGGGAAACTAATGGAAGATAAGGGCAATTTTATAAGGCTGGTTTGTGCAGACCCATCTTGGTAACAACTTTCTGTTTCCGGTGGTAAGGGTGATTCTCCTGGTACGGGAGAGGGGAGGGCGACACCTTCACAAAGGGAAATTTAGGCAGATGAGGTGGGCAAAGAGCTCTTTCTTCATTTGCTGCTTCTTAATTGCCTTCAGCTAAAAATATTTCTTCTGCTAAAGTGGCCTATTGGGTGACATATTCTGACCCTCTTCAGTAAATAATAATAATAATAGACAATACTAGATCCTGAATGAACAGTACCTAAGGTTCTTCCTTCTGGCACGCTCTGGCAGCCTTAAAGTTCAGTAGCCCCTGAGCATGGCTGTGCCAGGTCAGGCAGTCAGGGAAACTGCCCGAGCAGAGTGAGTGGCCTGGCCAGGTGCAGGTTGTGGGGGGCTGTGTGACGTGCCAGGCTTCATGGGGGCAGCAGAGGAAACAGAAGAGCAAAGACCAGTGGAGAGCCTCACTGCCTGCTCCCCCACTGCGCCTGCCCAGGCAGCGGGGCAGCACCCTGGAGATGAGAGAGCAGCAGTACTGTTCTGCAGGCCTGGGGGAATGCGGGGATCTGAGGGACTGCCCAGAGACAAAGGACACACAATGGCCGCAGCCTGGAGGGGTGTGGGAGGCCCCTAGGCTGGGGAGACAGGAGTGAGGCAAGGGGCTGGTGGGAAATGAGCAGAGGAGGTGGACTCCCAAGGGCCCATTTCCTGAGATGCCACAGAGGCAAGAGCCGACTCCCGGGAGGAGGAAGGGCATTTCTCCCTTAGTGAGGGGACAGCTCCTGGCTCCCACTGCAGCTCTCAACCTCGGCTCCTTGAACCCCCGCCCCCAGGCAGCTCTTGACTCTGTGTGGAGCCACCATTCCCTTGGTCAGGACTAGCAACCTTCTCTGACCCATCCAGTCACAACAAACTGCTTCTTCTTTTGAGAGGTCATGTGCTTCTCTTTAGCACTTATTCTATTGTTTCTTTTTTTTTTTTTTTTCATTCCTTTTTACAGACAGGAACTCACTCATTGCCCAGGCTGGTCTTGACCTCCTGGGCTCAAGTGATCCTCCTGCCTCGGCCTCCCAAAGTGCTGGGATTACAGGCGTGAGCTCTTTTTAGTGGGTCAGGTCTATCTCTCTGACCCTATTGTCACTCCTGAGGGCAGCTATCTTGTCTATTAGCATTTTTTCATCCCTTCCAATGCCCAGCCCTGTTCCTTTTATATCATAAGGGCTTAACTGATGCCATGGAAGTAATCGACATCTCCATATTATTGCTCCCTGTCTCCTTCACCCCACAGTCTCTGCAGAAATTCCCACATCTTTTTTTTTTTTTTTTAGTTTTTTTTTAAGGTGGAGTCTCGCTCTGTCACCCAGGCTGGAGTGCAATGGCGCGATCTTGGCTCACAGCAACCTCTGCCTCCTGGGTTCAAGCGATTATCCTGCCTCAGCCTCCCGAGTGGCTGGGACTACTACAGGCACGCACCACCACACCCGGCTAATTTTTGTATTTTTAGTAGAGACGAGGTTTCACCATATTGGCCAGGCTGGTCTCGAACTCATGACCTCGTGATCCACCCACCTCGACCGCCCAAAGTGCTGGGATTACAGGCGTGAGCCACCGCGCTGTCCTTTTTTTTTTTTTTTTTTTTTTTTTTTGCAGTTTTTACGGTTTTATTTAAACACAAAAAGGGGACATGAGCTGTCTACTCATTTTCTTTGCTGCGCAGCCTGGCATTGGGGTTGGTGACTCTGATGACCAGCTGGGCAGCTCTTTCCACGATGGCTTCGTGGTTCTTAGAGGAAACGTTGTGAGCGATGTCAGCACAGGGAGATTGTTGCACATCAGCAGCACTTCCAGCTCCTTGATGTTGTGGACCAGGAACTTCTGGAAGCCACTGGGCAGCGTGTTCTTTGTTTTTTTTTGTTGCTCCCATAACCACTGTTGGGCATCGAGATCTGGCCCTTGAACCTTCTATGAACCCCGTTGTGAATACCTCTGGGTTTCCGCCAGTTACGGTTAATTTTGACGTATTGGTCAGACCGGTGCCAGATGAACTTTTTGGTTCTCTTTTTGACAATCAGGCTTCACAAGGGGTCTGAGGGTGGCCATGATGCCAAAGAGGAGATGGCTGCCACTTCTGTAGGCAGCGCCGAGGAAGAGAGAGGGCCCCCCCTTTTTTTTTTTCGAGACAGAGTCTTGCTTTGTCGCCCAGGCTGGAGTGCAGTGGTATGATCTTGGCTCACTGCAACCTCTGCCTCCCGGGTTCAAGCGATTCTCCTGCCTCAGCCTCCCCAGTAGCTGAGATTAACAGGCATGTGCCACCATGCCCAGCTAATCTTGTATTTTTGGTAGAGATGGGGGTTTCACCATGTTGGCCAGGCTGGTCTTGAACTCCTGACCTCAAGTGATCCCCCTGCCTCGGCCTCCCAAAGTGCTATGATTACAGGTGTGAGCCACCTTTCCCCATTACACACCTCCCTTCCCTTAGCTTCCTTGTCACCTGCCCACTCCCAACTCTCCCCACTCTGCTCTCACTGTGTCCCCCTTGCTGTCCCTGGTGGCAGTGGCCGCCTTGCAGCTGCTGCACCTGGAGTTAGGGAAGCAGTGGGGAGGTGAGCAGGTAGTGGGGAATGACGTCATTCTCAGATCACTCTTTCTAGCTTTCATCCTCTCCCCCCGTGACCTGCTCTTCAACCATTATGCAGATGCTTAATGGGCACCTACCCTCGCGTGTGCCATGTGCTGTTTTAAGTGCAGTGACCCAGCAATGAAGGAGACAGGTGGGCATCAGCATCAGGGTTATCCCAGAGCCAGCTAGGAATTCCCCATGCAGCAGCAGAGACAATGCCCAAGGCCGTAGAGGACCTGAACAAGGGAAGCACAAGTCCAGCCTGGCTGGACTTTTGGGAACAAGGCCACTTGGCCTAATCCAAACACAAATAAAACTGTTTTGTGGGTCCCCTGACCCCATCTACTTTTCCCAGAGCTCGTTGATGGCTGGGAAGGAGTTGACTGGGAAGGAGGTGGCTGGGCAAGGGTGGCTGGGCAGGGGTGGCTGGGCAAGGGTGGCTGGGAAGGGGTGGCTGGGAAGGGGGTGGTTGGGCAGGGGTGGCTGGCCAGGGGTGGCTGGGCAGGGGTGGCTGGGAAGGGGGTGGCGTCTCTCACTGCTCACCTGACGGCTCCTGGTTGTGCTTTCTTCCCAGGTGTATGAGCTCAGTGGAGAGCACCATGACGAAGAGTGGTCAGTGAAGACTTACCAGGAAGTAGCTCAGAAGTTTGTGGAAACTCACCCTGAGTTTATTGGAATCAAAATCATTTATTCGGATCACAGGTGAGAGAGAATATTGCTGAAAAGCTCGGGTTGGGAGGCTGGGATGCAGGCAGAGCTACTAGGCTGGGAGGGGAGGGGTGAGAAGCGGGGCTGGGAGGCCGGGAGAGGCCCAGCACTGGTGCCAAGGAGCTGTGCTGTGCCTGTGTGAGAGCACAGTCCTAGGTAAGTGCGGTGACCCAACAATGAATTGCTGCCTGAAGCCACTTCTAGTTCAGGTCTTCACCCCCAAACTGAAATGAAGAATGTGTGAATTTCCCAGATAATTCTCGGCTGTGACCCCACATTGGCCTGGTGACTCATTTATGAGCATAATGGTTTTGCCTGAATGTTTGGATAATTGGCCCGTTTTTGGTTTCAATTTGCCTCTGGGTTCTGTGTGTGGTTGTGTGTGAGTCCTTGATCACGGAGACACCCTGAGTGGCACTGGCTCAAGTCTGCGTGTGGGGACCTCCAGTAGTACCATGTGCGTGGCCTGGCACGTGGGTGAAAGACCCACTCTTTTTCCCAGGGAAGCACAGAAAGCTTTGCAGCTTAATTGTCCTTCTGACTTTACCAGACAAGACCCCTCCCCTCACTTTAAAGAGCAGCCAGTCTAAGGCTGGGACCTGTCCATGGTCGCAGCTGCAAGGGCAGCAGCCAGTGGGGTCCCTCGGAGTCAGGCACGGGGCGGGCACCGAAGGGATCCGGCAGCGGCTCCCTCTGCTCAGCTCACCCACGAGCCTGGGCTCTGGAGGGCACTGACTCCCCAGGAGCCTCCTCCCATGCCCAGTCTTCCTGAGTCCCCTTCCCTTCCATGGGGCCTGGGGCCTGGAGGAGCTAAGCTCTGGCTTTGTGCCGGTCCCCCTAGGAGGGAGCTTGCAGGATGGGCCCACGTTCTGCTCAGAGGCTCCCTGGTGCCAGGTGCCCCTTCCCAGGGCCAGTGGCAGGAGGGTGTGAGGGCTGAGCTGAGTGCATCAGTGCCCCCAGGTTTGCCTAGGCTCTGGGGAGAGGCCATGGGTGGGGCAGGCCAGGAAGGCTTTATCCCCACAGAGCCGAGGATTGGAGCAGGAGAGCCAGTGGCAGGGCAAAGACCTTGAGCCTGTCGTGGGCTTGCGCCAGACCCTGTGTTTTGGGGCTTTTGTTGTCATGCTGCCTGCCTTGCCCCTGTAGGGTTCTGCAGTACCCAGGATCTTGCTGACTTAATCAGCAAGAGGCCATATGGTTACTGGGTCCAGCCGACCCATCAGGGACTTGGGTGACCTGTGGCCCTTTGCAGGTGTGCAGTGGACAGAGAGCTGCCCCTGAGCTGCATCCATGTCTACACCCCCGACAGAGATGCAGGGAGAGCTGGGAACAAGGCCACCTGGCCTCCTCTAAACGCAGACAAATAAAACTGTTCCCGTGGGTCCTCTGACCCCATCTACTTTTCAGAGACTACAGGTGCCCCCAGAGCCAGCAAGGGTCTTTGATAAGAATGGATTTGGGCTACATATCTCTCAGGGATCACAATGGCCTGGTCAGGGTGGGGTCAGGAGGGCAGGGGTGCCTCAGGTTTGGGAAACGGGACCTGCACACTTGGGGCTGGCCCAGCCCTGCACGGAGGGTGTGCTCTGGGGTTTGTGCTCTGTCGGTGCTGGGCACTGTCTCCTGGCTTCTCTGTCTGTCTCACAGATCCAAAGATGTGGCTGTCATCGCAGAATCCATCCGAATGGCCATGGGGCTCCGAATCAAGTTCCCCACGGTGGTGGCAGGGTTTGACCTGGTAACCCATGCTGTGAACAGAAGGGCTGCCTGTTAAGGGGGCATGCGAGGATGCCTGTCTGGGTGGAGCGGCAACTCCCTGGGAAGGGAGCGCAATGTGCCTGTTGGTACCCTGACATCCCAGGGCAGGCTCAGGCTGCTGACACAGCAGGGCTGCTCAGAGCTCAGCGCTGACCCTCTTCAGAGGCCTACAGGGGACGGCTGTCACTGGAGAAGGGAGAGCAGACAGCCAGTTCTAACAAGCTAACAAGGAAAGTTCCAGAATAAGGATGGCATTCAGGGAGTTTGGACCACAGTTATGGGCTCATTCCCCATGGCCCTGCCTGTGCCCTTTTTTCTATCCCACACTGCTCACCTAGGTGTGGGTCTTAAAACCCTCACCAGCCCCTGTAGCACGCGGGGTGGGGACTGGGGGGTAATGTCTGGAAACAGAGTCCAGGATGGAGCCAGGCCTTTGCAAATCCTCAAGGTAGTGATATTTGTCCCTCCCTCTCCAGCCATCATGCCTGGCCACACCAGTTTTTGAAGCTACACATTCATAGGTGTTGTCATTGTCCCACACCTCCCCACCAAATCGAAGCACAACCAGGACATTTCTTAGGTGACAGCTCGGCAATCTCATAAAGAATCTAGGCCGGGTGCAGTGGCTCATGCCCTCAGCACTTTGGGAGGGCGAGACAGGTGGATCACCTGAGGTCTGAAGTTCAAGACCAGCCTGGCCAACATGGAGAAACCGCATCTCTACTAAAAACACAAAAATTAGCCAGCCTTGGTGGCCTGCACCTGTAATCCCAGCTACTTGGGAGGCTGAGGCAGAATCACTTGAACTCAGGAGGCAGAGGTTGCAGTGAGCTGAGATTGCACCATTGCACTCCAGCCTGGGCGACAGAGCAAGACTCCATCTCAAAAAAAAAAAAAAAAAAGAATCTAGATTAGTCCAGGGCAGTGGCTCACTCCTGTAATCCCAGCACCTTGGGGGGCCAAGGTGGGAGGGTCACCTGAGTCCAGGAGTTCTAGACCAGCCTGAGCAAATCGGTGAGACCCCGTCTTTACAAAATATATATATATATATATTTTTTGCTCTTGGCCAGGCTGTAGTGCATTGGTGTGATCTCAGCTCACTGCAAGTTCTGCCTCCTGGGTTCATGCCATTCTCCTGCCTCAGCCTCCCAAGTAGCTGGGACTACAGGCACCCGCTACCACACCTGGATAATTTTTTGTATTTTTAGTAGAGATGGGGTTTCACTGTGTTAGCCAGGATGGTCTCGATCTCCTGACTTCGTGATCTGCCTGCCTCGGCCTCCCAAAGTGCTGGGATTACAGGTGTGAGCCACCACGCCTGGCCTGCTCCTGGTCATTCTTAAAAGGCTGTGTGACAAAGGTCCCGGCAGTGGTGGCAGGGTACAAGGAAGGGTGTGCACAGGCTCCAGGGCGCGCCATCAGCAAGTGAGGCATGCGCCCTGCAGACACCTCCCTGTCCCTCTCTGTCCTGCAGGTGGGGCATGAGGACACTGGCCACTCCTTGCATGACTACAAGGAAGCTCTGATGATCCCCGCCAAGGATGGCGTTAAGCTGCCTTACTTCTTCCACGCCGGAGAAACAGGTGAGCCTGCGGGATGCGAGCAGAGGCAGCGGAGGTGGTCAATGGGAGAGCTCCTGGCCACAGGCCCATGCCTCAGGGTTAGAGCCTACAGGCGTTTCCAGAGCCCTTTCCTGTGCTCTATCTCACTTAATCCTGACAACAGCCCCATGGAGAAGGAATAACAAGGATAATAGAATCAGCCACTTTACATGTATTATTTCTAGTTTCTCTTTCTTCTTTCCTTCCTGTTTTCTTTTCTTCTTCTTCTTTTTTTTTCTTTTTTTTACGGAGTCTCCCTCTGTCGCCCAGCTCACTGCAACCTCGGCTTCCCAGGTTCAAGAGAGTCTCCTGCCTCAGCCTTCCAAGTAGCTGGTACTACAGGCACCTGCCACCACGCCTGGCTAATTTTTTGTATTTTTAGTAGAGACGGGGTTTCACCGTGTTAGCCAGGATGGTCTTGATCTCCTGACCTCATGATCTGCCCTCCTCGGCCTCCCAAAGTGCTGGAATTACAAGGGTGAGCCACTGCGCCTGGCCTTTTCTAATTGATTTCTGATTGTTTCCCCAGTTTTTAATCTCCATTTGATAGATGAAGAGCCCAAGGCTCCAAACACAGTGGTCCAGGGTTAAAGAGCTGGTGCGCAGTGGAGTCTGAATTTGAATCCTTCTTCTTCTTCTTTTTTTTTTTTTTTTTAATTTTTCGTGGTAGGGGCATAATCCTGCAAACTCACATCATCCTACTTTGGCTATAAAAATTCGTTTTAGGCTGGGCACAGGCACAGTGGCTCATGCCTGTAATCCTAGCACTTTGGAGGCTGATGTGGGTGGATCTCTTTAAACCCAGGAGTTTGAGGCCAGCCAGGGCAACATGGCAAAACTTTGTCTCTACAAAAAAATACAAAAATTAGCCAGGCATGATGGTACACACCTGTGGTCCCACCTACTTAGAGGCTGAGGTGGGAGGATTGCCTGAGCCCAGGCTCACTGAACTCCAGCCTGGGTGACAGAGCTAGACCCTGTCTCAAAAAAAAAAGTGTTTTAGCCAGGTACAGTGGCTCACATCTGTAATTCTAGCACTTAGGGAGGCAGAGGCAGGAGGATCACTTGAGCCCAGGAGTTTGAGACCAGTCTGGGCAACATAGTAAGATTCCATTCTACACAAAAAGGAAAACAAATTTTTTTTTTTTTTTTTTGAGATGGAGTCTCGCTCTGTGGCCCAGGCTGGAGTGCAGTGGTATGATCTCGGCTCACTTGCAAGCTCGGCTTCCTGGGTTCATGCCATTCTCCTGCCTCAGCCTCCCAAGTAGCTGGGACTACAGGTGCCCGCCACCACGCCCGGCTAATTTTTTGTATTTTTAGTAGAGACGAGGTTTCACTGTGTTAGCCAGGATGGTCTCGATCGCCTGACCTTGTGATCCACCCGTCTAGGCCTCCCAAAGTGCTGGGATTACAGGTGTGAGCCACTGCACCTGGTCAATTTTTTTGTTTTTTGAGATGGAGTCTCACTCTGTCACCCAGGCTGGAGTGCAGTGGTGCGATCTTGGCTCACTGCAACCTCTGCCTCCCGGGTTCAAGTGATTCTTCTGCCTCAGCCTCTGGAGAAGCTGGGATTACGGGCATGCACCACCATGCCTAGCTAATTTTTGTATTTTTAGTAGAGATGGGGTTTCACCATGTTGGTTAGGCTGGTCTTGAACTCCTGACCTCAAGTGATCCACCCACCTCAGCCTCCCAAAATGCTGGGATTACAGGCTTGAGCCACGGAAAAAAATTCTTTTGAGACAGAGTCTTACTGTATCGCCCAGGCTGGAGTGCAGTGGTGCGATCTCGGCTCACTGCAACCTCTGGCTGCCAGGTTCAAGTGATTCTCGTGCCTCAGCCTCCCGAGTAGCTGGGATTACAGGCGCCCACCAACACACCCGGCTAATTTTTGTATTTTTAATAGGGATAGGGTTTCACCATGTTGGCCCAGGCTGGTCTTGAACTCCCAACCTCAAACAATCCACCCGCCTTGGCCTCCCAAAGTGCTGGGATTACCCGGCCTCATGTGATATTTTGATGCCTGTATATAATGTGTATGAATTGGAACACTTTCTGACGCTCTCCATCCTCCGAGTGAATTGTGCTTGAGAGGTTAACTGATCTGCCTAAAGCCACACAGCTGGAAATTGGCAGAAGAGGGAGGAGAACCAGGTCTGCTCCTTGTCTTTAGGATGTTCTGTCCCGCATTATCGTAGGAGAGGAAACCCTGCCCTGCCCCATGCAGGCCCTGGCTGCTGTTCCTCCTGAAACGCCATCAGCCCAGCCACATCTTTCTTTCCCAGAACTCCATCCTTGGGCTCGCTCAGTCATCTCAGCCCCTCCCGTATTCCAGTCCTTAAAATGTGTAAACCCTAACTAAGAAAGATCACGGCTGCAATTTCAGATCCAAAGGAAGATTTGGGAGGAGGCTGTTCACATGGAGGCCGGGACCAGGAGGGCAGCTCTCTTCAGCATCCCACCTGTCACCCTCGGAAGACCAAAGAGGGGTGGAGAGAGTGGTGGGCAATTTCATTTCCCACCCAGGCTTAAGCTCTGCTCTATCACACCTTCTCTCAGAGAAAGGGACCTTGTGCATTAATCTCTTTTTCCTGACATTTCGAGTCAATTTAGATCCAATTTAGATCAAAGTCTGCTCTAGGAGAGCAGAAGAATTGTTTGAGGGGGAGGGGGTTGGGCGAGGGTGTTGTTAACCTTGAAGAGCTTGTGGTCTGGTTGGGGAAAATCATACTTATGTGTGTGAAATAATTCTGGCCCTACAAAACATTGCAGCTCAGGACCTAACAGGTTCCAAGATGTATGGTCCTTGGAGATGATTTTGCCAGGACTTGGGTATCTAATACCTAAAAGTAATGTCCTTATTTTTATTTTTTTATTTTATTTTATTTTATTTTATTTTATTTTTTGAGACGGAGTCTCGCTCTGTCCCCAGGCTGGAGTGCAGTGGCACGATCTCAACTCACTGCAAGCTCCGCCTCCCAGGTTCACGCCATTCTCCTGCCTCAGCCTCCCGAGTAGCTGGGACTACTCGGGCGCCTGCCACCACGCCCGGCTAATATTTTTTGTATTTTTAGTAGAGACGGGGTTTCACCATGTTGGTCATGCTGGTCCGGAACTCCTAACCTCGTGATCCGCCCACCTCGGCCTCCCAAAGTGGTGGGATTACAGGTGTGAGCCACCACACCCGGCCAATATCCTTATTTTTAAAAAGAAAAAGAAATCTTTAAAAACCAGTGAAAATCCACCAAAACACATGTGCTACATAGCAATGGAAATTCTTGAGTTTTATTTCTATCAGGAAAGTGGAGTTTTCATATATATATATATATATATATATTTTGACATGGGCACTCTGTCACCCAGGCTAGAGTGCGGTGGTGTGATGACAGCTCACTACAGCCTCCACCTCTGTCACCCAGGCTAGAGTGTGGTGGCGTGATCACAGCTCACTACAGCCTCCACCTCCTGGGTTCAGGTTATCCTTCCACCTCAGCCTCCTAAGTAGCTGGGACTGCAGCCACATGCCACCATGCCTGGCTAATTTTTGTATTTTTTGTAGAGACAGGGTGTCTCTATGTTGCCCATGGCTGGCCTTGAACTCCTGGGCTCAAGCAATCCTCCTGCCTCAGCCTCCCAAAGTGCTGCGATTACAGGTGTGAGCCACCGCACCCAGCCAGATGTTCATATTTTATATGTGAATCCATTAGAATGCTTATGGCTGCAAGAATAGAGTACATGCATCCCACCGATTTTACAATAAGGACATTTGTTATCTCACGTAAGAAGCAATCTGTGCTATGCCCATTGTGTGGGTGATTCTGCCCCACTTGGTTGTCGGATGGTGAATCACATTTGGGGTGACCACATCCAGTGAAGCAAAATAGGAGACAGCCTCCCAGTGGATCCCCTTTTATCAGGGAGGAATCCCCCAAAGCTCCCCAACAAATAACCTCCCAGTCCAGCGTTAAGGCTATTTTAGCTGTAAGGGAGACTGAGAAAGGCACATCTGACCTTTCATCCTCTACCGAGGGCCCTAGCTGCAAGAAAGGTGTGATGGGGCCGGGCGTGGTGGCTCACGCCTGTAATCCCAGCACTTTGGGAGGCTGAGGCAGGTGGATCACAAGGTCAGGTGATCGAGACCATCCTGGCTAACACAGTGAAACCCTGTCTCTACTAAAAATACAAAAAAAAAAATCAGCTGGGTGTGGTGGCGGGCGCCTGTAGTCCCAGCTACTTGGGAGGCTGAGGCAGGAGAATGGCATGAACCCCGGGAAGTGGAGCTTGCAGTGAGCCGAGACTGCACCACTGCACTCCAGCCTGGGTGACAGAGCGAGACTCCATCTCAAAAAAAAAAAAAAAAAAAAAGAAAGGTGTGATGGGGATGGCAGGGGAGAAGGGAGGCCACAAGACTGTCTGCGGTCATCTAGCGAGTGATAACATCTTGACAGTACTATTAAATATATAAATTAAAGTGAGCACATACAGGTAGTTATACTGATGTTGTCAATAAGAGAACCTGTAACATATTGTTGTAAAGATCATAAGCATAAGAGTCCCAGAGCCCGGTGCGGTGGCTCATGCCTATAATCACAGCACTTTGGGAGGCCTAGGCGGGTGGATCCCCTGAGGTCAGGAGTTTGAGACCGGCCTGGCCGACATGGTGAAACCCCGTCTCTACTAAAAATACAAAAAATAGCCGGGCATGGTGGTGGGCACCTGTAATCCCAGCTACTCAGGAGGCTGAGGCAGGAGAATCCGCTTGAACCCGGGAGGCGGAGGTTGCAGTGAGCCAAGATTACGCCACTGCATTCCAGCCTGGGCGACAGAGCAAGACTCCGTCTCAAAAAAAAAAAAAAAAAAAAAAGAGTGCCACAAAAGAGGAAGAAGGAAAGCGGACTGTGGGGTCAGAGAGACGAAGGTTTAAAACTCAGTTTTGCAGGCCAGGTGCGGCGGCTCACGCCTGTAATCCCAGCACTTTGGGAGGCTGAGGCAGGTGGATCACGAGGTCAAGAAATCAAGACCATCCTGGCCAACATGGTGAAACCCTGTCTCTACTAAAAATACAAAAAATTATCTGGGCGTGGTGGCGTGTGCCCGTAGTCCCAGCTACTCAGGAGGCTGAGGCAGGAAAATTGTTTGAACCTGGGAGGTGGAGGTTGCAGTGAGCTGAGATCGTGCCACTGTACTCCAGCCTGGCGACAGAGCAAGACTGTGTCTCAAAAAACAACAACAACAACAACAAAAAACTCGGTTTTGCTACTTACTGTGTGAACATCCTTGGTCAATTTATAGAAGCTATTAAGTTTCAACTTTCTCATTAGAATGATAAATTAATAAATTAGATGATTAATTTAATAAAGCCATATCATACCTCTCTTTAGCATTGTTAAAAGGAAACTGTGTGTGTGTATTTGTGTTAATGTTAATTTCTCTTCATTTTTGTGCTTGGGGGGCTGTTTATTTGAGGATGGTCGGGGGGCGGGTGGGTCAGACCCATCCATCCCCCATGGAAGACCAGACCCATCCATCCCCCATGGAAGACCATTCCCGTGTGTTCAGACTGGCAGGGTACTTCCATAGACAGGAACATTCTGGATGCTCTGATGCTGAACACTACCAGAATCGGCCATGGATTTGCTTTGAGCAAACACCCCGCAGTCAGGACTTACTCCTGGAAAAAGGACATCCCCATAGAAGTCTGTCCCATCTCTAACCAGGTATGTGTGACCCATGTGGCTAATCCCATATGATCTCCCCTAACCACAACCTCTGCTCTCTTAAACTTTTTGCTGTATAACTTATCTCTCCTTAACTCTCTTGTTACCTACATCCCTCCACTCTCCTACCCCTGTTAGTAAAGTTATTCAGGAGGGGCCTTTTGCCTAAGCCACCAATAAGAATGAGGCAGCAGTGAGGGTCCCCAGTGGGGTGGAATTTTGGGCAAGACTGTAGACAAAGCAAAAAGGACATGGGGGGAGGCCAGTGAAGTGGGACGGACCATGGGATGCTGCTCCCCATGGTTTCTTGGGGTCCTTTGTGTCTGTGTTCAGTTAGCGCTTCTCTGAGCAGGAACAGAAGTGACCCGATGTTTGCAGTGCTGATGAAACATGAGGAGGAGCATAAGGACTGGCTCTGTTCCTTATGTCTCCTTGTGACTCTGCCCAGAAGTCATCCCCATACTGGGGAGATAGTGATGGGAAGATGAAGGGAGCTGATGGGGCTCAAGGTCTCACCTCACTTGTGACTACTCTTTTTAGGGATCAGAGTTCATCTTTCTCCCTTCCCTCCTATTGCGCAGGTGCTGAAACTGGTGTCTGACTTGAGGAACCACCCTGTAGCCACTCTGATGGCCACTGGGCACCCCATGGTGATCAGCTCTGATGACCCAGCTATGTTTGGTGCCAAAGGCTTGTCCTATGATTTCTATGAGGTCTTCATGGGCATTGGGGGGATGAAGGCTGACCTGAGGACCCTCAAACAGCTGGCCATGAACTCTATCAAGTGAGTGTCCTGTGTCCTCCCAGGTCCCCCGCCTCCTTCCAGCCCGCAGCTTGTGTTTGCCTCTCTGGAGGCTTGAGGCAGATGCCTCGATGGTTCCTGTGGGTTCCTTCTCATCATGGCTGTTTAGTCCTTGCTGCTGGCCTGGGGAGAGTGCTCTGCAAGGCTCTAATGTCCTCTCAGGCTCCCTGCCCCGTTCCCCAACCCCTGCCCTGAGGCTGACCTGGGCTCCTCCTCTTCCTGCAGGTACAGTACCCTGTTGGAGAGTGAGAAAAATACTTTCATGGAAATCTGGAAGAAGAGATGGGATAAGTTCATAGCAGATGTGGCTACAAAGTGAGGAGAAGCTAGCCAGCCCTCTACAAGCTGTCTTCTTGCACACGCTGTCACTTCCTCTCACTCGTTCTTGAATCAGCTCCATGTGCCCATGAAATCAATGGCCTCTGTATGGAGCGACCCTGTGAGAAGCACTTGGCTGGCTGAGCAAATTCATCCTCTGGAAATATTCTCTCTCAGCCACAGTGACATTGACCCTCTTGGTTTTCTCCTGTCTCTGGCCATTTCTTCCAGTTTCCCTATTTCAGAGTCTTCTCCTCTCTCTGATCTCTGTGCTGTTTCCTCAGGACTCAGTCCTGGGCTCTCTTCTATTCTGGTCTCTTTATTTTTTTATTTTTGTATTTTTTCGAGATGGAGTTTTGCTCTTGTTGCCCAGGCTGGAGTACAATGGTGCGATCTCAGCTCAGTGCAACCTCCGCCACCCGGGTTCAGGCAATTCTCTTGCATCAGCCTCGCGAGTAGTTGGAATTATAGGCATGTGCCACCACACCCAGCTGATTTTTGCATTTTTAGTAGAGACAGGTTTTCACCATGTTGGCGAGGCTGGTATCCAACTCTTGACCTCAGGTGATCCACTCGCCCCTTGGCTCCCAAAGTGCTGGAATTACAGGCATTAGCCACCATGCCTGGCCTATTCTGGTCTCTTTAACTCTCTCCTCTTTATTTCTCTTCTCTCTCTGTACACTTTTCCTGGGTGGTCTCATCCATTCCTTTGCTTTTTCATACCATTTATTTGTTAATGATTCCCACATTTATTTATGCACTTGGAGAGCTCACAGGAATCTCAGAAACTGATGAGGTACAATTCTGAACCCTCAGTCTCTTCCCTTTAAACCTTTCTTTTTCTCTACTTTAATTTTTCTAAAGAGTGTCTTGCTATGTTGCCCAGGCTGGTCTCCAACTCAAGTGATCCTCCTGCCGCAGTCTCCCGAAGTGCTGGGATTACTGACATGAGCCACCACACTCAGCCCTTTAAACCTTTCCCTGGCCTTTCCCATAGCTGGTGAAGGACACCTCCATCCATTCCACGCAGTTGCTCAAAGCAGAAATTTTCAGTGCAAGTCTTGATGCTGCGCCGTCCCCCACTCCCTACATCAGAACGCATCCCTCATCTGGACTCCAGCGGTGGCTTCTTGATGCTGCGCGGTCCCCCACTCCCTACATCAGAATGCATCCCGCATCCAGACTCCAGCGGTGGTGCTCTACCTGCACGCTGTTGCCAAGTCCAAGCTACCATACTCCTGCCTGAGCTATGACAACAGCCTCCTCACTGATCTCCCCTTTCTTCCCTTTGCCTCCTCCAGCTCATTTTTCACAGTGTAGAATGACATTTTGTTTGTTTGTTTTGTTTTGTTTGAGATGGAGTCTCGCTCTGTTGCCCAGGGTGGAGTGCAGCGGTGCGATCTCGGCTCACTGCAACCTCCACCTCCCGGGTTCAAGCGGATTCTCGTGCCTCAGCCTCCTGAGTAGCTGGGATTACAGGCATGCACCACCATGCCCGGATAATTTTTGTATTTTTAGTAGAGATGGGGTTTCACTATGTTGGCCAGGCTGGTCTCGAACACCTGACCTCGTGGTCCACCCGCCTCGGCCTCCCAAAGCACTGGGATTACAGGCGTGAGCCACCCGGCCTGGCCTAGAATGACTTTTAAAAGATCAAATTAAATCAGGTCACTCCTTTGCTTACAACGCAGTGCGTTTAGAGGTACACCCCATGTCTCCACAGGGCATACAGCATCCGATTTAATCTGGATCCATTCCGGCGCCTTCCTCTCCCAGTCACCCAGAGGGCCCCAACCCCGGCGGCCCTTTCTTCCTCAAATGTCCTCGGCTCTATACCGTGCCTGGGTCTTTTCTCTTTCTCTCTGCCTGGAAGATTCCTTCTTTCCCCTTTTGTCTTGCCCACTCCTGTTTACCCTTCAAGTTTCAAGTTCATGTCACTGTCTCAGAGAGGTTTTCCTGTGCTCGCCCTGTTTCTCTCAGGAAGCCTTGCTCTTTTCCATCATGCCTCTAATCACAGCTTATAATCGGATATTTATTTCTGTGTCTACAGTCTTGCCCTGCCAGACTGTATGCCCCATGTGGGCAGGCGCTCATGATTGTTTCTGATTGTTTCACGCATGCTGCTAACCCAGAGCCTGGGCCCAAAGCTAGTTAGTACTCAATAAACAATGCATTGAATGAGTGGCTGTCACTGTGTCTGTTCAGCCAGCTGCCAAGGCAGAGGGGAGTAGAGCAGAGCCGCCCCAAATAAAAGACCTCATGTGATCAGAGTCCAGCTCCTCACCTGGCCTTGGAAGAAGGATGCAAGAAGCCACCTCTGTCCTCACCCAACTCAAGGATGGCAGGGAATCAAAGAATTCCTCAAAAGCCCCAGGCGAATGTCCTCTCATCCATCTTCCATGACCTGTACCTGAGCTCTCAGACAGCAGCAAGCCCTCTCTCCATTCCTAGTTTATCACCATTTGGTTCCTGGAACTGGGAAAAAACAGCAACCATAAGCTGTGCCTGGATGGAAGAAGACAACCTCTAGGGTCCTGTCTAACTCTGCAGGTGATTCAGTGCCTTACCCAATCCCTGAAGATCTTTTAGGTCCCAACTGCGCAGGGGACCTCCAACACAGGCAGACGCAAACAGCCTCTGGCCTGGACTTGCTGTGATCTCTGATTTGGCAAAATGAACCAGCAATAGTCTTGCCTTTGTGCTTTGTGTCCAGTTCTTCCTTCTTTTTTTTTTTTTTTTTTTTTTTTTGAGACAGAGTGTCTGTTGCCCAGGCTGGAGGGCAGTGGCGCGACCTTGGCTAACTGCAACCTCTGCCTCCCGGGTTCAAGCAATTCTTCTGCCTCAGCCTCTCGAGTAGCTGGGTTTACAGGCACCTGCCATCACGCCTGGCTAATTTTTGTATTTTTAGTAGAGACGGGGTTTCACTGTGTTGGCTAGGCTGGTCTTGAACTCCTGACCTCATGATCTGCCCGCCTCGGCCTCCCAAAGTGCTGGGATTACAGGTGTGAGCTGCCACACCCGGCCTTTTTTTTTTTTTTTTTTTTTTTTGGAGACAGTGTCTCACTATGTTGCTCAGGCTGATCAACTGATCTCAAACTATGGCCTCAAGTTATCCTCCTGCCTCAGCCTCCTGGATACCTGGGATTACAGGCACTAGCCACCACATCCAGTCTTTAAGCTTTTAAATTCAACTTACAAAGCTTGTTAGTTCTTCCTTCTTGACTTTATTCCTCATTGCATAGGCCTAGTCCTATTGAACTAAATGTCCATGGAGCATTTATCTGATCATTTTGAAATAATTTCAAAAAGTTGCAAGAATAGTACAAAAAACTCTTACCAGGCCAGGCACAGGGGGTCACGCCTGTCATCCCAGCACTTTGAGAGGCCGAGGCGAGTGGATTGCTTGAGCCCAGGAGTTTGAGACCAGCTTGGGCAACATGGCCAGACCTCATCTCTACTAAAAATACAAAAATTAGCTGGGCATGGTGGGGTGTGCCTGTGGTCCTAGCTATTCAGAAGGCTGAGGTGGGAGGATTGCTTGAGCCCAGGAAGAGGAGGTTGTAGTGAACTGAGATCACACCACTCCACTCCAGCCTGGCCAATAAAGCGAGACCCTGTCTCAAAAAAACAAACAAAAATAACAACAACAACAACACAAACCTCTAACATTCTCTTTGCCCAGGTTCCCCCAGTTATTAACATTTTACAACATTTGATTCCATATATCATTCTTTCTCTGTTTCTAATTGCTCTCTCTATATATCCTATTTTTTTTAACCACTCGAGACTAAGTTGCAGATATTATGCCTTTTATTCCTAGATTCTCCAGTGCACATTTCCTAAAGACAGTGACATTCTCCTATGGAGCCACAGTACATCCAATCAAATCAGAAAAGTATTAACATTGAAAAGACGCTAGTATCTGGCTCTGGCCCTGCTGAGCTTTGTTTTGTTTTGTTCTTGGTCCAGAACCCAATCCAGGATCACAAGTTACATTTAGCTGTCAACTCTCTAGTCTCTTTCAGTCTGAAATAGCTTCTTAGTCTTCCTTTGTGTTTTGGAACCTCATTTTTGAAGAGTACAGGCCAGTTACTTCATAGACTATCCCTCATTTCAGGTTCATCTAATGTTTCCCTAGGAAGAGGCTCAGGGGATACCTTTTTGAGAGGAGCACCTTGGCAGCGAGGCTTTGTCCTTCTCAGTGTACACACCAGGGGCACATGAATGGGGCCAAGTGTTATACTTCCAGCTTGTTGTTAAACCTTTAGGAGTCTGGAATTGGTCTTGATGGGAATTTTTTTTTTTTTTTTTTTGAGACAGGGGTCTCACTCCATTGCCTAGGCTAGAGTGCAGTGGCAGGATCGCTGTTCATTGTAGCCACTACCTCCTGGGCTCAAGCAATCCTCCTGCCCAGCATCCAAAGTAGTTGGGACTACAGGCGTGCACCGCCACCTCGGCTAAGTTTTCTTTCTTTTTACTTTTTGTAGAGATGGGATCATGCTATACTGTCTAGCCTGTCTCAAACTCCTGGCCTCAATCCATCCTCCCGCCTCGGCTTCCCAAAGTGCTGGGATTACAGGCATGAGCCACGACACCAGGCTTGTGGGAGTTTTTGTGCCACAAAAATCAGCAAATGTTACAAATCCATGTCCCCACCAGCCAGCTGTTACACATTTGCCAGCATACTGATGCATACAATGTTAATTTGTCTCAATATGATACTGACTTTGATCGCTTAAGTTGATTTCTGCCAGAATTTGCCATTGCGAAGTTACCATTTTTCCCTTAGTAATTAACACATATTTGGAGAGGAGACACTTTATGTAAAAGTCTTCACTCCTCCTTAAAACTTTACCCATTAGTGCTTGCATCCACTGAGGACTTTTGTCTAAATCTGCTATTACTATCATGGTTGCTGTTCCGTTTATTGCTGTGTAGCAAATTATCCCAAAACGTAGTGGTTTGAAACAAAAATAAAAATTTATGGGGCCAGGCGTGGTGGCTCACATCTTTAATCCCAGCACTTTGGGAGGCCGAGGCGGGCGGATCACCTGAGGTCAGAAGTTTGAGACCAGCCTGACCAACATGGGGAAACCCCGTCTCTACTAAAAATACAAGATTAGCCAGGCATGGTGGCGCACGCCTGTAATCCTAGCTACTTGGGAGGCTGAGGCAGGAGAATAGCTTGAACCCGGGAGGCGGAGGTTGCAGTGAGCCGAGATGGTGCCATTGCACTCCAGCCTGGACAACAAGAGTGAAACTCCATTTCAAAACCAAACCCAAAACAAACAAACAAATTTATGATCTCTCCCAGTGTCTGTGGGTCAGGGGTTTGGGCAGAGCCCAGCTGGACAGTTCTGCTCTGGGTCTCTCATGAGGTCCTTGTCACAGTGGAGGCAGAGCTGGAGCTGACGGGCCGCCAGGGGTCACCTCTCTGCACAGCCCCAGGGCTCAGCTGGTGCTCTCCTATGGCTAGTTTGGGCTTCTTCCCATTGGCCTCAACTTCTGGGGTAAGTATTCCACGGAATAAATGGAAGATTCTGGAAGTCACATGGCATTATTTCTGCCATACTTCGTTGGTCCCAACAGTAACAAAAAACACCTCCTGGTTTTAAGCGGAGGAGACAGAGATCCCAACTTTTGATAGAAGATTGTCAAAGTCACATTATAAAAAAGAATATATAGGATAAGAGAAGTCGTTGGAAAATATTTTGGAAAATACAACCATCAAATGGTGATTTTTTTTTCCTTCCTTCCTTCTTTTTTTTTTTTTTTTTTTCTTTTTCTGGGTCTCGCTCTGTCACCCAGGCTAGAGTGCAGTGGTATGATCACGACTCACTGCAGCTTTGACCTGTTGGGCTCAAGAAATCCTCCAGCCTCAGCGTCTCAAGTAGCTGGGACTACAGGTATGCATCACCGCAACCAGCTAATTAAAACTTTTTTTTTGATACAAACAAAGTCTCACTATGTTGCCCAATATGGCTCAAACACCTGGGCTCAAGCAATCCTCTCACCTCAGCCTCCCAAAGCATTGGGATTATAGGCGTGATCCACTGTGCCTGGCCAAAATGGTGATTTTCTAATTCTACCATTTCTTCCATATTAGTTGCCATTTTGCTGCAAGGAAGAACAATTCCTTCCCTCCCAGCTTCCTTTTTTCCTTTTTTTTTTTTTTGAGACAGAGTTTTGCTCTTGTTGCCCAAGCTAGAGTGCAATGGTGCAGTCTCGGCTCACTGCAACCTCCACCTCCCAGGTTCAAGTGATTCTCCTGCGTCAGCCTCCCAAGTAGCTGAGACTTCAGGCGCCTACCACCACGCCTAGCTAATTTTTGTATTTTTGGTAGAGATAGGGTTTCACCATGTTGGCCAGGCTGGTCTCGAACTCCTGACCTCAGGCGATCCGCACGCCTCGGCCTCCCAAAGTGCTGGGATTATAGGCGTGAGCCACTGTGCCCGGCCCCTTTTTTCCTTCTAGCTGTACGACTCAGGGATTCAGGTTGTATTCAATGAGCTATAATCCATTACTAGCACTATTTATTGTGATGCTTACACTATTCCAGATCTGGCCATGGGAGCCCTGTTAAGTTGGCTGCTGATAAAGTTCTATAATTGAGAACTTTCTTACTTTTTCCTTTTTTTTTTTTTTTTTGTGACAGGGTCTTGCTCCATCCCCCAGGCTGGAGTACAGTGGCACCATCACAGCTTATTGCAGCCTTGACCCCACAGGCTCAAGAGATCCTCCTACCTCACCCTCCCTAGTAGTTGGGACTACAAGCACGTACCACCACGTCTGGCTAATTTTTGTATTTTTTGTAGAGATGGGGTTTTGCCATGTTGCCCAGGCTGGTCTCAAACTCCTGAGCTCAAGCAATCTGCCCACCTCAGCCTCCCAAAGTGCTGGGATTATAGGTGTGAACCACTGCATCTGGCCATTCTTCCTTACGCAATAAAATGTTCTACCTTCATTTTGTACTTTCCCTGTGTCATGCCTGAGCTCAGCCATTTCTCCAGGGAGCTCTGTTCCTTTCAGTAGAGAATAATATTTAGTAGCCCTGATCTAGGCACTAGATGTGCTCATTGTTACTGGAGTGTGTGTGTGTGTGTGTGTGTGTGTGTGTAGACACAGAAATACAATTTATGCATATTAAAATGGGAATATTATGGCCAGGCATGGTAGCTCATCCCTGCAATCCTAGCACTTTGAGAGGCTGAGGCGGGTGGATCACTTGAGGTCAAGAGTTCGAAACCAGCCTGGCCAACATGGTGAAACCCCGTCCCTACTAAAAATAAAAAAAATTAGCCAGACATGGTGGTGGGCACCTGTAATCCCAGCTACTCAAGAGGCTGAGGCAGGAGAATCGCTTAAACACAGGAGGCGGAGGTTGCAGTGAGCCAAGATCATGCCACTGCACTCCAGCCTGGGCGAGACTCTGTCTCAAAAACAAACAAACAAGCATCCAAAACAAAACAAATAAAAAAAATGGGCAGGAAGAGGGAAAGAGTTGAAAAAAGAAGAGAAAACGATGGAATTGTTAGACTGGAAGTGGCCACTGGAATGGAAAGAGTTGAAAAAAGAAGAGAAAACGATGGAATTGTTAGACTGGAAGTGGCCACTGGAATGGAAAGAGTTGAAAAAAGAAGAGAAAACGGTGGAATTGTTAGACTGGAAGTGGCCACTGGAATGGAGGGCTCGGCTACCTTAGCAGTGCTCCCGAAGCTGCCATTTCAGAGGAAATGTGTGTTAGTCAGATTTTATTCTTTTTTCCTTAAGAAGACCCTTCAAATATGTATAAACCTCAGGACTGCCCCAAAATCTGGATCTGCGCCTGCTCTAGATCAGCTCTTCATTTGGAAGGAGGAAAGCGAGGTGGAGGTGTGTTCGTTTGAAAAGACTAGCTGAAAAGAGAAAACTTACAGGAGCCTCAGCTTGTGAGGGACCTTGAAAGACTATGCAACCAGCCTCACCTTCAGGAAGAGCAGCCCGAGACTTCCTCAGGAAGATGTCCCTGTTTCTTTTTATTTTCTTTTTTTTTGAGACTGAGTCTCACTCTGTCGCCCAGGCTGGAGTGTAGTAGCATGATCTCGGCTCACTGCAACCTCCACCATCCCAGTTCAAGTGATTCTCCTGCCTCAGCCTCCCTAGTAGCTGGGATTACAGGCACGCGCCATCACACCTGGCTAATTTTTGTATTTTTAGTAAAGTCGGGGCTTCACCATGTTGGCCAGGCTGATCTCGACCTCCTGACCTCAAGTGATCTGGCTGCCTCGGCCTCCCAAAGTGCTGGGATTACAGCCGTGAGCCACCGCACCCGGCGCCTGTTCCATTCTTAAAGCTCACCAGAACGCGATTCTGTAAACTGCTTCAGCCACCCATTCCGGAATCCCAAATGACGCCTTCCCATGGTCAGGATTTCAATGAGTGGTGCCATCCTTGGCTCTCACAGGAACTGATCCCTTGGGGAGGACTGTATGAAAATGCATCTGTAAGCTCAGATGAAGTCAGCATGCTAGGGTTGGAAATATTATTTTCACATACATAGTCTAGGTTACTTAATTTATTGTTTTGAGACAGGGTCTCACTGCCCAGCCTGGAGGGCAGTGCTGTGATCATAGCTCACTATAATCTTGAACTCCTGGGCTCAAGGGACCCTCCCGCCTCAGCCTGCCTCTCCAGTAGTTGGGACGACAGACGCGCACCACCACGCCCGGCTGTTTAATAGAGATGGGGGTCTCCTTTTGTTGCCCAGGATAGTATTGAACTCATGGCCTCACGTGATTCTCCTGCCTGTATCTCCCAAGGCACTGGGATTACAGGCCAGAGCCACCTTGCCAGGCCAGTATGTTACTTTAAATAGCAGTCATCCTAAAAATAGCTTACCCTCCTCTGTCCTTCCCTGCCTGGAAAGGGTGTAAAAATAACATTTGGGGGCTGTAAATGCTGTCTAGATCTCTGGAGCTAGGTAGGTGCAGAGGTGTGATTTGGGTTTGGCTGTGCTCCGAAAAAACCGGGGCCGAGCTGCTGGTTTTGAATTTGTCCAGGCTTTTTAGCCAATAGCCTCTTCCTCCGCCGGGAAGGGGTGGGACCCAGCCTTCCAAAACACCTTTGCTGAGGAACCGTGCAAAGACCTTGGATGAGGGCCCCAGCTCAGCCAGGCCTCCCTGAAGCGAAGCCAGCCCGGGGTGGGGACTGGTGGAGGGACTAGAGTTTCTTAGATTCACAGAATAGCAGAGCTGGGAGAGGCCTAAAGACCATCTTATCTACGCGTTTGTGTTTCTGATGACTGATTAAGGCCCAGAGAGGGTCAGTAACTCTTCCAGGTCGCACAGTGGGTGACAGTAGGTATGTGCTCGTCCTGGGACACAGAGCTGTTTTCTTCGCTTGTCTGGAGTGGGTTTCGGGGGTCGGCACTTGCCTCCCAGTGAGCTCCCGGCGCCTGCCAGTCCTGGCTGAGTGGGATCGGTCGGCCTCCACCCCTAATCTCCCCCGCTGCAGAGCCAAAGCACACCGGCCTCCAGGGGGCGCCGCCTCCGGGACGCGCCGACTCTCCCGAGCCCTGCTCTCTCTGGCCGGGGTCAGCCCCGGAAACAGCTTCAGTTTCCTGTCCCTTCCTCCCTGGGAGCAAGGATGTAGGCGCCCAGACCCCGCCCGCGGGCTCCCTTCGTCCGGCGTCCCTAGCGGCCCGCCCGGTCCCGCCGCCCCGCGGCTTGCGGATGGCTGCGGCCCCCCGGGCCCCGGGTGGCTGCGGTGGCGGGGAAACGGCAGAACGCAGGCGGCGATTCGCTGGGGACGGCGGCCGGAGGGAGGCGATGGCCCCAGGCTCGGCGCACCTGTGGAACTGCGCGGGCGGCGCGGCGCTGCTGCCCCCTGCCGGCCGCGCCCGGGCCCACTCCCGTGTCCACCCCGGCCCGGGTGCCCTCGGAGTCCCTCGCGTCACTGTGGGCAGCGCCAAGCTACGGCTTCCCATGGCAGAGCGGGGTGGGGCCGCGGGACGGCACAGAGCTCCCCTGCCGCGAATACGCCGGTTTAGTTGCTTCCCACAGATCACACATGGTCTCGCCTGTCCGCAGGGTCCCCTCCCGGCCTCAAGCCCCTGCCAGGCAGCATCGGCCGCTGGTGACCTTGGGTCATCCTGGCCTCTATGCATTTAGAGTAGACGCCGGGTGGTGGCGGCGCCTGTAGTCCCGCATTCTGGGAGGCCCAGGCGGGGCGCTAGAGCCCAGGAGTTCTAGACCAGCCTGGGGAAAACAGCGAGACTCTGTCTCTTCAAAACAAAACAAAAACAAACAAACAAAAAAGGGTAGAGCCCATAGTACAGGATGAGAGAGTAGTGCCGTAATGAATTTTAAATTTTAATTACATTTAAAATTAAAATGAATCTATATACAATCACATTTCAAAAATTCAAAAAGTATGAAAAGGAACACATTCGAAAGGCTTCTATCCACCTCTGTTTTCCACTGTCCTCTTTCCCATCCCACCCATTCTCCCACCAGGCTTAGTTTCTTGTGTTTCTTTATGCAAAATAAACAAAAGCAAATATATATATTTTTTCCTGCTCTCATATAAAAGGCAGCACAGTATCCACACTGTTCTGAACTCTTTTTTTTTTTTTTTGAGACAGGGTCTCACTCTGTTCCCCAGACTGGAGTGCAGTGGCACAATCTCAACTCACTGCAGCCTCCACCTCCTGGGTTCAGGCTATTCTCCTGCCTCATCTGGACCACAGGCGCACACCACCATGCCCGGCTAATTTTGTATTATTATTTTTTTCGAGATGGAGTCTTGCTCTGTCGCCCACAGATGGAGTGCAATGGTGCGATCTCGGCTCACTGCAACCCCTGCCTCCCGGGTTCAAGCAATTATCCTGCCTCAGCCCCCCGAGTAGCTGGGATTACAGGTGTGCGCCACCACACCTGGCTAATTTTTGTATTTTTAGTAGGGACGGGGTTTCACCATGTTGACTAGGCTGGTCTTGAACTCCTGACCTCATGATCTGCCCACCTCGGCCTCCCAAAGTGCTGGGATTACAGGCGTGAGCCACCACGCCCTCCCTAATTTTTTTATTTTTATTTTTTATTTTTTTGAGATGAAGTCTTTGCTCTTGTCACCCAGGCTGGAGTGCAATGGCACCATCTTGGCTCACTGCAACCTCTGCCTTCCAGGTTCAAGCAATTCTCCTGCCTCAGCCTCCCAAGTAGCTGGGATTACAAATGCACACCACCACGCCCGGCTAATTTTTGTATTTTTAGTAGGCCAGGCTGGTCTCGAACTCCTGACCTCAGGTGATCCAGCCACCTCCCAAAGTGCTGGGATTATAGGCATGAGCCAACGTGCCCAGCGAATTTTTGTATTTTAGTAGAGACGGGGTCTCACCATGTTGTCCAGGCTGGTCTTGAACTCCTGACCTCAAGTGATCTGCCTGCCTCAGCCTCCCAAAGTGCCGGGATTACAGGCCTGAGCCACTGCGCCCCGCCTGGATCTCAAGTCTTGATAAGATTTAGGATTGATTCTTTCAGCAGGACTACTTAACAGGTGGTGTGCCTTCCAATTTGCATCCCAACCGTATTAGGGTTCTCCAGAGAGACAGAACCTATAGCATGCAGGTAGGTAGGTAGGTAGATAGATAGATAGATAGATAGATAGATAGATAGATAGATAGATAGATAGATAGAGATAGGAGACAGACAGATAGATGAGAAGGGATTTATTAGGTGAATTGGCTCCACGTGATTATGGAGGCCTGAGAAGTCCTACGACAGGCCGCCTGGAGACCTGGGGCTGCTGGGAGCATGGCTCAGTTCAAATCTGAAAGCCTCTGAACCAGGGGAGCTGAAGGTGTGACTCAGTCTGAGACTGAAGGCCTGAGAACCTGGGGGGCTGCTGGTGCAAGTCCCAGCATCTAAAGGTCAAGACCCTTAGACTTCTGATGTCCAAGGGCAGGAGAAGAAGGCTGTCCCAGCTCCAGGAGAGAGACAGCAAATTTGCCCTTCCTCTGCCTTTTTGTCCTACCGAGGCTCCCAGCTGATTGGATGGTACCCTCCCATATTGACAGGGCGTCTTCCCCACTCAGCCTACCAACTCATACGCCAGTCTCCTCTGGAAGCAGCCTCACAAGACACTGCTTTACCAGCTATCTAGGTGTCCCTCAATCCAGTCAAGTTGACTCCAAAAAGTAACCATCAAATACAATGAAGTGCAGCCAGTCAAAGGCTGGGACCCATCCATGGCTGGAGCCACAGGGGCAGCAGCCAGTGGGGTCACTTGGAGTCAGGGCATGGGGAGACAGCATCAGGCAGTGGCTCCATCTGCTCAGCCCACCCGTAAGCCTGGGCTCTGGAGGGCAACTGACTCCCCCAGGAGCCTTCCCTCTGCCTATCCCTGGAGTTCCCTCCCCTCCTATGGGAGTCTGGGGGCCTTCAGGAGCTGATCCCCTTGCCTGCATGCCAGTCTCCCTAGGAAGGATCTTGCAGAATGAGCCCAGGTTCAGCTCAGAGACTCTCTGGTGCCAGCTGCCCCTTCTCAGGGTCGGTGGCAGGAGAGTGTGAGGGCTGAGCTAAGTGCATCAATGCCCCGTTTGCCCCTAGGATTCGGAAGAGGCCATGGCAGGAGCTGTATTTGGAGGGTCCAGGCACTGCCCTGACTGGGAAGTGCAGTGCAGCCTAGGGATGGGCCAGGGAGCTCACAATGACAAGAGGGCAGAGAGCAGGGAGTCTATCTGCCCTCCTGGGGAACAGCCACCAGGTACCAAGCAGGGAGGCTAGCAGCCCAGCCCAGGGACTTGCGTGGACTTCGCATGCTTCCCACATGCTTAGAACTCTGTCAGGGGCCAGGCACGCTGGCTCCAGCCTGTAATCCCAGCAGTTTGGGAGGCCAAAGCAGGTGGATCACCTGAGGTTAGGAGTTCAAGACCAGCTTGGCCAACTTGGTGAAACCCCATCTCTACAAAAATTAGCCAGGCATGATGGTGGGAGACTGTAATCCCAGCTACTCCAGAGGCTGAAGGGGGAGAATCACTTGAACCCGGGAGGCGGAGGTTGCTCTGAGGCGAGATTGTGCCATTGCACTCCAGCCTGGGCAACAGAGTGAGACTCCGTCTCAAAAAAAAAACAGAACAAAACAAAACACAAAACAAACAAAAAAAGAACTCTGTCAGACTGGGTGCAGTGGTTCATACTCTTGTAATCCCAGCACTTTGGGAAGCCAAGGCGGGTGGATTGCTTGTGCTCAGGAGTTTGAGACCAGCTTGGGCAACACGTCGAAACCCCATATCTGCCAAAAAATACAAAATTTAGCTGGGTGTGGTGGGGAGGCTGAGGTAGGAGGATTGCTTGAGCCCAGGAGGTCGGGGCTGCAGTGAGTCGAGACTGAGTGACTGCACTCCAGCCTGGGCAACAGAAGGAGACCCAGTCTCTAAAAAAAAAAAAAAAGAAAGAAAGAAAAAGAAAAGAAAAAGAACTCTGTCTACTGATGTTTCTGATGTTTCCTTCCTCCCTCCTCTTCATCTCTGTTGGGTTTTAAAATTTCCTTGATCAAGCTTCTCTTGCCTTTCCTTTTCTTTCTTTCTTTCTAGCTTCTCCTTTCTCCTATTCCCTCCTCTCCTCTCCTTTTTATTGCCCCTTTCCCACAAGAAACCAGCCTGTCTTCAACGTGGATACAGTGGACTGGGCAGAAGGAGCCAGCCTGGCGCAACTGGCCCTGGGGGCAACTCAGAGCCTGAATCTCTAGTGCTCTCTCCTCTGCCTGCACTTGGAGCCATGACCCAGCCTGACCCTCCACAGGGACCGTGCCAAGGGCTCTGTCCCTTGCCAGCATTTCAGGCGCTTTGGGCCAGCTGGCCTCTTTTGGGCCAGAGTTCCCTGGAGCAAGTGACGATGGGCGGGGAGAGGATGGTACTGACACAGGAAGGGAACAGGGGGACATGGCAAAGGCAGAAGCTGGGCAGGACTGGGGATGGGAGCACCCCATCAGGAGCACTGGGCTGAGGAGCGGTGTCTGTTTGGCCAGGAAGCTCCCTGAGTTACTTTTTCCTTTTTTTTTTTCTGTTGAGACGGAGTCTCACTCTGTTGCCCAGGCTGGAGTGCAGTGGCGCGACCTCGGCTCACTGCAAGCTCCACCTCCCGGGTTCACACCATTCTCCTGCCTCAGCCTCCCGAGTAGTTGGGACTACAGGTGCCTGCCACCACGCCCGGCTAATTTTTTGTATTTTTAGTAGAGACGGGGTTTCACCGTGTTAGCCAGGATGGTCTCGATCTCCTGACCTTGTGATCTGCCCGCCTCGGCCTCCCAAAGTGCTGGGATTACAGGCGTGAGCCACCGTGCCCGGCCTCCCTGAGTTACTTTCTTCTATACATGGGTCAGGATGTTGGAAGGTCACCCTTCCACCCCTGCCCCCCAGCTATGGCAAGGAGCGTTGAGGCCGAGGGTGAGGGTGGATGGGCTCAGTGACAGAGTGTTCAGCCTGGGAGGTGCCTAATCTTTTCTATAAATGTCACCTGCCTATGAATCAGGGCCACACATTCCATCTCAGACTGGGTCACCATCCCAGCTTACTGACCAGGACCCCAGCCCCAGTCCACTGCAGCCCTAGCACACATATCTCTGGCAAGCCTTGGAAGCACCTCATTCATCACCTCTTTTTCCCAATGCCTGGGCACAGCCATAAAGGGGCCTGAGAGTTTGGGAGTCAAAATCTTGTTACCCTCAGCCCAGAATTAACATGGCCATGTCCTGCACCTGACTTTTTCTAAGCAGGAGAGACAGGTGGGCTTGATAACATGAAAGAACTTGTCCCAAAATCCGTGCAGTGTGTAAGCTTGCCACTGGAGCCCTCGGGCCTGTCTCTGCCTGTCGCTTCGCCTTGTCATTCTCATAGTGCCCCTTGCCTTTGCCTTCCTTGCCACGTGCAGAGTTTATGTTCAGGATAGGACCAAGTGTCAGGTATTGATGCCACAGAGGGAATGAGCTCACCTTTTAGCATTCTCTGTTCTCCCTGTGGTTCTTGCCTTCAGAAGGGACCTGGGGAGTCAGGGAGGAACGGTCCCGAGATGGCATGGGCACCTGAACTCTCATTACAACAGAGGCGCCAGTTATTCTGCTCATCTGCGGGGGATGGGAAGGTGCAGTAGGGGTCTCTAGTATGGGGCTGGTGGGGAAAGAGGCTGTTGGAGTTTTAGGAATAAATCACTTTCGGAGGCCAAGGCGGGAGGATTGTTTAAGGCCAGGAGTTGAGACCAGCCTGGGCAACATAAGGAGACCCCATTTCCAAAAAATATTAGCCTGGCACAGTGGCGTGTGCCTGTAGTCCCAGCTACTCAGGAAACTAATGTGGAAGGATTGCACCAGTGCACTCCAGCCTGGGCGACAGTGAGAACTTGTCTCTTAAAAAAAAAAAAAAAAAGAGGCCAGGTGCAGTGGCTCGTGCCTGTAATCCCAGCACTTTGGGAGGCCAAGGTGGGCGGATCACTTGAGGTCAGGTGTTCAAGACCAGCCTGGCCAACATGGTAAAACTGGAGCCCATGGTGAAAACTTGTCTCTACTAAAAATGCAAAAATTAGCCAGGTGTGGTGGCGCACGTCTGTAATCCCAGCTACTCTGGAGGCTGAGGCAGGAGAATCGCTTGAACCCAGGAGGTGGAGGTTGCAGTGAGTTGAGATCGTGCCACTGCACTCCAGCCTGGGTGACAGAGTCAGACTCCATGTCAAAAAAAAGGCAAGGTATGGTGGCTCATACCTGTAATCCCAGCACTTTGGGAGGTGGAGGCAGAAGAATTACTTGAGGCCAGGAGTTCTAGACCAGCCTGAGTGACATAGTGAGACCGTGTCTAGAAAAAAAAAATTCGCTGGGCATGGTGATGCAAGCCTGTGATCCCAGCTACTTGGAGGCTGAGGTGGGAGGATTGCTTGAGGTCAAGGCTGCAGTGAACTTTGATCGCGCCACTGCACTCCATCCTGAGCGACAGAGACCCTGTCACACACACACAAAAGGAACCCAGGCTTTCCTGCTTAAATCTAAATCATTGAAAAAGAGACAAGGGACATATGAGAATAAAAATGTCAGCTTTATTACTGCTAAAAGCTTGTTGGAGAACACCACTTATTTGGGAGACAACACGGACTTGCTGATGCTGCCGTTGGTGTCCTTGGCACAGGTATAAAGCCCAGCCCTCCGTGCTGCAGGGACAGGCAGAACACAGACTTCTGGTGGACCAGCTGGCTCCTAAAGAGGAGAGGGGACTAAATCATGTATGCTTGGTTCTTTCTTCCCAGCTTCTCTCAGGTAACTCACGTTTCCTCTTCCCCAGGTAGAGAGAGGCCAGGAGTATTATTAACAGAAGTCCCATTTTCAGGGAAACATGACTAGTAGGAAATATGTATCCCTTCCCTACAGAGAACTCCACCTTCTCAGAATTCTCCCTCAGCAAGACTGAGTGTGTATGTGTGTGATGAGAGAGATGGAGAGAGATAGAAAGAGAGAGAGACAGTGAGCAGTAAACCCTCCTGCAAGCCCTTCCTGACCCCAGCCAGGGGGACCTGCCCATCTCTCTGTGGCCTGTTGGCCATCCTCCACCCCTGTTCTTCCAGCCACAGCTTCCCTGCCATTCCTGTACTGGGAACCAACTTCTCTTTTCTTTCGTCTGCCTCCTACTGGTGTGAGGTAGGATATGCCAGTTTCCCTCCTTTTATCCTTTATTCCTTCTCATGTGGAAAAGCAACCATGACTTTTAGCCAGTCATAAGGCTATATTTTCTAGCCTTCTTTGCTGCTAGGCATGACCATGTGGTTAAGTTTTGGCCAATGAGGTGTAAGCAGAAGTGGTATAAGAGACTCCTTGGAAGTGCACCTGTAGGGAAATGGGATACCCCTTTTTGTCTCTTTCCTGGTGGCTGGAATGTGAACATAAGGGCTGGAGCCTGAGCAGCTATCTTAGACCATGAAGTGGCAGCTGTGCAGTGAAGGCCGTGAGGGAGCAAAATAGGAGCCTGGGTACCTAACAAGTTTGTGGAACCACAATACCAAGGCTGTGTTGTTCTCTCCCAACTACTTCGTTTATGTGAGAGAAACACATTTCTTTCTTATCTAAGCCACTGCTCTTTGGAGGTTTCTGTGTCTTACAGCCAAACCTAATCCTAACTAATAGAAAATGTGTGTGGGTGTTAGCAGGTTTACAGACATCTAGATGCAGACACATTTGTGCAAGTTTGTGGAGAAAGTAGGAGTATGAACAGTCATTCACCTATTGCTTTTTTTTTTTTTTTTTTTTTTCTGAGATGGAGTCTCACTCTGTCGCCTAGGCTGGAGTGCAGTGGCACGGTCTCAGCTCACTGCAACCTCCATCTCCCGGATTCAAGCGATTCCCCAGCCTCGGACTACCGAGTAGCTGGGATTACAGATGCGTGCCACCATGCCCAGCTAATTTTCGGATTTTTAGTAGAGACGTGGTTTCACCTTGTTGGCCAGGCTGGTCTCGAACTCCTGACCTCAGGTGATCTGCCCGCCTCCACCTCCCAAAGTGCTGGGATTACAGGCCACCGTGCCTGGCCTCACCTGCCTATTAATGTAAACTGAGCACCCATCATGTGCAAGGCATCCTGCATGACAGGACTGTGAGGGAGACAGGTGAATCAGAGAGACACTGCCCTCAAGCAGCTTAGAGTCCAGGGCATCGAGCTTGTACACGTGTGAGGCCGGAACTTCCCACAGTGTATCTTCTGTTCTGCTACCTTTCCTGAAAAGAACTGGCTCACCTCGGATTCCTGCCAGGAATGGCTGCTGTTTTATGGGGTTTGGGCCACAACTGAGGATGACCGAAAGCAAGGCAGGCCTGGGAGAAAAATGTGGCTCACTTGAGATGAGCAGGGCCCACAGATATCAGTGCTGGGGCACCAGTTGAACAGAACTGTGGTCATATAGGTGTGGCTGGGGGCTGGGGATAGAGAACAGGGAGCAGCATCTGTTCTGGGATGGGAAGTGTATGGTCTCCAGAACATACTGGTCCAGCGTCTGCTCAGAGACATGCTAACTCCTAAAGGAGAGCTTCCTAAAGTGGGTCAGCAGCATGAGCATCCTGGGGAGCTGATCAGATATGCACATCCAAACTCCAAAGGGAGCGCCATCAATCTGGGTTTTTAGGAGACCTCCAGGTGATTCTGATGGATGCTCAAGTTAGAGAATCCTGGACCTCTGAAGCCAGGTAGCAAGGTGGGGCAAGTCAGCGCATAGAAGGCTACAAATTCCAAATATAGTGTAATCCAAGCACCGAAGCCCTCTCTGAGACAAAAGCTGATTTAACAAACCCCACGAGTAACATGTGATTGAAGACTGGCGAGGCCCTTCTAATTAACATCCACGGTCCATTTGTACAACAGACGGTACAAAACATAATCTGGATAAACTCAGAAGACGTGCTCATATAAAGATTTGGGAAGTCTCCAAATTCAATCAAGTGAGCAGAGCAAATATTCTGAACCTGAATACGAAAGAACATCTTAATGTGATTGTGTCGTAACATGACTGGGAATCAAAATAAAGATGCGTTAAGCAACAGCAGGGCAGGGGTTCTGCTTACAATGTCAGCCACAGAGCCTGAGTTTGTTAGTGTTTATTCAGCACTGCCCAAAGGATAGAGCTAGGGGTGGCAGAATATGTGCTCCGTGCATCCGGCAGGATGGGAAGACACCTAGAATAGCACAGGGTAGACGTGAGTGCCCTTGTTCCTGGAAGTGCAAACTCTTTAACATGGCAAGCCTTAGCTGTGAGATTTCTCCTTAGAGGATGGTTCTTACCTTTTACTGGCTTATGAACCCAGAGAATCTAATAAAGACTTATCACGTACACACACAGTCTTTGATTCAATAATCATGTTGGAATCTCCCACAGTGCACCTTCTGTCATCTTTCCCCGAAACAAACAGACAAACAAACCAAACCAACTAAAACAACAGCAAAACCCAGCCCATTTCTGGTTCCTGCTTTGGATGGGCTGGAATGGTCTTATGGCATTCAGTCCACAATGGAGGAAGAATGAAAGCAAGGCAGGCCCATGTGGGGAACACTGCTGACTTAGGCTGAAACTCCTGAAGATTAATAACACTAAGTATGACACAGTCCTGATCACCAAGAATATTAGTTATCTTTTGCTGTATAACGAATTATCCCAAAGTGTAATGACTTAAAACAACAAACCTTCAGTATCTCCCTGTTTCTGAGGGTTAGGAATTCAGGAGTGACTTAGCTGGGTGGTTTTGCCTCAGGGTGGTTCATGAGGTTTTGGTCAAGGGTTCCGCCAGGAATGGAAGCTCCACCTCCAAGAAGATTCTCTCTCCTGACTACTGGTAGGATGCCTCAGATCCTCACCATGTGGGCCTTTCTATAGGGCTGCTTGAATGGCCTCACCACATGACAACTCTACTATGCGTCTAGCTTTCCTAGAATGAGTTATCTAAATGAGGGCAAGGTGGAAGTCACAGTATCTTTTATGACCTAGCCTTGGAAATCAACTACACTCACTTCTGTCCCATGTTATTTATTAAAAAGTCAGTGAAGTCCAGCCCACACTCAATGGGAGGGGAATTAGAATTAGACTCCAGGTTTTTTTTTTTTCTTTTTTTTTTTTTGAGACAGAGTCTCACTCTGTTGCTCAGGCTGTAGTGGCACAATCTTGGCTCACTGCAACCTCTGCCTCCTGAGCTCAAGCGATCCTCCCACCTTAGCCTCCTAGAATAGCTGGGACTACAGGTGTGTGTCACTATGCCTGGCTAATTTTTTTTTTATATATATATTTTGTGGAGACAAGGTTTTGTCACGTTGCCCAGGCTGGTCTGGCATTCCTGGACTCAAGTGATCCACCTGCCTCGGCTTCCCAAGTGTTGGGATTACAGGCATGAACCACCATACCCACCCAACTCCAGCTTTTTTTTTTTTTGGAGACATAGTTCCGCTCTGTCGCTCAGGCTGGAGTGCAGTGGCTCAATCTCAGCTCAGCTCTCTGCAACCTCTGCTTCCCAGGTTCAAGTGATTCTCCTGCCTCAGCCTCCCAAGTAGCTGGGATTACAGGCACACACCACCATGCCTGGCTAATTTTTGTATTTTTAGTAGAGACAGAGTTTCACCATGTTGGCCAGGCTGGTCACGAACTCCTGACCTCAGATGATCCACCTACCTCGGCCTCCCAAAGTGCTGGGATTACAGGCATGAGCCACTGTGACCGGCCTTTTTTTCTTCTTTCTTTTTTTTTTTTTTTTGAGATAGAGTCTCACTCTGTTGCCCAGGCTCGAGTACAGTGGCACGCTCTCAGCTCACTGCAACCTCCACCTCCCAGGTTCAAGCGATTCTCCTGCCTCAGCTTCCCAAGTAGCTGGGATTACAGGTGCATGACGAGCTAATTTTTGTATTTTTAGTAGAGACGGGTTTCGCCATGTTGGCCAGGCTGGTCTTGAACTCCTGATCTCAGATGATCCGCCTGACTTGGCCTCCCAAAGTGCTGGGATTACAGGTGTGAGCCACCGCGCCTGGCTATGCTTTTGAGGAGCCGATTGTCAAAAAAAACTGTGGGCATGTTTAAAAGCCATCATACCAAGAAATTTCTAATGACTAAATCAGTTTCTAGGTAGTTTAATAGAAGGAAGGGATTAGGAACATTGCAATCCTAGAGAGCTATGTCCCCTGGCAGGGTTTAAGTGTCGGGCTATTGTGAGTTTGACTGACTTGAATTAGTCTTCCAAATTCTGATTAGCTGTAGTTGAACTGAATTAAGATCTTGCCCTTCAAAGCTGAGGACCAAAGGACACCGCTAACTACTTCTTCATTTTATTATTATTATTATTATTTTTTTTTTTTTCAAGACGGAGTCTCACTCCGTCACCCAGGCTGGAGTGCATTGGCGCAATCTCGGCTCACTGCAACTTCTGCTGCCTGGGTTCAAGCGATTCTCCTGCCTCAGCCTCCCGAGTAGCTGGGACTTGAGGCGCCTGCCACCGCGCCTGGCTAATTTTTGCAGTTTTCAGCAGAGACGGGGTTTCACCATCTTGGCTAGGTGGTCTTGAACCCCTGACCTCCTGATCCACTCGCCTCAGTCTCCCAAAGTGCTGGGATTACAGGTGTGAGCCACCGCACCCGGCCCTATTTTATTATTTTTAAAATAGAGAAGGGGTCTCCCTATGTTGCCCAGGCTGGTCTGGAACTCCTGGACTCAAGTTTTCCTCCCACCTTGACCTTCCAAAGTTCTGGGATTACAGGGGTGAGCCACCGCACCCTGGCCTGCTAATGTGTGAGCTAGTGCAGTCTCTGTCCATATCCTCGACTCCCTCTCTGCTAGTGCTAAGTACATTGTAGGGTCCCGCGTTTTTAGCATAGCTATACCTATGAATGGGCCAAAGAATCTGAGGGCATCCTACACATTTCAAACGGTGGGAATGGAGACCTCTTTCCTCCAGCAGAATCTCCCCTCATGACCGGGGGACTACCAGATCCAGCTCTGCTAAGGGCCTCCACGGACGGAGTCGGCTACCTCTCCACTTTCAGTGACCGAAATCCATTCTTTGTTCATTCACCCTTGTGTCTACTCCGGGAAACGCGCAGCGGACACAGTCGTGTTCCCTAAGTGTTTGCTGACTTAGTCATCTGGCCCTCTCTGGAGTAGTCATTTTGTACCTTGTACTACATTCGTGCCTCTACCTCTCCGCAGTGCGCGCGGGGGCGGACTCACGTGCGCAGTCTCCCTATGCGCTGGGAGGGCGTCAGCAGGTTTACAGAAACAATGAAAGACTTAACAATTGGCGCGCGACGAGCGTCCCTTGACTGGCAGGGGCCCAGAGGACCTGAACATCACTAAGGGTCTGCCCCAGCGGCCCGGCCCTGAAGTCAAGGTTGAGACCCCCGGCCCAGACAGTCCGCGAAGCTGAGGGAGGCCGGCCTGGGGCCTGCCGCGCAATGTTACCGGGATCCGCAGGCACAGGGCGATAGTACGGACGCCGCCGCCCAGGCCGTGCCCATTGTGCGCCGCGGCCAGCTCACCGCGATCTCGGTCTAGGAGGCGGCGGGACCCCGCACTTCTTCCTTGCAACGGAGCCCCTTTGGCCTGCGGGTCGAGTTCCATAGGCGCCCGACGGGCTCCGCGCGCTTACAGGACTACAACTCCCGTGATGCCGCGCGCGCCGACCGCTGATTGGCTGTGCAGCGGACGGACTCGCGGGGGGGGGGGGCCGCACGCCGTGCACGTGCGCACGGCGACGGCCGGATGGCTGCGTGGGGCTGTGTGGCTGCGCTCGGCGCGGCGCGTGGGCTTTGCTGGCGGGCGGCGCGCGCGGCTGCGGGGCTCCAGGGCCGCCCCGCCCGCAGGTGCTATGCTGTGGGCCCCGCTCAGGTGAGGACGTCCGGGTTCTGGCCGAGCCACTCGCCACTCAGGGCCGGAGGCGGGGCGGGGAGCCGCGGGGAAGGAGGGGCGGCCGGGCTGGTATCCCAGCCTCCTGGGAACTGCCTGGACCGTCGTCGCGCCCGAGTGCATCGCGTTCTTGCTGGAGGGCGGATGCGCCCTGCCTTCCTCTGACTCGCTGGCGGCCTCGGAAACGCTACTCCCGCGGGAGAGCGCTCGTGGGACGGCCTGGGCCAGGCTGCTTGTCAGCCCCTGCGCTTCCCGGCAGTTTCCGCGTCCCTGTTTTCCCTGCGCGTCTTCTGATTTCCACCATGAGGACGTTTGGGTCGTGATTTTCATCTGCATGTGGAGGAAACTGGGCCGCGCGCCGGGAGCCGCGCCTGCGGGTGCTCCGCCCCCAAGTGCCTGTGGGTTTGGTGCGGGCCTTGGGTTCAGTTCAGCTCGCTGTGACCTCGACTGAGCGCTGGAGGCTCCGCGGGCGGGAGCAGGAGGGCTGGAGCCGGCGCCTGCTGTGTGCCCGGCGCGGTAGTGATGTGTGAGCCTCCCCGCAACTTCTGAGAAGGTGTGACCTTGTGTGGTCAGGAAGCCGAAGCTTGACGAGTTTTCAAGTACGTTTTCTCAGGTCCTGCAGCTGGGAGACGGCACAGGACACTAAACCAGGTTGGTCAGATCCACGGCTCTCACGCTCCCTTGGGCCGTTTTGCCTTTTCTGGAAAAAGGAATCACTTTGTCTTCTAAACGCACAAGTAATATTTTACATTAACATACGGATTTCACAGTAATCCTTGCATTTTTTTTTTTTAGACGGCATCTCTGTCACCAGGTTGGAGTGCAGTGGCGCAATCTCTGCTCACTGCAACCTCCGCCTCCCGGGTTCAAGCGATTCTTCTGTCTCAGCCTCCCGAGTAGCTGGGATTACAGGCACCCGCCACCACATCCGGCTAATTTTTGTATTTTTAGTAGAGACAGGGTTTCACCATGTTGGCCAGGCTGGTCTCGAACTTTTGACCTCAGATGATCCTCACATCTTGGCCTCCCAGAGTGGTGAGATTACAGGCATGAGCCAGTGCACCCGGCCAAATTACTTGCATGAAAAAAACACATAGTGCTTACTTTGTGCCAGGCACTATTCTAAGTACTTCACAGTTATTCGTATAATCTTTATAACAACTCCGAGGAAAGTACTATTATTAGTCTTCCCATTTTATAGATGGAGCAGAGGCACAGAGAGGTTAAGCAGCTTACCCAAGGGCACACAGCTGGTAAGTGGCAGAATCTGGAACTCAGGTAGTCTGGTGCCAGAGTCTAAGCTCTTAACAGCTGTATTATTTTTATGATTTTTAAATATGGAGCAGCTAAGGTTCAAAGCAGCTGAGTGACTTGGCCAGTGTCACATAGCTAGACGTGACCAAGGTGGAAGTTTGAAATTAGAATATGTTGATAAAAGGACTTACAAACTGTCAGGATATAAATATAAGGAAATATCGCCCTTATTTATAACTGTTGTATTGGCTCTAGCATCTCTGCAGAGTCCCGAAATGTCTCCAAGTGACTCTTCCGGTAGAGCAGAAAAAGAAGAATGCAGGATGACAGAGTTTGAGCACGAGCTTTAGAATTGAATCCTGTGCAGTCTGTTAGCGGCTTCACTTAAGGCAATTTACATAGCTTTCCAAGCTCAGTTTCCCCATCTATGTAATGGATCTATTACTTGTAATCCCAGCTACTCGGGAGGCTGAGGCAGGAGAAGCCCTTGAACCTGGGAGGGAGGTTGCGGTGAGCGGAGATCGGGCCATTGCACTCCAGCCCGGGCAACAGATCCTGACTCTTATCAAAAAAAAAAAAAAAGAAAATTAACCTTAGTTTAACTTTCTTGCTTTACCAAGTTTTTAATTTTTAAAATTTTTTACTCTTTTGTAATAGCACTTAGTTTAAAACACAACACATTGTACAGCTGTACTAAATATATCTTCATTTATATCATTGTTCCATAGCTTTTTTCTTTTGTGTGTGTGTGTGTGTGTGTGTGTGTGTATGTGTGTGAGACGGTGTCTAGCTCTGTTGCCCGGGCTGGAGTGCAGTGGCGCCATCTCGGTCCACTGCAACCTCTGCCTCCCAGGTTCAAGTGATTCGCCTGCCTCAGCCTCCCAAGTACGTGGGATTACAGGCGCCTGCCACCACGCCCAGCTAATTTTTGTATTTTTAGTAGAGACGGGGTTTCACTGTGTTGGCCAGGCTGGTCTCGAACTCCTGACCTCATGATCCGCCTGCCTTGGTTTCCCAAAGTATTGGGATTAGAAGCATGAGCCACCGTGCCCAGCCAGCTTTTTTTTTTTTTTTGAGACGGAGTCTCGCTCGCTCTGTTGCCCAGGCTGGAGTGGAGTGGCGTGGTCTCGGCTCACTGCAAGCTCTGCCTCCTGGGTTCACATCATTCTCCTGCCTCAGCCTCCGGAGTAACTGGGAGTATAGGTGCCTGCCACCACGCCTGGCTAATTTTTTGGATTTTTAGTAGAGATGGGGTTTCACTGTGTTAGCCAAGATGGTCTCGATCTCCTAACCTCGTGATCTGCCCTCCTTGGCCTTGCAACATGCTGGGATTACAGGCAGCTTTTTTCTATTAAAAAAAATTACAGGTGTGCACCACCACGCCCGGCTAATTTTTTGTATCTTTGGTAGAGATGGGGTTTCACCATGTTGGCCAGACTGGTCTCGAACTCCTGACCTCATGATACGCCCGCCTTGGCCTCCCAGAGTGCTGGGATTACAGGCGTGAGCCACAGTGCCCTACCTTAAAAAAAATTTTTTTTTTTAACTTTTGTTAAAAATGAAGACACAAACACCTACTAGCCCAGGCCTACATAAGGTCGGGTCAGGTAATTGATATCACTGTCTTCTGCCTTCACACCATGTCCCATTAGAAGGTCTTTAGGGGGCAGTCATATGCATGGAACTGTCATCTGCGATAACAGTGCTTTCTTCTGGATATCTTCTGAAGGACCTCTCTGAGGCTCTTGAGGTGTCACTCTTATCAGAAATATGTCCATTGTGGTTTGCTTGGTTTCTTTTTTTTTGTCATAGGTTTGCTTGTAAACAGATAATGTACCATAAACATTCTTCTCTAGTAATGAAAACCTTTTGGCGTTGGAGTTCATGTTTCAGACTTTTTAAGGAACTTGAGGTCTGTAAAAGCTGCTGAACCCTTCACTGTGAATTTTCTTGGATGTTCTTTTCTTTCTGTGGCTACCTTTTCTCTTGCCTCTTCTTCAGCTATGAGTTCCTGTTCCATTATAATCTTAAGGGACCATTGTATATGCAGTGTGTCATTGACTGAAACATCGTTATGGTGCGTGACTGTATTACCATCTTGCATTAGTGTGGTACATTTGTTATAATTGATGTACACCTTCACTTTTTATGGTACTGGGTGCCTGGTTCTCTGTGTACATCCTGAAGGTTGGGGAGGGGTTGGAGTGATGGGTGAGGGAGCCTTATGGATATTGCTCAATTTTCCTGAAAACTTTGCTGTTCTAAGTAGCAGGGGCTATGGATTCTTATTTTTAAGAAAGCAGATCTTGGGCCGGGCGCGGTGGGTCATGCCTGTAATCCCAGCACTTTGGGAGGCCGCGACGGGCGGATCACGAGGTCAGGAGTTTGAGACCAGCCTGGCCAATATGGTGAAACCCCGTCTCTACTAAAAATATAAAAAATAAGCCAGGTGTGTTGGCGCGCGTCTGTAGTCCCAGCTACTTGGGAGGCTGAGGCAGGAGAATCACTTGAACCCAGGAGGCAGAGGTTGTAGTGAGTCGAGATTGCACCACTGCACTCCAGCCTGGGTGACAGTGAGACTCCGTCTCAAAAAAAACCAACCAAACAAAAAAAAAAAAAAAAGGAAAGCAAATCTTGTGACTGTTTAGGCAATGACCGTTAAAACTATGTATGGTAAATTTTGCAACCATTGTACAAATGAGCTGTTTTTTAACTATGTAAGTTTTCAAAAATTCAAAAATGGGGAATAATATGAACCCCTGTGCCCATCTCCCAGATTGAGCAATGATTAACATTTTTCAACACCTGCTTTGCTTATCTCCCTCCTCCTTTTTTTGTGGCTCTAAGATTTTAAAGTAAATCTCTGATTTCTTGTCATTTCAAACCTAAATTCTTCTGTGTGTACCTCTAAGAAAAATAAGGACATTCTGGCTGGGTGCCATGGCTCACACCTGTAATCTGAGCACTTTGGGAGTTGGAAGGATTACTTGAGCCCAGGAGTTCCAGACCAGCCTGGGCAACATAGGGAGACCCTGTCTCTACAAAAGAAAAAAAAAAAAAAATTAGCCAGGCATGTGGTGGCACATACTTGTAGTCCCAGCTACTTGGGAAGCTGAAGCAGGAGGATCCTTTGAGCTCAGGAGGTTGAGGTTGCAGTGAGCTGAGATGACACTAGTGCACCCAGCCTTGGTGACAGAGTGCGACCCTGTCTTGTCTCAACCAAAAAAAAAAAAAAAAGAAAATAAGGACATTCTGAACATAACCACGATGCCAGTATCATACCTAACAACATTAGTAATTCCTTAATATCACTTAAAATCTAGGCCTTTTAAAAATTTATTTATTTATTTTTTGTTTTTATTTATTTATTTTTTGAGATGGAGTTTCCCTCTTGTTGCCCAGGCTGGAGTGCAACGATGTGATCTTGGCTTACTGCAAACACCATCTCCCGAGTTCAAGCAATTCTGCCTCAGCCTTCCGAGTAGCTGGGATTACAGGCATGTGCCACCACGCCCAGCTAATTTTGTATTTTTAATAGAGACAGGGTTTCTCCGTGTTGGTCAGGCTGGTCTCGAACTCCCAACCTCAGGCGATCTGCCCACCTCGGCCTGCCAAAGTGCTGGGATTACAGGCGTGAGCTACTGTGCCCAGCCAAGTTTCTTAAAGAAACACTGTTTCTTAAAAAAATTGTTGGCTGGGCGCGGTGGCTCACGCCTGTAATCCCAGCACTTTGGGAGGCCGAGGTGGGCAGATTGCCTGAGGTTGGGAGTTGGAGACCAGCTTTGAGACAAGACTAACCTGGGGAAACCGCATCTCTGCCAAATACAAAAATTAGGTGGGTTTGGTGGTGCGCACCTATAGTCCCAGCTACTTGGGAGGCTGAGGTGGGAGGATCGCTTGAGCCCAGGTGATGGAGGTTGCGGTGAGCCAAGATCACGCCACAAAAAAGTGTTGGAATCACCCAGTCCTTAAGGGACTTACTTTCTAAGAGCCACTCTTTTCCTTCAGAAAGGGATAGGGTGGTCGGGAAGTATCTATTTCTCCCTAACCATTTATCCTTTGGGTCATTCAGCATCCAGTCAGCCTTTGTCAATCACCTGTGAGTCTAAGCACTGTGTCAGGTATGGGGGTAAAGGGCAAATCACATCCCCTCCTCCCTTTAAGCCCAGGTAGTGATTCTCCTTGAGAAGAATAAGAAAATGAAATCCGAAAAGTGCTATGGTTACTTTTCCCAGGAAAAATGCTTGTAGTGTTTAAAGGGGATTTATGGCCATCCTGAAATCTATCTGTGGGCCTAGGTTAGGACCCCCATTCTAGTGAGATTTCTTGGGGAATAGGGAGGGGCTCCAGGGATCCTTGAGGGTACATGAGTGTATTGAGGAGAGAGAAGAAATGGAACTCACAGCTGGGAGCTGGCAGGAGGTGGGGGAAGCAGTCCTGGGGTCCCCTGTTTTCTCTGAGGTGCTGCCGAGTTGCCAGCTGAATTTGAGACTGAATCCTGAATCCAGCACTTGTGAACTGGGTGACCCTTGCTGAGTTCTTTTTGAGGTTGATGCCTTATTTGTCCAGTCAGGTAATTTAGTGCCTGTATATTGAACACCTTGTATAAACCGGCACATTTTGCCAGGCAAGGCCATTTGGAGATGCTGACACTTCCTCAAAGGGCTGCCAAAAAGAATACATAAAAATGCCTTTGTTACATGTCTGGCTGAGTGCTTGGGACAGTGACAGGTCTGGGTGCAACAGCATAAGCCTGTGAAGCCAAGGGTTAGAGGCACCATTTGTCCAGGCATTTCCTGTGTGGCGTGTGGGGCTTGGTCAGTTTTCTCTTGGCAGCTGTTTTTTGGTGTTCAGGTGTGATATCTTGTTGGCTCGAGTTGCTTCCTCCTGTTTTTCCAGGGTCCCTGCCCTCCTCCTGCTTGGCTCTGTAGCTGTCATTGTCCAAGCTTGGAGGGCTCATGTACAAGCTAACATGGAGGAGGAGCTGGAAGATTGCCTCTCCCGGGGGTCTTGCCTGTTCAGTGGAAAGAAGATGGGATCATTACAGCCACTCCAGTCCCTGTTTTACTGGACCCGAGACATACCTCAGCTTCCTGGACCCCACACGCTCTTGGTTTTCCTCCTTGCACTGTCTTTTGCTGGCAGGTCTTGTGTGGTCCATTATTAAGTAGTATTGTTCTTCCTGGTTCTCTGAGAGGCGAGACCTTCCAAAATTTTCATCTCCAGGACCTGTCCAGTGCTGATGTCTCCACTTGCCTGTCTCCCAGGTCCAAAGTGGGACTTAACCTTGTATCCTCCAATGACCTCTCGCTGCCCGCTCCTACTGTGCCCTTTGGTTCAGTGACTCATACCCGCATCCACCCTCCCGGGTTCCCAGACCAAAATAAAAAAGCATGGGAGTCCGTGTGGCTCCCTCTTCCCTCCACCCCTGTATCTGGATGGTTACCAAGTCATGACTGTTCTGTCTCTGATAATGCCCCCTGATCTCCATTCTTACCACCACTCTCCCAGGTAAATGCTCCATCTTCTCTGTCTTGGGTTGCATTTGGTCCCACCTGGTCTTTCAGTTAACTCCCTTCAGTCCACCCAATGCAGTCTTTTCTCTGCAGCCAAATTTTTTTCTATAGTTCAGGTCTGATGATACCACTTTCCATTTTCAAACTCCTTAAATTGGCCTCGGAGACCTGTGATGGCCAATCTTCCCCACCCCTGTGGGTCAGGTTCCTCTGGTGTGGGCCTATCTCTTAGTGCAAGGCTCCCTGTAGACTGTCCTGGGGCTGCCTGTCTAATTGTCTTCTCATTGAACCAGGTAGGCAGGCAGGAACCACTCATCTAGTCTGGGGGTGACTGGGGGGTGCAAAGAGTTTTGTTACAGGATGTATTTAACACTTTCATTGTCTGGCTCAAAATTCTCTTTGAAGAAACTGCCTTTGTTTAATTCTGTTTATTTATTTAGAACTTACCTAGAATTGATTTGCACTTGCAAAAATGCTGCTGTTTTAGAGTTTGCTTTCTAGGCTGGTTGCTTGCTCTGTCACCTTAGCTAAAAAGTAGGTACTGGAGCGCCTTTTCTCTTCTCTTCTCTTCTTTCTTTCTTCTTCTTTTTTTTTTTTTTTTTTTTTTTTTAGTAGAGTCTAGCTTTGTCGCCCAGGCTTAAGTGCAGTGGCACGATCCCGGCTCACTGCATCCTCTGCCTCCCAGGTTCAAGTGATTCTCCTGCCTCAGCCTCCCGAGTAGCTGGGATGACAGGCGCCCACCACCACACCCAGCTAATTTTTGTATTTTTAGTAGAGGCGAGGTTTCACCATGTTGGCCAGGCTGGTCTTGAACTCCTGACCTCAAGTGATCCACCCTCTTGAGCCTCCCAAAGTGCTGGGATTACAGGCGTGAGCCACCACACCTGGCCTGTAGCGCCATTTCTGTTTCTGGTTGCTCTATAAAGGGAGCTCTGTGCGTAGAGTAGGTGTGTCAGTAAGAATGACTTGACCTAGTTGGCACCAACAAAGAAAAATAGCAAACAAGTTAGGTTAGGTTTTTTTGATGATTGAAGAACATCTTGTATGTTAACAGGCAGTTTATAAAATGAGAAATGGAATGATTTTTAAAAACAGCATTCAGCTTTATAAATCCAGGAAATGCAGATAGAAAAGAGATAATTTTTTTACCTTTAAATTATAAAAAAGTTTGATAATTAACAGTTGTGAAAATCAATATTGTAAGGGTAAAGTACGTTGCCAGTGGACATGTTTTTGAACAGCAGTTTGTCAGTTGGTGTTTATGTAATTACATTTGCTCTCTCTGATTTATTACTCCTATTTTTAAGAATCTAGCTCAAGGAAATACCCATAATATGGGAAAAAAATCAGTATTCCTGAAGAGGTTCCTTGTAGCATTATTTTTCATAGCAAAATTGTGGAAAAACCTAACTGTCCAAAATATAGAGAACAATATTAGTGAATTATTCACTCAGAATAGTATGTAGCCAGAAATGATGTTTAGGAAATAGAGCTATGCATAATTAATATGGAATGATAGGGCAGGGTGCAGTGGCTCAAGCCTGTAATCCTAGCACTTTGAGAGGCCAAGGTGGGTGAATCACCTAAGGTCAGGAGTTCAAGACCAGCCTGGTCAACATGGCATAACCTCGTCTCCACTAAAAATACAAATATTAGGTGGGCATGGTGGGGTGCACCTGTAATCCCAGCTATTCGGGAGAGTGAGGCAGAAGAATCACTTGAACGTGGGAGGCAGAGGTTGCGGTGAGCTGAGATAACGCTGCTGCACTCCAGTCTCGGCGACAGAGCAAGACTCTGTCTCAAAAAAAAAAAAAAGACAGCCAAGAGATACCAACTAAAAAAGTAAGATGGAAAACAAAGTCAACATGATTCTATGTGTGTGTTAACATTAGAAAGGTGTGTATACTATAGATTTATAAAAGCCTTCTGGAAATTATGCAGGACAGGAATAGGACTAAGTAAGTTGGAGACAAGAAACTTTTGAAACATTTTTATATTGTCTGTAGTGATTGAGGTTATTTTGTTTTTAACTTTTTGCTATAATAAAATCTTAAAAGATGGTTATAAAGACTATTGTAATCCATAAAAATATTTATGATATGTCAAGCAAAAAAGAACGAGATGATGTAAAATGGCATATAGTTCATTTGTAGCTACAAGACAAATATGAGAATAGAGAAAAAAGGGGAACTATTAATTGGTTGTTTTAAAGTGTTGGGATTAGGCTGGACTCGGTGGCTCACGCCTAATAATCCTAGCATTAAATTTAGGAAGCTGAGGCGAGAGGATCCCTTGAGCCCAGTGGGTCAAGGCTGCAGTGAGCCGTGATCATGCCACTGTACTCCAGTCTGGGCAACGGGAAGACTCTGTAAAAGCGAATGATTAAAAATAAGTGTTGGGATTATATTTTCTTTGGATTTCTCTATTTTCTATTTAAAGATTGCCCTATCAGAATCCCATCTTCATTTTTTTGTTCTTTCTGACATAGGTTTTCAAGGGACATGAGTGACCCGAGGATGGTGTTGAGCCTCTCTTTGTAAGGGTTGTTTCTTTGTTACTCACGTACTGGTAATTATCTTACCATCTCTGCAGAGCCCACCCACCTTTGGGTTCCTGTTGGACATCGATGGAGTGCTTGTGCGGGGCCACAGAGTGATCCCTGCTGCTCTGAAAGCCTTCCGAAGGCTGGTGAACTCCCAGGGGCAGCTGCGGGTGCCCGTGGTTTTTGTTACAAATGCTGGGAACATCTTACAACACAGCAAAGCCCAGGAGCTGTCAGCCCTGCTGGGGTGCGAGGTGAGAAGGCAGCCAGAGGCATGGAAGCCCAAGGACCTGGTTCCTAATGGAGCCGCTGCCCCAGCTCCAAGTCCCTTTCCCCTGGGTTGGGATATGGAATCACCTAGTCCTAGGTCATGGCCACAGCTGAACACAGAAATCCTGCCTGTGTATTTGGCAGTTGTAGATTATGTCCTTGTATCTGTTTCTTTTCTTCTGGGCATTGGGGGTGTGAGTCCCTGGAAAGCAAAGGTCACACACATGTCTAGAACTTGCATAGCAGGAATAGCAGGTGTGGCTCTGGCGTCACACCTTGGCTTTCCTGGGTATGATGTGTGCACCTGAAGGAGTGCTGTCCTCCTCAGCCACCTGCAGCCCTGCACCATATCCCAACTTTGATGCATTCTTGTTTGTTGAGGGTGAATTCAGCTTTTGGAAAGAGTCCTTTGGAACCAGGAGAGTAAATAAAATAGCTGATTGATTAGATGATGCTGCTCAAAGTTGCATGTAAAATGTGACGGAATCAAATTGGTTCCTTGCTGTGATTTCCAGAGAGAATTCCAAAAACCTTCCAAGTAAAGGCTGCATTGTTAGGGTTAGTATAAATGTTAAGCAGCTAACTCTTAGCAGGAATGAAAATAGAAAGTAAAAGACCAGTTTCTGCGACAGTGACAGGGAGCACACATGAACCCTATGGCTTCCAAGTGGGGGCTTGGGAAATCCAAACTGAACCTGACGGGGTAGCGGTGGCAAGTGGTCAGAACCCACATCTGTGGCATTTCTGGTCTCTTGTGTGGCAAGAACTAAATGAGACAGGTTCTTCTCAGATCTGTTTGGGTGCCTTTCAGAAGTGCTGCTGGGTGCTAGAAAGGGCTTTCCTCCCCGTTCTTTTTCTGAGCGGGTTTTTTCCTTCCCTAGGCTAAAGGACCTGCCACCTGTCTCATTATTTCCCTCAACAGTTCTGTCTTCCTCTGCCCTCCCCTGTCTTGGCTGTCCCTACAGGTGGATGCAGACCAAGTTATCCTCTCTCACAGCCCCATGAAGCTCTTCTCCGAGTACCATGAGAAGCGGATGCTGGTGTCTGGACAGGGGCCCGTGATGGAAAATGCCCAGGGGTATCCTTTTGGTCTTAACTCTGGCTGAAGGGAAGGGGCAGGGCTGAGGTGTTTCCTCCCTTAGCTGAGTGGGGACTGTAGTGAGGAGTGCTGGGTGCTGGGGTACACAGGCGATGTTGTGGGCTCAGGGGAGGGAGGACAGCTCCCGACTGTGGTCAGTCCTCATGTCTGGTGGTTTCCAAAAGCCAGTTCTCATACCCCTGCATCAGAATCCTCTGGGGAGCTTAAAATACAGATCCCAGGGTATCTGCGCTGGAGCCTTAATTCACTAGGTCTCGGGTAAAACTCAGGAATCTGTATTTTTTAAAAAACAAAACACCTCTCTTAGTGGTTCTGTAACTGGGTTTGGGAACCCCTGCTCTAGCCTCTTCCTTGGGGTGCCCAGTCAGTTTATTAGCCAGTGGTAGTGAAGCAGCTACCGGGAGCCTGTCTCTGGGAGCCTGCGGAATAATACCTGGCCCGTTTTAAGCAACTGTTGTGCTGAGCACGTCCTGTGTACCAGCGGTCTGCCGCACACTCTGAATGGGACGAGGACCAGGATGAGGGCGTAGGACTTATGAATCAATCAAGGGCTTGTGCTGGAGGCAAGAATAACACCATGAGCAGTAAAGGAGCGTGTGCGATGGCGTGTGATCGAAGGCCGGTAAGCTCACAGGAGGGCGTCACAGGTGTGGGGCGTGTGTGATGGCGTGTGATCGAAGGCCGGTAAGCTCACAGGAGGGCGCCACAGGTGTGGAGCGTGTGCGATGGCATGTGATCGAAGGCCTGTGAGCTCACAGGAGTGTGCCACAGGTGTGGGGCGTGTGCGATGGCGTGTGATTGAAGGCCGGTAAGCTCACAGGAGGGCGCCACAGGTGTGGGGCGTGTGCGATGGCGTGTGATCGAAGGCCGGTAAGCTCACAGGAGTGTGCCACAGGTGTGGGGCGTGTGCGATGGCGTGTGATCGAAGGCCGGTAAGCTCACAGGAGTGTGCCACAGGTGTGGAGCGTGTGCGATGGCATGTGAAGGCCGGTAAGCTCACAGGAGGGCGTCGCAGGTGTGGGGCGTGTGCGATGGCATGTGATCGAAGGCCGGTAAGCTCACAGGAGTGCGCCACAGGTGTGGGGCGTGTGCGATGGCGTGTGATCGAAGGCCTGTAAGCTCACAGGAGTGCGTCACAGGTGTGGGGCGTGTGCGATGGCGTGTGATCGAAGGCCGGTAAGCTCACAGGAGGGCGTCACAGGTGTGGGGCGTGTGCGATGGCGTGTGATCGAAGGCCGGTAAGCTCACAGGAGGGCGTCACAGGTGTGGGGCGTGTGCGATGGCGTGTGATCGAAGGCCGGTAAGCTCACAGGAGGGCGTCACAGGTGTGGGGCGTGTGCGATGACGTGTGATCGAAGGCCGGTAAGCTCACAGGAGGGCGTCACAGGTGTGGGGCGTGTGCGATGGCGTGTGATCGAATGCCGGTAAGCTCACAGGAGGGCGTCACAGGTGTGGGGCGTGTGCGATGGCGTGTGATCGAAGGCCGGTAAGCTCACAGGAGGGCGTCACAGGTGTGGGGCGTGTGCGATGGCGTGTGATCGAAGGCCGGTAAGCTCACAGGAGGGCGTCACAGGTGTGGGGCGTGTGCGATGGCGTGTGATCGAAGGCCGGTAAGCTCACAGGAGGGCGTCACAGGTGTGGGGCGTGTGCGATGACGTGTGATTGAAGGCCGGTAAGCTCACAGGAGGGCGTCACAGGTGTGGGGCGTGTGCGATGATGTGTGATTGAAGGCCGGTAAGCTCACAGGAGGGCGTCACAGGTGTGGGGCGTGTGCGATGACGTGTGATCGAAGGCCTGTAAGCTCACAGGAGTGTGCCACAGGTGTGGAGCGTGTGCGATGGCGTGTGATCGAAGGCCGGTAAGCTCACAGGAGGGCGTCACAGGTGTGGGGCGTGTGCGATGACGTGTGATTGAAGGCCGGTAAGCTCACAGGAGGGCGCCACAGGTGTGGAGCGTGTGCGATGGCGTGTGATCGAAGGCCTGTAAGCTCACAGGAGTGTGCCACAGGTGTGGAGCGTGTGCGATGGCGTGTGATCGAAGGCCGGTAAGCTCACAGGAGGGCGTCACAGGTGTGGAGCGTGTGCGATGGCATGTGATTGAAGGCCGGTAAGCTCACAGGAGGGCGCCACAGGTGTGGAGGGGAGGGCTTGGAGTATCCCTGGGGCAGGAGTTGCCTGTGGCTTCTTGGAGGGGTACAGCGGAGCCCCAGGAGATGGCTAAGCTCCTAAGCAGGGGAAGTAGGAGGTTGGGAATGGGATAGGGAGAGGAAGGAAAGAACAGGAAGGGTGGTGCCAGGTTGTCGGGAACCTTGGAAGTAAACTTGAGGAGTCTGACCGACTTCTCAGGGCAGTGGAAAGCAGGGCACGCTTTATTGCTGATGGGGCAATCTGATAGAATCAGGATTTTGGGGAAATTCATTTTGAGAGTAATCAAACCATGTCCAGTTAAGATTGCAAGTTGGAATTGAGGATAGGAAAATGGAGGCAGATCTTAGAGGAGATAGGCTGAAGCTGGCTTGCCCCTCCCCAAGGCCGCCTCTTCCTTGATGATTTGGGTTCATCCTTTAAGATTTTAGCTCCAGCCCTACTTCTCCATGACTCCTCTGGACTCCCCAGCCCACTGAGGAGTCTCTTCTGAACTCAGCACTGACTAGCAGCACTGTTCTCAGAGAACACTGGTTTTGATGGGCTCTGAATGTGCTAGCTCCTTGGGGACAGAGTTTTTTGTTTTTTTTTGAGACAGGGTCACACTCTGTTGCCCAAGTTGGAGTGCAGTGGTGCAATCATAGCTCACTGTAGCCTTGACCTCCTGGGCTCAAATGATCCTCCTGCCCCAGCCTCCTGAGTAGACGACAGGTGTGCACCACCATGCCTAGCTGACTTTATTTGTAGAGACAAGGTCTCACTATGTTGCCCATGCTGGCTGGAACTCCTGGGCTCAAGCCATCCTCCTGCCTCAGCCTCCCAAAGTGCTGGGATTTCAGGCATGAGCCACTGCACCCAGCTGGGGACAGAGATTCTTATGTGCCTTTGCCCCCTAGGCTGTGCCCAGCATAGGACCTGGTAGCTGGCATGTGCCTGGTGACTGCTGGTGGGTTACCCAGGAGCTGCCCTCTCTACTCTACCTGTGCAGTTACAGCCTGCCTGCCAGCACCTGCAGGATTTGTGCCATCCTTGCTGGGCTCTGCTTGGTGCCCTCCTGCCTGGCTTGATCAGGAGTGGGTTGTGTTCCCTTCACTTGTGATTTGATGCATTCAGAAAGGCATCTTCCCCAAGAACTGTCCAGCATTACTTCCTGAGCTTGCTCCAGACTGGGCTTCCGAAATGTCGTCACCGTGGATGAGCTGCGGATGGCCTTTCCTCTGCTTGACATGGTGGACCTGGAGCGGCGGCTAAAGACCACGGTAATAAGGAGCATGGGTTGGGCTGTGTCTTCATCCTTCACTCCTCCAGTGCCCTGCATTGGCTGTGTCGCTGACCTTGCAAGCCCTCCTGCAGAGCTGTGATTTGTCCATGCTTCTTTGGAGGCACATCTGGCTAAGGGTTTTGTTCCCTGAATTTATGAGAATGGCCCAGAGGCTGGCTGCGGTGGCTTACACCTGTAATCCCAACGCTTTGGGAGGCTGAAACAGGAGGACTGTTTGAGCCCAGGAGTTCAAGACCAGCCTGGGCAACATAGTGAGACCCCGTCTCTACAAAAAAATTTAAAAAATTGTCCAGGCATGGTGGGTCACACCTGTAATTCCAGCACTTTGGGAGGCCAAGGCGGGTGGATCACCTGAGGTCAGGAGTTCCAGACCAGCCTGGCCAACATGGTGAAACCCCGTCTCTACTAAAAATACAAAAATTAGCTGGGCACAGTGATGGATGCCTATAATCCCAGCTACTCGGGAGGCAGAGGCAGGAGAATAACTTGAACCTGGGAGGCAGAGGTTGCAGTGAGCTGACATCACACCATTGCACTCCAGCCTGGGCAACAGAGCGAGACTCCGTCTCAAAAAAAAAAAAAAAAAAGCCACATATGGTGGCGCATGCCTATAGTCCCAGCTACTCAGGAGGCTGAGGCAGGAGGGTTGCTTGAGCCCAGGCGTTGGAGGCTGCAGTGAGCTGTGATCACTGCACTCCAGTCTTGGCGGCTGAGTGAGACCCTGTCTCAAAAAAAAAAAAGGAAAAAGCCCAGAGAAGCGAACGGCTTTATGCCCTGTCCTCTCTGTATTGCTTATAATTAGCTGGGAACCCGTTTCAGAGCCACAGCATCCCGTCCAACAAGGAGTTCCAGACTTACTGGCTGGCCTTCCCAGTGCTGCCCAGGAGAGCTGGCCATTGTGAAGTTAGCAATCCTGAGGCCCGGCACTGAGCTGCCCTCGGGAGAGGTAGCTTGCTTGCAGAGGAAGCACTGGTCAGTCTGCACATCTGCCCAGGTGCCCTGTGCGCTGGGCTCATTTTTGAGCACTGACTTTGTCCCCTAACTCATCTGATCCCTTGGTGATCCTCTGCAGCATGACTGCCATCTCTTGAGGTGCCCGTTGGCTCACTTTCTCCTCATCGCACCGTCTGTGTATCACATAGCCCAGGTCTTGAGTCAGACCATTCTCACAGTTTGACGACATGCAGTTATAAACAGATAACTTACTTTTTATTTGCTGATATAGCTTAAGTCCTTCCTCCTCCAGCGCTTTCTGATGGAACAGAGCACTTCCTCCCCTGTGAGGGCTTTCTCCCTGACCTGTGCAAGTTCTGTGGAGAACCAGAATGTCAGAGTTGGAACAGATCTCGGAATAGCTCAGAGACAGCCCCACACAGGGGAGTGACCTGTCCCGGGTCACATAGTTGTTTAGTGGCAGAGCCAAGACTACCATGGCCTGGGGATGGAGTGGACCCTCGAGGCTGGTCGAGTGAAGCTGCCTGCTCAAGAACCGACATGAGGAGAAATGGCCCATCAGGCGTGATGCCGCCTTCGTCTCCACGGCCTCACCTTAGCTGCCTGATTTTAGACTCTTGCTTGGCTATATCTTGTGTCCTCTCCCACCAGAGAAAGACAGCTGACCACCCTTCCTCCTGGTGACTTCACCCATGGTGTCCTGCCTGTTCTGTGGCCCCACCTGGCCATTGTCTTTTCGCCTTTCTTGCATCTTTCTCAGTCCTCTCCAGCTTTCCCTTGGCTTGGGCTTGACCACGGGTGTGGGGTCTGTGGAGTGTGTCTCCCCTCCCCTCCCAGCACCCTGGAGGTGGGGTTGTGGTTCTCCTGGAGTGGAAGGCGACTTGTGTTGATAGCCTCTCCTTTGTCTCTCTGCAGCCCCTCCCGAGGAATGACTTCCCCCGCATTGAAGGTAAGAGAGGTCCTCTTTGATGAGTTGTGAGGTCTTTTCTCCGTCTCCTCTCTGGCCCTCAGGCTGTCTCAGTGTGACTGCCTGCAGCCTGGTTCAGCAGCAAGGGGCCTTGGAGTCAGGACACCTGGGCTCTGGTCTGGATCTGCCACTTACCACCTCTGAGACTGTTGTTAGTCTTTCCTTCCCCATGCCACTCACTATTCCAGGAAAACCGTAAGCTTAGAGAATTTTAGTGGTGGAAAGACACCTAGAGGTGATCTAGTCTAGTGTTTCTCAACTTTTAAACCCAGTTCTCCCCTTTTTATACCAAGAACATTGGAATATCCCCTTTATTATCCTGAAGTGAAATTCTTAGGTAATATAACTTCTGTACACACATATTAAAAATTAGTTCAGTATAAAGCCCTAACTGTAATAGGGGGATATAAAAGGAAACATTTTTAGTAAGAAGATAATGTATTTCAGTATGTAGTAGTTATCCAAGAAGTAAAATGGTTGCACTAAACAGAATCACCATGAATGTTAACAGCTACAAATGCAGGCTGATGTGTGTTTATAGGTGTGACAGGCGTGTTTTACCGGTGACTCAGAAATTAGGGGCAGCATTGCCGTTGGTCAAGTGATTTTCCAAAATAGGTAACAGTTCTTGGTAGAGTTTTGAAAAGGCAAAGTACAGTCTTCTCTTGACTTACACGATAGTTGTATTTTTGGAAAAATTGATGTTTATTGAAGCTGTACAAAAATGCTTTGTGATTGTATGTAAAATAGAATCGTTCAAGTAATTCTGAAAAGGTTGTTCACCTGTGTGGATACCAGGATATCAGGTGGGACATTCAAATGTTATGAGGACATGGGAAAGTTTTTTCTTTTTCTTCTTGTTGTTTTGTAGAGACGGGCTCTCACTATGTTGCCCAGGCTGGTCTCAAACTCCTGAGCTCAAGCAATCCTACCACCTTGGCCTCCCAAAGTGCTGGAATTACAGACACAAGCCACCGCACGCAGCCATGGGATGGTTTTTTTAAAAATTAATTTTAGTGTGGGATAGTTTTTGATTGCACAGGATTGTCCTGAGTATGTAGCGTCCCTGGCCCCCTCCCACAACCTTCACTTGCTAGGTTCTAGTCATTGTGACAACTAAAATTGCCTCTGATTTGTAAAGCACCTCAGCAGGGGCGGTGCTGCCCCATGGAGAATCACTGGTCTGGTGCAGTTCACCGGCCCTGTACCTTAGTGTCAGCAGTGTTCTTTGCCTAGTGCTTACTGTGTGTCTAGTCCTGGGCTGTTTACCGATGATGTAGCTCATTTTTATCCTCACAATAGCTAAGTGCTGTTGCTGTTATGTAGTTGCAGTTGAGGAAACTGAGGCTTAGAGAAGAGAAGTTACTTGGCCACAGTCATACAGGAGAATCGGTGGAGTCCAGGTTGGGTTTCAAGTCTCTATCACTCCACACCCCCTGTCCTGGCTGTTAGGTTCTGCCAGTCCCTGGGGCTCAGAGAGAAGCGACTGAGGGAACAGGAGCCCTTGCTAAGTCATGTGAGGGAGAATGTGGTGGCAGAGTCCCAGCCAGCAAGGAGAAGTAGCCCTGAGACATGCTGCTTTTGTTTTGTAACCTCTTCTGTGAAGCACTGGTGGACTGAAGTCAGAATGGGAGCCCTCAGGAATCTCCTTCCTGGGCCCTGGGCCTTGTGCACCCAGGGTGGATGGGTAAGGGGCTCTACTGGGCTTGTTGGGGAGCTGTGCCCCTGCCCAGCTGGGTGCACCATGGGTGGAGGGCTTGTGGATGGGTAGCCCTAGCTGGCATCCTGAGGGCCTGCCGCCTGCCATCTGCCCTGCAGCCCTCACCTGCGCCTCTGTTCTTTAAAGGGGTGCTCCTCCTAGGGGAGCCGGTCCGCTGGGAGACCAGCCTGCAGCTGATCATGGATGTCCTCCTCAGCAATGGGAGCCCTGGGGCTGGCCTGGCAACACCCCCCTACCCCCACCTCCCCGTCCTAGCCAGCAACATGGATCTCCTGTGGATGGCTGAAGCCAAGATGCCCAGGTGAGGACACAAAGCTCCCAGCCTTGGCCTGGTGGTCTATTCCTGGCTGCTGCCTGGGCAGTCCTGCAGGCAGTTCCCATCCGTCCTGACACCCCAGGTGCCGGGACCTCACTTAGGTAGGCCCTGTTGTTGCTGCAGTAACCTGGCCTTTGGAAGGGCTTTCAAGGACCACTCCACATATTAGTTACTAAACCTAAACTACAGATTATGGAGTCTGAGGATGTATTGAGAGGATGTTTCACACGTGACCCCTGCCCCCTGTAATCTTTACAGAACATGCTCTTGGTGTCTGGTGGATCCCAAACCGTGGGCACTTTTTGTACCGTATCTGTGCACATTATTCAGTTGCTCTTCCTTCCTTGGCTCCATCCTGTAGCATTGGTTCTTTGACTTTCTGGTTTCCTTTTACCCTTCAGACATAAGGCAGGAGGAAGCAAGGATTTGTCGTTTTTTGTTTGTTTTGTTTTTTTTGCGGGGACAGTGTCTCACTCTCTCATCCAGGCTGGAGTGCAGTGGTGCAGTCATAGCTCACTGCAGCCTTGAACTCCTGGCCTCAAGTGACCCCCGTGCCTCAGCCTCCAAAAGTGCCGGGATTACAGGCGTGCTCCATCATGCCGGCCAAGGATTGTTCTGATAGTCGTATAGACCAGAGAACTGAGACCCAGCAGATAAGTGGCTTTCTCAGGGGCATGCAGGTGCCTATACTCCCTGCTCAGCTGTGTTGGTGTCATGTGTCCTGTCTTATTCTGGGGCTAGCACAGATAGAGGCAGCCCTTTTTTGGCCTCAGGGTGCTTACTTGAAGGCCAGCTGACAGCTGCTGTGTACTGTTCGGTTGCTGTTATCTGCATGGCCAGTCTCTTGAGTCTCAGCCTGCTGTTGACCCCCAGTCGACAGTGCTCGTCAGCAGAGGGTGGGCACGGCCCAGTACTGCCTCAGGGCCCGTCTCAGTAGTCCCAGAGAGACGGGGTATGGTATGCTCTTGTCACTTTTAAAGTGTATGTCTGTGGCTCGAGGCTTGGCATTGTCTCTGAAGTATTATTCCTAGAGGCGGGTATGCTGACACTAGATCAGTGGGCTTGGTTGGTTATGTCTCTGTGAACTGAAAAGCAAGGGGCAGATTTCAATTTACAAACCAGATTTTAGATGAACTTTTCTAATTAAAAGTAGAATTATTTACATAAATGACACTGAAAGATGTGGTGGCTCATGCTTGTAATCCCAACACTTCGGGAGGCCGAGGTGGGTGGATCACCTGAGGTCAGTTCAAGATCAGCCTGGCCAACATGGCAAAACCCCGTCTCTACTAAAAATATAAAAATTAGCCGGGCATGGTGGCAGGTGCCTGTAATCCCAGCTACTCGGAGGCTGAGGCAGGAGAATCACTTGAACCCAGGGGGTGGAGGTTGCAGTGAGCTGAGATTGTACCCAAGCGCCAGCCATCATATCAGCATTCCAGGTGTCAAGAAGGAGTTGGGGAGGGCAGAGAGGGCAGAGAAGAATACCGTCCCCAGTTTGTTTGTTTTTTTTTTTTAGATGGAGTCTTGCTCTTTTGCCCAGGCTGGAATGCAGTGGTGCAATCTTGGCCCGCTGCAACCTCCGCCTCCCGGGTTCAAGTGATTCTCCTGCCTCAGCCCCCCAAGTAGCTGGGACTACAGGCATGTGCCACCACACCCAGCTAATTTTTGCATTTTTGGTAGAGACAGGCTTTCACCATGTTGGCCAGACTGGTCTTGAACTCCTGACCTCAGGTGATCCACCTGCCTTGGCCTCCCAAAGTGCTAAGATTACAGGCATGAGCCACTGCGCCTGGCCGCCTGTCCCCAATTTTAAGGATGCTTATTGAAAATTTAGCCCAGCATTTCTGCTTTCCTTGACTGTAGCTTAGTCACATGGCCACGCCTCGCTGGCAGGGAGGCAAGCGAAGGTCTTTTTCACACCTAGTGGCAATATGGTCAGCTGAAAATGGACACCAGCAAAGAAGGGGAGAAGCGCAACCGTAGTCTGCCTCAGCTCTACAGCAGGATTTAAGCTCTGGAGTCAGACTGAGTTGTAATCCTAGCTCTGCCCTCTTGAACAAGTTACTTAATCTTGCTGTGCCTTGGTTTCCTCGTTTTACAAATAGCGTCATCTCATAGAGTTTTTCTGAGAGGGAAATGTGAAATGCTGCCTCCAGTGCCTGCACAGTGTCTGCTACATGTCAGCTCTTACCCTGGGGAAAAGGCTGGTCTGTGTGTTTGCTGCTTAGACAGTGGCAGTCGTGTTCTCTAGAAGAGCCTGGAGATCAGGAAGACTGAACTGCTGCGTGCTCGTTTCTGGCAGGTTTGGACATGGCACCTTTCTGCTGTGCCTGGAAACCATTTACCAGAAAGTGACGGGCAAGGAGCTGAGATACGAGGGCCTGATGGGCAAACCCAGCATCCTCACTTACCAGTATGCCGAGGACCTGATCAGGCGACAGGCGGAGAGGCGGGGCTGGGCCGCCCCCATCCGGAAGCTCTATGCTGTGGGGTAGGCTCTGCTCTCCCTCCTTTGTCCCTTTTATGACATCCCCTTCTCTCCCTCCTCCTCTACTCTCACCCCCATTTCCCTATATCTAATTCACTCTTCTGCCCCGAAACTCTTCTCTGCTCCCTTTGCTTTGCAACATTGATTTAGGGTTTTTTCTCCTTTTTCCTTTTCCGGTGTGGCTGCCCCTGCCAGTGATAACCCTATGTCTGACGTATACGGCGCCAACCTGTTCCACCAGTACCTGCAGAAGGCAACGCATGATGGGGCGCCAGAACTAGGGGCCGGGGGCACACGGCAGCAACAGCCCTCAGCAAGCCAGAGCTGCATCTCCATCCTGGTGTGTACAGGCGTCTACAATCCCAGGAACCCACAGTCCACGGAGCCTGTCCTTGGAGGAGGGGAGCCTCCATTCCACGGGCACCGAGACTTATGCTTCAGTCCAGGGCTCATGGAGGCCTCCCACGTGGTGAATGACGTGAATGAGGCTGTGCAGCTGGTCTTCCGCAAGGAGGGCTGGGCTTTGGAGTGAGGGCAGTGCGGTGGAGGTGAGGGGGTGAGCCTGGACCTGTGGGCGAGTCCCATTGGCTGGGCTCTGGCCTGATCACTGGGCTCAGGTCAGGGCTTGGTTCCCTTGCCACCCTTCTTGCTGCCCCATGAGTGTGGCATTACTGGTCACTTGGAAGAAGACAGTGACTCTTTTTCCCTGCTGGGTAGCATTTTGTATGGAACGGTTGGAATTTTCTGGGCCCAGTTCCCACGTGCCTTTCGTGGCAGTCTAACCTCAGGCCATTCTCTTCCCCTGTGTGCCTCAGTGTCCTTCTCATTTCAGTAGGGACTTCTGAAATGGGGGAGGCAGTGTGGAATACTGTGGATGTCTGTGCAGAGCCTTTGCCGGCACTGAAGGCATGCAGCCTGTCGGCAGAGTGTCTTAACACCAGATGCTACTTTTTACTGTATTGTAGTTTATTGCCCGGAGATGTGGGGCTTTTTTTTTAAATAAAATAATCATAATAAATGTTCATGATGCTGACTCTTGTGAAGCTCTGTCTGGAGTGCACTAAAAGTCCTGTGGGGAAAGGAGGAGTGAGTGGTGTGGGCGGCCCAGGGTCTGGGAGATGGGTGGCATTTCAGCTCCACGAGGTGCCCACATCTCCTTTCCTACCTCCCGCCCCCAAGTCCACACCCATTCTGGGCTGTGAAGCCTGAGGCTGTCTATGAATGAGTATGCCTGGCTTTGGCATATACTTAGCAACTTCCCTGGTGTGGAAAAGAAGAGGGATCTTGTTACTGGTTTGTTCTAAAGGAAGCAGCTCTTCCTGCAGTGATTCTAGAAAACATGCCGCTTCTTGCATCCCTTCCTCTAGGAGTAACCAACTTCATTTCTTCATTTGTCTGTGTCACCCATGGCCTCAGCATCTGCAAATCCCCCAGTCAGTTCTCGTCCTCATTTTACTCCAGTAGCTGTTTGTGTTTGACATAGCTGATGCCTCCCTCCCTTGTTCTTTTTTTATTTTTTAGAGACGGAGTCTTGCTCTGTCACCCAGGTTGGAGTGCAGTGGCACGATCATGGCTCACTTGAACCTCCCGGGTTCAAGCAATTCCACCTCAGCCTCCTGAGTACCTGGCACTAGAGGCACATGCCACCACGCCTGGCTAATGTTTTTTTTTTTTTTGGTAGAGACAGGGTTTCACCATGTTGGCCGGGCTTGTCTAAAACTCTTGGCCTCAAATGATCTGCCTGCCTTGGTGTCCCAAAGTGCTGGCATTACAGGTGTGAGCCTCCACGCCCGGCCTCCTTCCCTCATTCTTAAAGCCCTCTTGGCTCTCTCCACCTGACTACTCTTTTTTTTTTTTTTTTTTTTTTTTTGAGATGGAGTCTCACTCTGTCACCCAGGCTGGAGTGCAGTGGCATGATCTCGGCTCACTGCAGCCTCCACCTCCAGGTTCAAGCAATTTTTGTGCCTCAGCCTCCCGAGTAGCTGGGATTACAGGCGCCCGCCACCACGCCTGGCTAGCTAATTTTTGTATTTTTGGTAGAGACGGGGTTTCGCCACGTTGGCCAGGCTGGTCTCAAACTCCTGACCTCAAGTGATCCACCCTCCTTGGCCCCTCAAAGCGCTGGGATTACAGGCGTGAGCCACTGCTCCCGGCCTAACTGATTTCTTTTTTTTTTTTTTTTGAGACGGGAGTTTTGCTCTTGTTTACCAAGCTGGAGTGCAGTGGCATGATCTCGGCTCACTGCAGCCTCCACCTCCAGGTTCAAGCAATTTTTGTGCCTCAGCCTCCCGAGTAGCTGGGATTACAGGCGCCCGCCACCACGCCTGACTAGCTAATTTTTGTATTTTTGGTAGAGACGGGGTTTCGCCATGTTGGCCAGGCTGGTCTCAAACTCCTGACCTCAAGTGATCCACCCTCCTTGGCCCCTCAAAGCGCTGGGATTACAGGCGTGAGCCACTGCTCCCGGCCTAACTGATTTCTTTCTTTCTTTTTTTTTTTTTGAGACGGGAGTTTTGCTCTTGTTTACCAAGCTGGAGTGCAATGGCGTGATCTCGGCTCACTGCAACCTCCACCTCCCGGGTTCAAGCGATTCTCCTGCCTCAGCCTCCTGAGTAGCTGGCATTACAGGCACGTGCCACCACACCCAGCTAATTTGTTGTATTTTTAGTAGAAATGGGGTTTCACTGTTAGCCAGGCTGGTCTCAAACTCCTGGCCTCAGGTGATCCGCCTGCCTGACCTCCTGAAGTGCTGGGATTACAGGCATGAGCTACCGCGCCCGGCCCTCAGCTGATTTCTTGACACCTTTGCTTGGATGCCTCAGAGGTGTTTAGAGGTTAGGGAGCAAAGGAGGTTGAGAGAGTGGCTATGAAACAGGAGAGCCGGTGTCTTGGAGGCTGAGTGGCTGAGTGCTGAGGAGCTGTGCTCATTCCCTCGGTGTAAGTGTTGCTGTGTCCACGACCAGACACTGAGCGCAGTCCACACCTCCTGCTTAACTGTCTTCCCCAGCTTAGGTGGCTGCAGCAGCTCCTTCCTCTCCTTGTCTAGGCCGAGGGCCTGGCGTCCTGCTGAGCTCCTCTTAATTTCCCAAGTGAGCTCTGCTACCCACCACGCCCCGCCCCAACTAGGCCCCTGGCCTCACCTGAGCTGTTACAGCCACACTTCATGGCCTCCCTGCCTCCGCCCTTTTCTTTCCCACTTGCTCTGCTCACTCATTGGCAGATCACGTGGTCTGTTCTCTGATGAAAGCCCTCCAGTGACGTCTCAGTCAGAGCAAAAGCAGTGATTTCTTACCATGGCACAAATGCCTCTTCATCCTGTCCCACCGCTACCCCCGGGACCTCACCTGCTGCTTTCCCCATCATCATTCACACACGCCACCCTTCTCCACGTTCACTCCTGCCTAGGGCCTCTCGCAGCCCCTCTGCCGGGCCACGGTGTCCATGTGGCACATGCCATCCCTTCCTTTTCCTTTTTTTTTTTTTTTTTTGAGATGAAGTCTCGATCTGTGCCCCAGACTGGAGTGCAATGGCGAGGTTTTGGCTCAGTGCAACCTCTGCCTCCTGGGTTCAAGTGATTCTCCTGCCTCAGCCCCCCAAGTAGCTGGGACTACAGGTGCATACCACCACACCTGGCTAATTTTTTGGTTTTTAGCAGAGACGGAGTTTCACTATGTTGGCCAGGCTGGTCTCGAACTCCTGACCTCGTGATCTGCCCGCCTCGGCCTCCCAAAGTACTGGGATTACAGGTGTGAACCACTGTGCCTGGCCAAGCATCTTTCTTTTTTTCCCAGACCCACTTATGGGTCTGATGGATGGATGTGCCATTCCAATTTCCTTGACTTTCTGTAAACATAGCACCATCATCCTTACCCTACTTAATGTTTTCATGGTACCTACCGCCCCATGACCCACATATACTTGCTGATTCTATGTCTTCTACTACTCCATGGACTCTGTCCATATTGGTTCATAACCCTGTCCCCACACCTGCATGCCTGGCACTTGGCAGGCTTCAAAAGATGATAGTAGATGGCCCCTGAGACCCTCCTATGGTGAGTCCTCCACAGGGCCCTTGGACATGAAAACGCCTCCCTCTGCCTTCACTCCCCAGGGAGCGTGGCAGAAGTGAAAGGACTGCAGGCCTGGCGATGGAGTCCCAGCCCGGCCATCCACTAGCTATAGGGCCTTGGGCAACTTCCTTCACTCCTCCAAGCTTCCATTTTCTCACCTGTGAAATTGGCATTGGCAATGTTTGTTTCATAGGACTATCTGAGAAATAAATGAGCTGTTATAAGTACAGTTCTGTATCATTTCAGATTATGTTCTGTTCCTAACAGAAATCTTTTTGGTCTTTTTCTTCTAGAGTCTGGGGTCTTGCTGTGTCACCCAGGCTGAAGTGCAGTGGCACAATCACTGCTCACTGCAGCCTCTACCTCCCAGGCTCAAGTGATTCTCCCACCTCAGCCTTCTGAGTAGCTAGGAGTAGAGGTGTGTGCCCCACTGCACCCAGCTAATTAATTTTTTTTTTTTTTTTTTTTTTTTTTAGAGATGGGGTCTCACCATGTTGCTCAGACTGGTCTTGAACTGGCATCAAGTGATCCTTCCACCTTGGCTTCCCAAAGTGCTGGGATTGCAAGCATGAGCCACTGCACCTGGCCTCTAACAGAAGTTTGATTGGTGGCTTGACCCAACAGGAGGTTATTTTTCTAAGTGATGGGAAGGTCAGAAGTGGCATGTCAGGGCTGGGAGCAGTGCCAGGCTATCCTGGAGGACTCAGTGCCCACCCCACCATCCTCAGCACGCATGCTTTGTCCAGTGGCAAGGTGGCCCCCTTACACGTGCAAGCCCCTCAGCCCCACTGAGAAGGGGGAGGGAGGGAAGGGCCCAGAGCAGAGCTCATGGAGCTTCATCCCCAGGAGTGCCCCCTTCTGACCTCCAGTTCTGCAGGTGATGACGAGGGGGTCACACAGACACCCCCAGTGACAGGCAGGGACTGGCACATTGTCGCTCAAACAAAATTCGGGTTGTGTGTGAAAGGCTCATGGGGTGCGTGTTGGGCAGGTGCCTCGTGGCGCCAACAGCACCAAGGCACTGAGCTGGGTTATTCTGTCAATCTGGGTGGTGAGGTTGACCTGTTGACCTATCTGACCTGAGCTCATCTGGGCTGCACCCAGAGCAGCTGCTCCAGGACATGACGCAAGTCTCTGAGTCTCTGAAGACCAGCCCTGGCCTCCGAAGCACCTTTGTGTTGGCCATCTGAGCTGCTGGCCAGGACCCAGTCTTGCTGGCTCACATTTGCATGGTGGTTAGCATTTTCCAAAGCATTTTGAAACAGGTGTCATCCGTTCCTACTTTGTTAGAGCCTCACAAAGCCCCTCATGGAGAGAGAATTCTTATCTATGCCATTTTCAGAAATGAAGGCACAAAGTCAGAAACCATTCATTCTTTCTCATTTAATTTCACTTATTTATTTATTATATTTTGAGATGGGGTCCCGCTATGTTGACCCAGCTGGTCTTGAACTCCTGGGCTCAAGCAATTCTCCCGCCTCAGCCTCCTGAAGTGCTGGGATTACAGGTGTGTACCACCACACACCACACACTCTGGCTGGAGTGCAGTGGCGTGATCATGGCTCACTGCAGCCTTGACTTCCTTGGGCTCTAGTGATGCTCCCACCTCACCCTCCCAAATAGCTGGGACTACAGGTGTGCACTACCACACCCAGCTAATGTAATTTTTTTTTTTTTTTTTTTGAGACGGAGTCTCGCTCTATCGCACAGGCTGGAGTGCAGTGGTGCAATCTCGGCTCACTGCAACCTCTGCCTCCCGAGTTCAAGTGATTCTCTCACCTTGGCCTCCCGAGTAGCTGGGATTACAGGCGCCCGCCACCACACCCAGCTAATTTTCTGTATTTTTAATAGAGATGGGGTCTCACAATGTTGGCCAGGCTGGTCTCAAACTCCTGACCTCAGGTGATCCACCTGCCTCAGCCTCCCAAAGTGCTGGGATTACAGGCGTGAGCCACCGTGCCCAGCCTGTAATTTTTTTATTGAAACAGGAACTTGCTATGTTACCCAGGCTGGTCTGGAACTCCTGGGCTCAAGTGATACCCCTGCCTCAGCCTTCCAAAGTGTTGGGATAACAGGTGTGAGCCACAGTGCCCAGCCCCCTATTTATTACTCGTTTGGGTTTCCTAAAGATATCATAAGCTATTTTAGGCTGGGTGCAAAAGAGCAAGTGTCCTGCCACATGACTTATGCAAATCCAGAGAGCAGGGCCAGCCACTCAGCTCTGATTCCAATTTTGTCCCTTAGGGGCTTTGTCTAAACCCTGGAACCAAAACTCATCCAGCTGCTTTCATTTGCTCAATCCCAAATGAATGACAATGTTATCTTTTTGTGTTTTGATGGAGCCGAGTGAATAAAAAAAAAAGACTGAGTGCATCGAATAGGATGTAAGGCCATATTTTTAATGAAATTATTAACATGGGACAAAACTTCATCAGGTTGCACATTGAACAGATAAAATCCCCTTGGGTCTGAGCCATTACCTTGGAATCAGAACATGGGCATTTCCTTGGTGTTCCCCTTGGCGGCAGCCGCCTGCTCTCAGCCTGAGGCAGGTGCAGGGAGCCTGCTGGTAATCGGGACACCCTGCAGAGCTGGGGTTGCTGTAGCAACCAGATGCTGCCTGGAGGGCGGAATTTTAAAATATCTCAGCTATAATAGTTTTTTTCACATTCTGTCACTTCCCCAGTGCTGCATCATACTGCTGAGGTGGGCCATGCGGGGACACAGGGGCCCTTGGGTGGCAGCTTCTGTGGGTGTTGGAAGTGGGAAGATGGTCTCAGGGTGTTAACTGCTGGGCAGCCGACAGCCTCAGCTTTCGCTTCCAGGTTCCTCCAGCTCTTGGTTCCAAAGCCTCGTGTCATTTTCTCTCTTTTTGGGGTGAGAGGGGATGGAGAGAGAGAATAGGAGTCTAGCTTGAAACTCCTTCCCTACCTCCTCCCCCTCTGATTTGAGCTTTCTGGCTCTGCATCCCTAGGCGAGCAGCCTTGGCGTTCCTGGAGCTGTCTCTTTGGAGAGGGGAGGGGTGTTCCTTCTTCCTTTCTTGTCTGCTTCTTCCTTTGGTCTTTCTTTTTTTTTTTTTTCTTGAGACGGAGTCTCGCTCTGTTGCTCAGGCTGGAGTGCAGTGGCACGATCTCGACTCACTGCAAGCTCCGCCCCCCGGGTTCACGCCATTCTCCTGCCTCAGCCTCCCCAGTAGCTGGGACTACAGGCACCCGCCACCACCCCCGGCTAATTTTATTTTTTTAATTTTTAGTAGAGACGGGGTTTCACTGTGTTAGCCAGGATGGTTTCCATCTCCTGACCTCGTGATCCGCCTGCCTCGGGCTCCCAAAGTGCTGGGATTACAGGCGGGAGCCACCGCGCCCGGCCCCTTTGGTCTTTCTAACTTCCTCTTTCGGCTTCATTTATTCACATATAAATGACTGTTGCTCTCCTACCAAATGCAGTGTTAAGAAATGAGGGCCGGGCTCGGTGGCTCACGCCTGTAATCCCAGCACTTTGGGAGGCCGAGGCAGGCGAATCACTTGAGGTTAGGAGTTTGAAACCAGCCTGGCCAACATAGTGAAACCCTATCTCTACTAAAAACAAAACAAAACAAAACAAAAATTAGCCAGGCAGGTGGCACGTGCCTGTAGTCCCAGCCACTCGGGAGGCTGAGGCAGGAGAATCACTTGAAACCGAGAGGCGGAGGTTGCAGTGAGCCGAGATTGCACCATTGCACTCCAGCCTGGATGACAGAGTGAGACTCCATCTCAAAAAAAAAAAAAAAAAAAGAAAGAAAGAAAAGAAACGAGAAATTCCCTTGTTCTAGAGGAATTCATCCTGTCTTGACCCTGGACTTGCCTATCAGATATCAAACATTTTTATGAAGTTACAGTAATTAAGACACTGTACTACTGGCAGAGGGAGAGACACAAACCAATGGCACAAAGGAGAGTACCCAGAAACAGACCTACACATGTATGAAAATGTGGCCTCACAAAATCTTTCTTTCTTACTCATTTCATAGCCTGATATGGGTCAGGTGGCTACTCTTGACCTTTTTGCTTCAAGTGGTGACTCAGGGATCCAGGCACCCTCCAGTTGGTGATGCTGTCATCTTCCACACATGGGTCCAAGGTCTGTGGGAGAGAGTGTGAATGGATAACTGTGAAGGGATTTATGGCCGAACCAGGCTGTGGTGGGTGCCACATGTGTGCATGTTTATTGGCTAGCCACATGGTTCTAATGTGACTGCAAAGAGGATGGGAAATGTGGTCTTTCTCTGTCTAGGAAGAGGAAATGGGATTGAACAGCATCTAGTCTGTCTCTGTTGCCATATTACTATTTACTAGGAATAAAGAAATTCTGGCCAGGCTTGGTGGCTTACACCTATAATCCCAGCACTCTGGGAGGCAGAAGCAGGAGGATCTCTTGAGTCCAGGAGTTTGAGACTAGCCTGGGCAACATGGGGAGACCCTCTCTCTACAAACAAACAAAAAAATAGCTGGGCGTGGTGGCACATGCTTGTAGTCACAGCTACTTGGAAGGCTGAGGCAGGAGGGTTGCTTGAGCCCAGGATTCAAACCTGCAGTGAACTATGATTGTGCCACTGCACTCTGGTCTGGACAACAGAGCAAGACCAATAGAGCAAAAAATTTTGTTTTGCTCAATTTTTGTTGAAATTCATGAATAGATATTAAATGTTTGTTTCTCTGTATTTGTTGAGTTGATCTTAAGTGTTCTTCTCCTTTAATCTGTTAATATGGTAAACCATATTAATATATTTTGTTTTTATCTTTTTTTTTTTTTTTTTTTTTGGAGACAGGGTCTCTCTCTGTCACCCAGGTTGCAGTACAGTTGTGCAGTCCTGGCTCACGGCAGCCTCGACCTCCCGGGCTTAAACAATTCTCCCGCCTCAGCCTCCCAAGTAGCTGGGACTACAGGTATGTGCCACCACACCCCAGCTAATTTTATTGTTTAATTTTTTGTAGAGGTGAGGTCTTGCCATGTTGCCTAGGCGGCTCTCAAACTCCTGGGCTTCAAGCGCTCCTCCCACCTTGGCCTCTAGAATGTTGGGATAACAGGCGTGAGTCACTATGCCCAGCCTGTTGTCATCTTTAACTCTTTCTTTCATCCCTGGGATAAAACCAAGTTGGTTATGTTACATGTTGCTGGCCGCTACTGCTGGTAATTTGTTCAGGAGTTCTTTGTCTATGTTCATAAGTGCAATTGGTCTATGTCTTAGTCCATTCAGGCTATTAGAAGACCATAGACTGGGTGTCCTGTGAAAACAGAAATTTATTTCTCATACTTTTGGAGACTGGACAGTCCAAGATCAAGGCATCAGCAGATTTGGTGTCTGGTGAGGGCCTAATTCCTGCTCCTTGGTTGGCCTGGACCAGAGAGGTGGCCAGCCTTTGAATCTGCTCTGCACTGTGGGTCCTTGCACTCTGGGCTGGTGATGGGAGTGCCAACTCTCATGATCTCTGAATTGCCTTCAGGGTCCTTCTTCCATTATCTTGGAGAACAGCTCCTAGCTTCTGTTGCAATGGCTGATCCATACTACTCTTACTAAAGGAGCTTGGCAACAGAGCAACACCGTTAGTGTTCTCTCCAAACTGGGTTCTCGTTCTTTTCTATATGGATGGGCTGATCATTTTTCAGAATTTCAAGTTCTTATTACTTTTTGCTTAACAGTTCTGTCTTTAAGTCATTTATGTCTCTCTTGAATTTTATTGGAAGCAGTCAGAAGGAGCTAGGTAACTCCTTCAATACTTTGTTTAGAGATTTCCTAAGCCAAACATCCAATTGCAAGTTTCATTGCTTGCAATTGTTACCTCCACAAAATGATAGAACATGAACACAATTTAGCTAAGCTCTTTGCTTCTTCCTAACAAGGATGGCCTTTTGTCCAGCTTCCAGTAAATGTTCTTCATTTCCATCTGTGGCCCCATCAGAATGGCCTTACTGCCTGTAATCCCAGCACTTTGGGAGCTCAAGGCGGGTGGATCACTTGAGGTCAGGAGTTCTAGACCAGCCTGGTCAACATGGTGAAACCCCGTCTTTACTAAAAATACAAAAATTAGCCGGGTGTGGTGGCATGCAGCTGTAGTCCCAACTACTCGGGAGGCTGAGGCAGGAGAATCACTTGAACCCAGAAAGTGGAGGTTGCAGCAAGATCACACCACTACACTTCAGCCTGGGCGACACAGTGAGACTTTGTTAAAAAAAAAAAAATTAAAAAAAAATAAAGAATGGCCTTACTATATATTCCCACCAGCATTCTGTTCAGGATTACTTAGGTATTCTCTAAGAAGATTGAGGTTTCGCTACAGCTCTCCTCTTTTCTTTCTGAGTCCTCATCAGGATCACCCTTAATGTCCACATTTCTAGCATACACCTCAAAACTCTTTCAGCCTCTACCTGTTACCCAATTTGAAAGTTGATGCCTTGGCTTCTCAAAGTGCTAGGATTGCCAGGTGCGGTGGCTCACGCCTGTAATCCCAGCACTTTGGGAGGCTGAGGCTGGCAGATCACGAGGTTAGGAGATCAAGACCATCCTGGTTAACATGGTGAAACCCCGTCTCTACTACAAATACAAAAATTAGCCGGGCATGATGGCGTGTGCCTGTAGTCCCAGCTACTCAGGAGGCTGAGGCAGGAGAATTGCTTGAACCCAGGAGGCAGAGGTTGTAGTGAGCTGAGATCGCACTACTGCACTCCAGCCTGGGCGACAGAGTAAGACTCCATCTCAAAACAAAACAAACAAATAAACAAACAAAAAACAAAGTGTTAGGATTACAAGAATGAGCCACCATGCCCAACCATATTTCCTTCTTTGTGTTTTCATTGTACTTGCTTTTCTTTCTCCAACTTTTATTTACTTATTTTGAGACAGGATCTCACTCTGTTGCCTAGGCTGGAAGTGGTGTGATCATGGATCACTGTAGCCTCAAACTGCTGGGCTCAAGAGGTCTTCACCTCAGCCTCCCAAGTAGCTGGGTCTACAGGCATGTACCATCATGCCTGGCTAATATTTTAATTTTTTATAGAGACAACGTCTTGCTATGTTACCCAGGCTGATCTCAAACTACTAGCCTCAAGTGACCCTCCTGCCTTAGCCTCCCAAAGTGCTGGAATGACAAGCCACTGTGCTCAGCCAATTTATTAAGTTGGATGTTTACCTTATTAAATGTTCAATTTTCTCCTTTGTAACACAAACATTTAAAGCTATAAATGTTCTTCTTCTGCTTTGGCTATGTCCCATCCATTTTGACAGGTGGTATTTTCATGTTCATTTAGTTCTAAATATTTTCTAATTTTTGGATGATTCATTTGGAAGTATGTCTTTACACTTCCAAATATGTGGGGGGTGGTTGGTCGTTGTTTTGTTATTTTATTCTAATCTAATTGTTGTGAGGTCAAAGGATTGGTCTGTACATGGTCAGGCTTTGTAAATGTTGCATGTAAAATTGTAAACAATGTGTAGTATCTAGTTTTGGAGGTACAGAGCTCTAAATTCAGCCATTTAGATCAAGCTTGTTAATGATATGGTTCAACTTGTATACATCTGTACCAATGTTTTATCTGTGTGAACTATCAATTACTGAGAGATGTGTTTATATTTCTTACTATCATTAGGTTATTTGCCAGTGTCTCATAAATATTACCCATTTTTATTTATATATTTTAGGGCAATGTTATTGAATACACACACATTCAGAACTATGGTCTTTCTGGAACTTGGTCCTTTTACAGCAGCAAATATGTATATAGCACTTTGTGCTGAGCACTTTCTATCTATTAATTCATTTACTCCTCATAACAACTCTGTGAAGTGGGTACTATTATTTTCCCCATTTTCTAGTGGGAAAATCAAGGAAAGAGAGATTAAGTAATTTGCCTAAGGTCACTCAGCTTCTAAATGGTGGAGTCAGCCAGGCGCGGTGGCTCATGCCTGTAATCCCCGCACTTTGGGAGGCCGAGGTGGGCAGATCACCTGAGGTCAGGAGTTCAAGAACAGCCTGGCCAACATGGTGAAACTCTGTCTCTACTAAAAATACAAAAAAAAATTAGCTGGGTGTGGTGACGGGCGCCTATAATCCCAGCTACTTGGGAGGCTGAGACAGGAGAATTGCTTGAACCTGGGAGGAAGAGGTTGCAGTGAGCCGAGATCGTGCCACTGCACTCGAGCCTGGGTGACAAAGTGAGGCTCCGTCTCCAAAAAATAAAAAAAATAAATAAAAATAAAATAAAACTAAATGGTGGAGTCAGGGTTTGAATCCAGGTAGTCTGGCTATAGAGTATGTGCCCTTCACTACTATGGTGTACTGTCTTCTATCATTACATAGTGAACTTCTTTATCCCTAAGAATATTCTTTGTCATATAGTTTATTTTTTTGGTATTAATATTGCCAAACCCACTTTTTAAAGTTGATATTTGCCTAGTTTAATTATATACATGCATTAAATTATATTTGTGTATTTTTTCTTCAGCCCTTTTTTACTTTGTTTGTCTTTATATTTTAGGGATGTTTCTCTTTTTCTTTTATTTATTTATTTTTGAGACAGGGTCTTGCTCTGTCACCCAGGCTGGGGTGCAATGGCGTGATCATAGCTCACTGCAACCTCCAACTCCTGGGCTCAAGGGATCCTCCCACTTCAGCCTTCTGACTAGCTGGGACTACAGGCATGTATCACTACACCTGGCTAATTAAAAACGATTTTTTGAAGGCCGGGCATGGTGGCTCACGCCTGTAATCCCAGCACTTTGGGAGGCCGAGGTGGGAGGATCACCTGAGGTCAGGAGTTCGAGATCAGCCTGACCAACATGGAGAAACCCCGTCTCTACTAAAATTACAAAATTAGCTGGGTGTGTTGGCGCATGCCTGTAATCCCAGCTACTCGGGAGGCTGAGGCAGAAGAATCGCTTGAACCTGGGAGGAGGAGGTTGTGGTGAGCTGAGATCTCACCATTGCCCTCCAGCCTGGGCAACGAGAGTGAAACTCCATTAAAAAAAACAAAAACAAAAACAAAACCTGCGTCCCTCAAAAAAAAAAATGGTTTTTTTTTTTTTTGGTAGAAATGGCATCTCATTTTGTTGCCCAGTCTGGGCTTGAGGGTTCCTTCTGCCTCAGTCTCCCAAAGTGCTAGGATTACAGGCGTGAACCACCATGCCAGGCCATGGGATATTTCTTATAAAAGCCTATAACTGGACATTTAAAAAAAATCCATCTGATCATGTGTCGTTTAATATGACATCTATTGTGATTACTGATTATTTAGCTTTATTTCTACCATCCACTGCATTCTGACTTCTGTTATTTCTGATGAGAAGTCTGCCATTAATCTAATTGTTGTTTGTTGTAAGTAATTTTTTTTTTACTGTTTGATTTCTCTTAAGATCTTTTTCTTGTCTAGAGTTCTACAATTTTACTTGAAAACATCTCGGAGCATGTTTATTTTTATTCATCCTGTTTAGGATTCATTGCAATTCCTAAATCTGTGGGTTGGAGAAGTTCTTTCACCAATTTTGGAAAATTCTCAGTTCAAATTTCTGTATTGTCCTTCCCTTATTGTTTTATATTCTCCTTCTGGAGCTTCTGTTAGACATATTTTGGATATTCCAATCTATCTCTCATGTCTCTTGTCTCCTAGATATTTTCAGTCTCTAGCTCTCTGTACTACATTCTAGAGAATGTCTTCATATATATTGTTAAATTTACTCACTTCAGTTGTGTCTAATTTGCTGTTGAGCTCATCCATTAATTTTTCAGTGACTATACAGCAGTCTCTCCCATTTGCAGTTTCACTTTTCATGGTTTCAGTTCCATGGTAAAGCACTGTCTGAAAATATTAAGATATTTTGAGATAGAGAGGCACCACATTCACATACACTTTTATTATAATATATTGTTATAATTGTTCTATTATTAGTTACTATTCTTAATCTCTTATGGTACCTAATTTATAAATTAAACTTTATCATAGGTATGTATAGGAAAATAAACATAGTATATGTATATCTTCAGTTTCAGGCATCCACTGGAGGTCTTGGAATGAATCCCTCATGGATAAAGGGAGGACTACTATATACTTGAAATCTAAAGGTTTCTTTTCTTTTCTTTGAGACAGGGTCTTGCTCTGTCACCCAAGCTGGAGTACAGTGGCATGATCATAGCTCATTGTAACTTCGAACTCCTGGCCTCAAATGACCCTCCCACTTTAGCCTCCTGGGTGGCTAGGAGTCACAGGCACATGCCACCACGTCTGGCTACTTAAAAAAAAAATTATTTTTATGGCCAGGTGTGGTGGCTCATGCCTGTAATCCCAGCACTTTGGGAGGCTGAGGCGTGCAGATCACCTGAGGTCGGGAGTTCGGGACCAGCCTGACCAACATGGAGAAACCCTGTCTCTACTAAAAATACAAAAATGAGCCAGGTGTGGTGGCGGGCGCCTGTATTCCCAGCTACTTGGGAGGCTGAGGCATGAGAATCGCTTGAACCCGGGAGGCGGAGGTTGCAGTGAGCCGAGATCGCACCACTGCACTACAGCCTGGGGGATAGAGCAAGATTCTGTCTTGAAAAAAAAAATTATTTTTAGAGATGAGGTCTTGCTATCTTGCCCAGGCTGATCTCAAATGTGCCCGGCCAGGTTTTTTGTTTGTTTGTTTATTTTTGGGCACCTCAGGTAGGACTGAAGTGTTTGTTTGTTTGCTTTCCCCCCAGACGGAGTATTGGTGAAACACCATATTGATCAGGCTGGTCTTGAACTCCTGACCTCACCCTGCCCCACATGGGTGGACCCTGGCCCCAACTGGCACCCTGAATGTCTCACACTGTGAGCCTGAGAAGACCGGCTCCAAGAATCAGTGCTCCTAACCATGGCAGCTTTGTTCCTGGGCACTTACCAAAGTGCAACGCTACTGGGGAGCAGAACTCAAGAGTCCAGGCAGAAAACAGCCATTGGTGGCCCCTGCTATGAGTCGATGTTCCCTGGGAGGCTAAGGCATGGGCTAATGGAATGATGATAACACAGAGACCTTTAACTGAGCATGGACTCTGAGCCAGGGACTGGCTCTGTCATCGAAGAGAGATTACACACATGATCTCTCTTCATACTCACAACAATCCCTTAAGGTAGGAGTGAGGTCCTTTTTTTTTTTTTTTTGAGATGGAGTTTTATTCTTGTTGCCCAGGCAGGAGTGCAATGGCACAATCTTGGCTCACTGCAACCTCTGCCTCCCGGGTTCAAGCGATTCTCCTGCCTCAGCCTCCCGAGTAGCTGGGATTACAGGTGCGTGCCACCACCCCTGGCTAATTTTCGTATTATTAGTAGAGGCGGAGTTTCACTGTGTTGGCCAGGCTGGTCTCAAACTCCTGACCTCAGGTGATCTGCCCGCCTCTGCCTCCCAAATTGCTGGGATTATCACCATGCCCGGCTAGTTTTGTACTTTTAGTGGAGATGGGGTTTCTCCATGTTGGTCAGGCTGGTCTCAAACTCCCGACCTCAGGTGATCCGCCCGCCTCGGCCTCCCAAAGTGCTGGGATTACAGGCGTGAGCCACCGCGCCCGGCTGGGGTGGGGTCCTGTTTACAGATCAACATTCTGAGGTGAAATATTCAGGCTAAGACCACAAAGGTGTTAAGTGGCACAGGTGGGATGGCGGCCCCAGAGCTCCTGCCCTCACCACCATGCCAGCTTTCCAAAAGTGGTGTGTGTGGGGGAGGTGGAGATGGTGCAGGTTCTAAATTGTATATTTACCAGGGATTGGCTGTGCAGACTGACCTCCACGGAACTGGAAAAGGCAGGTTTGGCTGAAACGGACTCTTATTTAAGAGGCAGATTTAGGGGCGAGGCCTGACTAACCCCTGCGGCTCCACTGCATACAGCTCCCTCACACTGCATGGTGTTATCACGCTGCAAGCTGTTACCTAGGGGAGATGAGCCCGCAGCAGCAGCTTCAAAGGTCATGAAATCAGGGAGCCCACAGGCCCCACAAGGGTGCAGAGGCCAATAGGGCAGGCAAGCTTTCTGCCTTGTTTTCATGGGGCTGGGAATGGGATGTTTCCATTATTGGTGAACCTCAGATTGTTTTTGAGCCCCAACTGCTCTAGTCATTTCCTTCTCCCTTAAACCCCTAAAGGCAGCACTCTACCTTCTGCCTTCCAGAGTTGCTGCATCGACATCCATCCCCAGCCTTGGATGAGTCCTGGGGTGAGCTGGTGTGCTCTCTCCTGAGACTGTCTACGCAGGGCCACTGACTGCATTCCTTCCTTGGTGTCTCTGTCTACTGTGGTGGGCTGTAACCCTCACCATCATCCCTTTGGAGCCTTTGTTTTCATCCAGGTGCCCACACCTCTAAATGCCCCTTTATTTTACTCTCTGCTAGACACATCTTCCTATTACGTCCCATTCTGCTTTAAAAACCTTTGAGAAGCCCGCTGGGCGGATGCCACTTGCCCAATCTCGTTCCCTCGTCTCTCCTCCCAGGCAGGTGTTTTCAGGGAACTTCTCCATCCGCTGGAATCGGGTCGTCCCTGAGATGGCTCGCGACCCCAGGGCTGGGTACATGGATATTTAGGACTATAGGTCTGGGGCTGCTGCCCGAGCCCTTTTTGCCAACATGGCCTGACTCCTCCACTGGTTTTTAGTGCCTTAGGGAGAGGCGGATGGCCCCATGGGAAGGGCGCTGGACGGAGGGTGGAGGCGAAGCTGCCCACTGCCTGCCTCAGAGCTGAGAAGGCCAGGTGCAAAGCCCGCCCTGTAGCTTGAGCCCATCGCTTGGGGGCACCGAAGCCATCTAGGTACTAACGCCCTGCGGTACAGCCGGTGGGATTCCCAGCGACTTCCTTAGGAGTCCGCGCTCCATGGGAGTCCCCCCGCACCGGGTCGCCTCGCCCTGGCGGCTGCCCGCGCCTCCTCCCGCTTCCTCCAGGCCACAGGGCTCCCGACCCGACTGTGACGCACTGCACCCCCGCCCCTTCTCTTCCCGTTGATCCAGCGCGCCGCGCTTTCTCCTCCTCTGGTCTCGCTGCTTCCTCTCCCCCTCGAATCCAGTCCTGGTTTCCCCGCCGCCAGCCTCCCTCCCTCCCGGCGGGACTCGCTCCCCGCCCCGCCCCGCCCCGCCCCCGCCTCGCCTGTCTTCACCGCGGTCCGCTCGGTTCACCGCCTGCCCCCTCTCCCTGCCGCCCGGCCCGGCTCGCCCAGTCCAGTGGCTCCAGTCCGGATCTCGCCGCCGCCCGGCCCAGGTGCGAGTCCCCACTGCTGGGGAGGCGGCGGGCCCCGGCTCCCCTCGGCCGCCTAGCCCGCCTCGCCCGCCCGGGGTTGGCGGGGAGGGAACAGCTGGGCGGCCCCAGAGCCCCTCGGAGGACAATGCGCCCGGCGCTCGGCCACCCTCGCTCGGTCTCCTCCGCGTCCGGTTCCTTCCCGCCGCCCCCGGCAGCCGCCCGGCTGCAGCCCCTCTTCCTCCGCGGGGGCTCCTTCCGCGGCCGGAGAGGCTCCGGCGACAGCAGCACCAGCACCAGCACCAGCCGCGGGGGAGGCGGCGGCAGACGCGGCGGGGGCGGCGGCTCCCCGAGCAGCAGCACGGGCGCCGAGCGCGAGGACGACGACGAGAGCCTCAGCGTCAGCAAGCCGCTGGTGCCCAACGCCGCGCTCCTGGGGCCGCCGGCTCAGGTGGGCGCCCCCGCCGGCCCCGCGCCTGTCGCCTTCTCCTCCTCAGCGGCCACCTCCTCCTCCACCTCCACGCCCACCTCCTCCTGCAGCATGACAGCCGCGGACTTCGGCGGGGGCGCCGCGGCCGGGGCCGTCGGGGGCCCCGGGAGCCGCTCGGCGGGGGGCGCGGGCGGCACCGGGACCGGCAGCGGCGCCTCCTGCTGCCCGTGTTGCTGCTGCTGCGGCTGCCCAGACCGCCCCGGCCGCAGAGGTCGGCGCCGCGGCTGCGCCCCCAGTCCCAGGTGCCGCTGGGGCTACCAGGCGCTGTCCGTGGTGCTGCTGCTGGCGCAGGGCGGCCTGCTGGACCTGTACCTCATCGCCGTCACCGACCTGTACTGGTGCTCCTGGATCGCCACTGACCTGGTGGTGGTGGTGGGCTGGGCCATCTTCTTCGCCAAGAACAGCCGGGGCCGTCGGGGCGGCGCAGCCAGCGGCGCGCACAACCACCACCTGCACCACCACCACGCCGCGCCGCCCCTGCATCTGCCCGCCCCCTCGGCCGCTACCGCTGGGGCCAAGGCACGCGGAGCCCGCGGGGGCGCCGGCGGCGCGGGGGGCGGCCTGGGGGCGGCCGCGGCAGCGGGCGAGTTCGCCTTCGCCTACCTGGCCTGGCTTATCTACTCCATCGCCTTCACTCCCAAGGTGGTGCTGATCCTGGGCACGTCCATCCTAGACCTCATCGAGCTACGCGCGCCCTTCGGCACCACGGGCTTCCGTCTCACCATGGCGCTGTCGGTGCCCCTGCTCTACAGCTTGGTGCGGGCCATCAGCGAGGCGGGCGCGCCCCCGGGATCGGCAGGACCCCTGCTGCTGCAGCCCCAGCGGCACCGCGCGGCCGGATGCTTCCTGGGCACGTGCTTGGACCTGCTCGACAGCTTCACGCTGGTGGAGCTGATGCTGGAGGGCCGCGTGCCGCTGCCCGCGCACCTGCGCTACCTGCTTATCGCCGTCTACTTCCTCACCCTCGCCTCGCCGGTGCTCTGGCTCTACGAGCTCAACGCCGCGGCCGCAGCGGCTGCATCCTGGGGCCAGGCCTCCGGGCCTGGCAGCTGCAGCCGCCTTCTGCGCCTGCTGGGCGGCTGCCTGGTGGACGTGCCCTTGCTGGCGCTGCGCTGCCTCCTGGTGGTCAGCTACCAGCAGCCCCTCTCCATCTTCATGCTCAAGAACCTCTTCTTCCTCGGCTGCCGGGGCCTGGAGGCCCTGGAGGGCTGCTGGGACCGGGGCAATCGGGCCTCCCCGAGTCGGGCCAGAGGGGGCTACGGTGCTCCGCCCTCCGCCCCTCCACCACCTCCGCCACCACCTCAGGGAGGCTCCCAGCTGGGCCACTGCATCTCGGAGAACGAGGGGGGTGCTCATGGCTATGTCAACACCCTGGCTGTGGCCTCTCAGAATTGAGGGTGAAGGGCACGGGTCCTTGTTTTTGGGTTGAGAGTCCCCAACCCCCTTGTCTTCTACCTTCTGTCACCTAGATTTGATCAGGGTCTATTTGGAAGAGGTAACCCTTTTCAGGGCTAAGGGCCAGGGTGTTCTTCTGCACCCTGGGGTGAGGACGGCTTGGAGGGAGACCAGCAGTTAACGGTGAGGGAGGTAGGTGCACTTACCCTCTCCTCTCTTCTCCTATCCTACCCCAATCCTGACCTCCAAGGGGCTGGTACCTCTGCTTCTTGCTTTGCCCACCTCCACTCTAATTCCCATCCATTAGGAGGAGAGGGGTGCTGGGCCTTGGACCTTCTCCCTTGCTTAGAAGTGCCAGCCTCTTTTAGGCTGTGGTTAGTGGCCATTGTCCCATGCCTTGAAATTGACCCAGAACCCACTTTCCACTGATGTGTCTCTTGGATTTCTTCCAGGTGATAGATACAAAGTGTATGTCTCTGTGTGTGTAGTGTTGTTTTCTCGTGTCCACCCTGTGGCCCTTTGCAATGGGTAGGAGATCTGGGGAGGCCCTGCCCCCTACACCATACTTATCACCACCCTCCTCTTTTCTGCCTGGATTTGTGACCATGAATTCCCAGGAAGAGCTGGGCCCCTGGGAGCTGCCCAGGTACTCCCCTTGAAGGGAGAATCTCACCCAGGATCTTCCTCAATACTGCTCCTCTCTTCTCAGCTCAGGGAGAGGAGGGGATCCATTCTCTAAGGACCAAACTGCACCCTTTCTTGGGTGAGTGAGCATTTCTACCTCCGTGCTTTCAACTTTTGTTGCATCATGCACTGATGCTGCTTGCAAAAAATGAAGACAAAATACTCAGAAGTTGCATTTGCCATGGCCACTGGCTCCAGCTGGGGTTTGGTGCCAGTGTTATTACAGGGTCTGCGGAGTATCAGCCATTGGCTTGGCCTCTCTCTGTTCCTCCCTCTGCACCTAGAACTCTTATCCTTCCTGTGGTTTGGTGCCGACTGGGTCGGATCTGGGCTTAGAGTAATAGCTTTGGTGGGTTTCCTGGATGGATGTGAAGTTGGGCCTCCCATGGGCCCAAGGGAGTAGGAAGCCCCATTCCCCACCTGTCCTTCCTCTAGGAAGTGTAGATCAGAAAGTGAGGTGGTGACCTCCCACCTCTGGTCTGGTTAAGAGTCTCACTAGGGCCAAGGCAGGCTGCAGAACTTTCCCTCTTCCTCTCATTGAGGGTGATGACAAGAGACATCCGGGGACTGTGCACTTACAGTCGGTGTGGAATGTCACTCTTGCAGTCTTTGAGGCAGGATAAGTATTTTTACATATTTTAAGGGTGCAGGAGGACAGCAGCTAACAAGGCCAGGAAATACTCACTTCCCTCCACCCTCAACAGGATGTGGTGGGGGTGAAACTTGAAGAATTTTTGTTTCCCCTTCTCCCTTCTTACGTTTGGGAAGTTTTATGTAGTGTAACAAACTCTAGACGAGTTACCAGAAGATGTGGATTCTAGTTCTGATTCTGTCACTCATTGGCTTTGAGTGACATATTTTTATTTCCTGGGCCTGTTTTCTCACATTAAAAAAGTAGAAGTTAGATGAGTGATCTCTAAGGTTGAAGGTAATTTCAGCTCTCACATTCTTTTGAGTTTGTGGCTCTTGAAAGCCCTGGTCCTGATGCTCCCTGTAAAGGTGGCTGGGAGAGAAGCCAGCCAGGCTGCACTTGCAGAACATTCCCTGCTCTGTACTGGGTGTGTGAAGCCCCAGCAGAGAAGGCCGGAGGGAGGGCTTGGGTGCCTGGGCTGGGTGTGGGGCAGGGCCTGGCACAGCTGCAGAGTGCACAGGGAGGGTCAGAAGTGCCAAGTCACTGGCCGTTAACTCAGCACCCAGGCCAAGCCCCCGCCTCCCACTTGAAGCCCCCTCTTACAACTGTTTTGGGGGCTTGGAGCAGAAGACACCCTTGTAGACAGACATAAGAGGGGCAGAAGGCTTGACCAGAGTTCTCTTGAGCCTCCTCATGCTCTCAGAGCAGGGAACAGCGGGGGAAAATGTTTACACTCCATGCACAATCTGTGCTTCCAGTCCCTCACCCTATGTGGCCCAATAGCTGGCTGGATTTCACACTTAATTGGTATTTTTTTCTGCCTTCTTCCCCTGCCCCCACTGACTCCTCTCCTCTCCCTTTGATTGTACTCAAGGTTCTGGGGCCTGGGCCCTGGGTGGGTACCAACAGCTGCTCGCTGTTCCCATGTCCTCTCTCCAGCTTTGCTGTGTTTCTCTGCTACCTAATCTCAGTGACTGTGAAAGGACATTGTGTCTGAGCCATGGCCAGCCGCTGGCTGGCCCCCTGATCTGCCCCCCTTCTATTGTTTGGATGGCCATCTCCTGCTGGGCCTCCCTGACTGTAAAATCTCTGTACTGTTTGTTAGGTTTTTGGTGGGAGGCTGTGATAAGTTCCAATGAGCTGCCACTTCCCTGGATATGTCAAGAAGCTGATGGCAACTTGGCCAATTCTGGCAGATATCAGGCCCCCAGTTCAGCCCCAGTCACCCTCTTTTACACATGTGGGTCAACCACTGTGTGCTCAGAGGGTCAGTCCCTTCCTCTGCTGTGTTTTTCTTGAGTCCTTGCACTCACTTCCCCTGCCCCAGTCACGATGACCCCTAAAGCTTCCTTTGCCCTTGCTTTCTAGGGCATCCCTAGTGAAGGGGCAAACCTGAGATTTCTCCGTGGACCTGACAGCCAAGGCAGGGCACTGTCTCCTGAGGCCAGTGCCAGCACGTGCATGGTTCACAGAAAAGGATCCTGGGCTCAGAATCTCGAGAACCGCCTGCTCCTAACAATTCAGCAAGTCAGGGGCTTCCTCTCTGTTAGTCCCCAAATCCTTACTTATTTTAAAAAGACTAGACCCTCTCTAAAGACTGTTCCATTTTAACATGTCCTGATTCTGCATCCGTGGGTTTTGTGAAAGAGAGCTAGCTGGCGGTTAGAGCCTGGAAGAAGGAGGGAAGTGGCACCTCACTAGCATTTATCACTTTTTTCCTTCTCTTTTTAAAAATAAAACCAGACTCTGTTCTGAAAATAAAAAACTTGAGACTTGTGACAAGCTTCCTGTGTGGTTTGTTTTAAGATCTTTTCTGTCCTGGTTTCCTTACAAAATTCTTAAATGTCACTGTGACATTCGCCATTATTTTATAAGTTTGTGTTAACATTATGGGTACACCTTGGCCCTTCTAGGCAGTTGGCATGTTTTTCAGGGAGGCAGTGAAGCTGTGGCCTGGAGCTGGTGAGTGTCTTGACATGCTTTGTTGGCACAGCCAGCTCAGCTCTAATGGACTCAGCCTGAGAACGATTTTTTCTCATCACCCTCGGCTCTCTCTCACTTTTCTTTCCTTCCTTCTTTCTTTTTCTTTGTTTTTGAGACAGGGTCTCACTCTGTCACCTGGGCTGGAGTGCAGTGGCGCCATCATAGTTCACTGCAGCCTCAACCTCCTGGGCTCAAACAATCCTCCTGCCTCAGCCTCCCAAGTAGCTGGGACTACAGAAGTGTGCCACCACGCCCGGCTTCCCATTTCTTTCTAAAAGAGTAGCTTTCCAAAGGGGGAACATCTTGAGAAACTAATTTTTAAATACTGTGCCCTCCTCTATCACTCTTGCCCCAGCCAGAAGCACAAATTCTTACGTATGAATAAGAAGAACAAGGCCATGGGTTTTTGTTTGGTTTTATTTTAACATGAAGGGTAGTATTAAGTCTAAGCAAGAACACTGGGCCTGCACCAAAATAAACAAACACACAGTGATTTTTTTTTTTTCTTAGCACAGAGGCAGCCAGTATTACACAGCCCCTCTCTGTGTTGTGACCCTAGCTTGCTGCTTCTGGCTGTGCCAAATGCTAAGCAGGCGTTTCACTCAGGGCAGCCCGGGAGGCAAGGTCTGAGAGTGGAAGCTCCTGGGAGCCTGAGCTCTCTCTGCCTCTCGTTAGCTGTGGCTTTGGCCATCAACTGGAACTATGTCATTATTTATAAAACAGGAGCAATCACAGGGCTGTGGTGAGAATCACATGAGGTGACACATGTGAAATGGTCCTTTCCCCTAAGACATATATAATTGTAACAAGGAACAAAATTTACATAGAAAATAATTACAGAACAACGTAGGACCATGTCTTCATTTCTCCCTGGAGCGGATGTAAAATAAGGTGATTGATTTGAGCAAGCATGTTATGAATATTTAGAAATGTCTTCTAGGGAAGCAAGCTGGCGCTCACCGATTTTGGTTTGCCAGGCATATCAGAAGGCACTTTGTGACAGGTGCAGTAGGGACGCGGAGTGATCTCTTCACGTGTAGGCAATGCCCAGCCCACACCTAGGCCTTGCCTGAGTCTGGCCATGCAGTTCTTGCCCTAAGGAAGAACAGGAAAATATAGCGCGTGGTTGACTGTCAGGCCCTCTGCCCCTTCCCTCGTCACAGCCACCTTCAGGGCTGCTTTCTCTCCATTTTCCTGAGGCCGAGAAAGAGGAGGTAGCTGGCACAATGCCACATTGCAGTCAGGAAGAAAAGCCAGTGTGCACCAAGGCCCTTCTTCCTCCCACATCTGCACTGCTCCAGGCAACCTTCGGTAGTCGGCTGTTGCTTGGGTCCAGCTTCCTTTCCATGAAAGCTCAGCCATTCTAGCAAAAAAGCAGGGGCTGTTTTCATCTTCTGAGAGAATCCCATGACACTGGTGAGCAGAGGCGGCCAGTGGGACACCCGTGCAGGGAAGCAGGCAAATGCAGGGACCAGCCACCCGCATCCCTCCTTTCTACTCCCTCTCCTCCTCCTACCTGGTCACTGTGTACCTTCTTCCTGTCTCATCAGAGAGGAAGGATCCAGTGAGCGAACTCATCTTATAGTCAATGACCTAAGGGGTTATTCCTCCTGGGAAGGACTCCAGGGGGAGGTGGGCTGGGCCAGGCTTCCTGGCACACTTCAAACCATGAGACAGGAGACTGCATGTTCCTCCCACAGGCAAGACTGGCCCACCCGGGTGACTGCCTGCTTTCATCAACCTAAATGGACAGGGCGAGAGTGTGGACCCAGTGCTAGGATCTGGGAGAGGCGATGGGGCATGGAGAGCCATGCAGAGGTGGAGGGCAAGATGGACCTGGATGCCATTTCAGAGTGAGGGGAGGCCCCGTGGGGAAAGCGTCGGGTACAGAATTAACATGAACAGCTTGTGCAATGGGTTTAGGGGTAGCTGCTTTTCTTCATATTCTTCTATAAAATATACCCATGGAATCCATATTGTTGCCATTTTTCCACAATGGACATGTTCACTCAGCCAAGTACTTCCTGAGCTCCTGAGAGACGCCAAATATGGGAACACATATTACTTCTATAATCTGAAAAGGCAAACACCGGAGGAAGAGAGCAATACCTAATAGCAGGGAAAGAGGATCAGTGGTACCTCAGGGGGCACAAACTGCTCTGCCCCAGAAGCAGGCTGGTGCCACTCGGGGATACTGCAGGCTTGCCAGGACCCCATGAGGTGGGAACTCCTGCCCCACCCACTTTACAGATGAGCAAGCTACCTAGGGCGGACGAGCAGCTGGCCAGCCCCCAACCCTGCTGCCTCTTCTTTGTAAGGATCCTCTGTCCGACACAGTTGACTTGTGGGATGCAGGCCCGGCTGCTGGAGCAGCGGCCCTCCATCTCACTCTGTCCTCAGGTGCCCCGGGCCTTGCTGGAGTCCCAGCTGGCAGGGCGCTAAGGCAGAAGAGGGCCCTGCATACACCTCATTTATTTAGGAAGGGGAGCACCAACCACAGAGCCCAAAGGCTATAGAGTTAAAACCACCCACTGCATTGTAAGTACATCTTCTTCTCTCTTATGCCCTATTTAATTTTCAAAGATAAACAGGAAAGGCCAGGCACGGTGGGCTCAGGCCTATAATCCCAGCACTTTGGGAGGATGAGGCGGGCAGATGGCTTGAGCCCAGGAGTTCGTGACCAGCCTGGACAACATGGTGAAACCCCATTTCTACAAAATATATACACACAAATTAGCCGGGCACAGTGGTGCACGCCTGTAGTTCTAGCCACTGGCAGGCTGAGGTGGAAAGATGGCTTGAGCCTGGGAGGTCGAGGCTGCAGTGAGCCATGATTGCACCACTGTAATACAGCCTGGTGACAGAGAGACCCTGACTTAAAAACAAACAAAAAACCAAAACACAACAAAAGCAAGAAAGAAGTATATCCATCATACCCTTGCATTCAGAGATCCCAGCTCAAACTGCTGAATGGATGTTTCAGAGACCGAACACCACCCTTTTTAGACCCTAAACACCTTCAAGGACCTTCCTATGCAGAAAAGAGAAACTGGTTTTGAATCAAAGTAATTATTCCTTAAAAAAAAAAAAAACAAAAAAAAAACTAGGATCAAGATAGTAGGCAGGAAAAAGTCATGAAACTCTACGCGGGAGTTGGGAGCTTGTTGGTGGCTGCGTGCATAATCGGCCTGGACACAGGCATGGTTAGATGCTCCGCTGCTTCTTTCCCAACCGGAACCACCTCTGCACACTCAGGAGACGAGCTGAAGAGGTGGGAGGGGCACAGCGTGGAGGGCACCTGTTCTTAGAGAGACATTTCTTGGTGAAACAATTTATTAGCCATGGTTCAGAATAATACAAAAATAAAGGTGTGGCTTTATTTACACACACTCTTGAAGCTCTTGGCATTCAGCGGACAGCAAACACCATACTCAGAGTGATGGAATTAATAGCATTTAGGGTAAGCAAGGACCAGTGTGAGACTGGGCCCAGGAAATGGGGAGGGAATGTGAGGAGAAACAGGGAATGACATTAAAGAAGAAACAGACACCTTGGAGAATTTATGACTCCTTTCTCTATGTCATGTCCAGAAGAGGCAAGTCTACAGAGATCAAAGTAGCCTAGGGGTGCCTAGGGATGGGGAGGTTGGGGTGGTGACTAAGGGGGGCTGGATTTCTTTTGGGGGTAGTAAACTCTAAGACTGACTGTGCTGATGGCTGCTGAACTGTGACTATACTAAACCGGCATCAAATTGTGCAGGGTCAATTGTGGATTGTATGGTAAGTGAACTGTACTCCAATAAAGCTGTTAGGAGGACAAAGGCAGCTGCCCTGGAGATAGTAGGCAATGCCCATCAGGACATTTACTGGCATGGGCTCAAAGGCCAGCAGAGCTAGAATTCAAGGTTCCTGAGGAATGGGAGCAGATGGGAACATGTGCTCTACGCAGGAAGAGTGCATTGTGGTATCCTGTACTCTGGGCGTCAAACAGTTATTTATTGGAAGCTAGGGAAAGGTCACAGAATGCATGGTAGGTGTCCAGACCCAACGAAGCCCCTCTCCAGGATTATTGGAGAGACTGAGCCCAAAAGGCTAGTGGCTGGGAGGCTTCTGCTCCTGTTCTCCTTTGCCTGGTCCTTTGCTGCTGTTGGGTGGATTATGGGCCATACACCATCTGGGACACAGAGCTTTGGTGGCCCTGCTACCACTAGGTAAAGTCTAACTGCAAGAAAAAACTCCGCAACTAGCAACTTCTTGACCTACAGTAAGTGGCTCGACCTTCCTGCTAGAAACTCTTACCAGATCAACAAATTTATGCACTTTTATTGATAATCTTTCACGCACATGTATGTGTGCGCACACACACATGCAAACTGTCCTGTTTGCTCTCCTGTCACATTTCCGAATCTTCTCCTCCTCACTGGAGGTTGGAAATATAGTTAAGGACTCAGGCATAGGAATGAAGGGCACCCTATTCCAGTGTCAGACGGCACCTCAATGTGTTCTTCAGGACCCTGAAGCCAGAAGCCTCTAGCCTACCCCCAGGAGGTACTTCAGGAACAAATTCTTCAAACACTGGCTTCAGAGCCTCTTTTCAAATGCTGTCTTTGGACCTCAGACCCTGAAGTCACAGCAGCACCCCTTCCCCACACAAGGTCTGCCCAGATCTTCACTGACCCACCACCCCTCATTTCCTTGCCCTTGCACCCTGGGGCTTCCTGAGCTCAGGGGAGCTCCAGCCCAGCTGCTCTGAAGAATCCTACGTGCTAACAGCTCCCCACTGATAGTCGGAACGCGGGTGCAGGGCTTCAGACTCACCTTCCTGCCAGATGCTTTTACGTTTCACCTCGACATTTCTCTCTTCCTATAAATGAACTCAGGTGACATCCAGCTGTGTTTAGCCCTCAGCCTCTCTCCATGCAGAGGCTCATCAGACGAAAGGTGCCCCAGGCCTCAGGACTGATGCGCACAAGGCTGTCCCCACCCCTGAGCTCTGGCGACATCCCCCCACCCCCCACCCCGATCTCTCTCACTGCCTCCCTCCTTCCCCTCCAGGCTCCACCAGCAGCTCCCTGACAAGCTCACTCCACTCACCTCCCAGCACTTACCCACAAACTGCTTCCTTGCTGGGACTACGCTTTCCCCAACCACAATCCTTCAGCTCAGGCATCTCCTCGGGGATCCCCCCTGACCTGGGTGCCTTTCCCGTGCATGCTCACAACCCTGGGCAGGCTTCCACTCCATCTTTCTACTTTTTTATTTTTTTTGAGACAGGGTCTCACTCTGCTGCCCAGGCTGGATTGCAATGGTACCATTATAGCTCACTGCAGCCTCTACCTCCTGGGCTCAAGTGATCATCTGGCATCAGCCTCCCGAGTAGCTGGGACTACAGGCATGTGCCACCATGACTGACTAAAAAAAAATTTAGGTAGAGATGAGGTCTCACTATGTCGCCCAGGCTGGTCTTGAACTCCTGAGCTCAAGCAATCCACCTGCCTCGCCTTCCCAAAGTGCTGGGATTACAAGCATGAGCCACTGCACCTGGCCCATTCAGCGTTTACATCCCGCGTGACCATCTTTTTTTTTTTTTTTTTTTGAGATAGAGTCTCGCTCTGTCATCCAGGCTGCAGTGCAATGGCACAATCTCGGCTCACTGCAACCTCTGCCTCCCAGATTCAAGCAATTCTCCTGCCTCAGCCTCCCAAGTAGCTAGGACTACAGGCATGTGTCACCATGCCCGGCTAATTTTTCTATTTTTAGTGGAGATGGGGTTTCACCATGTTGGCCAGGCTGGCTCAAACTCCTGACCTCAGAGTGATCCACCTGCCTCGGCCTCCCAGTGTGCTGGGATTACAGGCGTGAGCCACCGTGCCCGGCCCATCCTGTTCGTTTAACGTGTCCTCGGCACTAGCGGTTAAGTTCCTTCATGGCTGGGGCCATGCCGCATGCAATTTATCTTGGTATCCCAAATGCCCGCCACATAGTAGGTGCACAATAAATGCTGAATGAACGAATAATGGAGCCTCAAGGACGCTCTACCATTAGCTCCTGGGAGCGGGCTGTGTGGATTCCCCTGGGGATAGACGATAACCAGACCGCTGCACAAAGAAAAGTTAGGAGGGATGCCTGGGATTAAAATCCAGACATTTACATTTTAAAGCCTACATTTCACACACGAACATATACACATGCAGACATGTACACACAGATGAATACGTGCACACACACTCCTCTCTCAAAGCTGGGATCTGGGCGGTCCCTGGGGAGCCGCCCTCATGCACTGGGCCCCTCTGACTCTGACCCCATCGTGTCCCAGCCCGAGTTCTTCTGCAGCTGGCGGAAAAGCAGCTGCCGCTGGAGGCTCCTCAGGCTCTCCAGGTCCTCGGGAGAGAGTGGCAGGGCCGGCTTCCCTGGGTCCTGCTCCTCTTCCTCCTCTTCCTCCATTTCCGTGAGTCCCTCGGGGGGCTGCGGGGAGCTCCTGGAGATGTAGCCCTGGTCAGACTGCACTGACTGCCGCTGCTCCTCCTCGTAGGGCGTGTGTGGGTCTGTGAGGACCATGGCGGGTCTACTGCAGCCCCCCTGGGCCTGGCAGCTCAGACTCTGCTCGAAGAGCGAGAGCATCAAGCCTTCGAGGTGCTCCCTCACGTCCTCTGGAAGGAGGTCAGGAGACGCCATGGGGGTGCTGCTGCCAAGGGGCGAGTCCTCGGGGTCCACGGGGAGGAAGAGGACGCTATTTCGCCCAGCGCCCGGGCTGCCCAGCAGCGGGCAGGCCTCGCCCTCCCCCGCCAGTGCCAGCCGGACTGCGGCACCGTCAGCCAGGGGCCCAGGCTCCACCGCGGCCACCAGGGCCCCCTCCTCTGCGGCGAGCACCAGGGTGTGGAGGGGCTGCGGCGCTGGCTGACCCCGGGGCTGCAGGTGAGGTTCCAGCTTTGCCACTGCTGCTCCTCCTTCCTCCCCGACCAGCGGGTCTATGGCCAGGCAGGCCTGGGAGCCAGGCTCGCGCACCAGGGGCGCCCGCTTCACGATGCCGGTTCCCGGAGGCAGCAGTGGCTCCTCAAACACCTCTTCGTCCAGGGACGGGGCATCCTGGTCATCTGCTGAGTAGAGGTTCTCACATTCGAACCAGTCGGGACAGCGGACCTGCCAGTCCCGGAACCTGTCCAGGGCGGCGCGGAGCTGCCTGCCGCCCGGGCTCCGCAGGTAGTTGTCCCCCGACAGCTCCCCTACGCGGTGCATGCGGCCCGGCTGGAACATCTCCAGGTCCTGGATGCGGAAGTACACCTCCTCGAACCTGTCCATGAGCGGGTACCGCGGCGCCGCGCCGAACAGGTCGGGGACGTCGCCGTCACAGCTGACCTCGCTGAAGTAGCAGACTACGTAGGTGCCGAAGCAGGCTGGCCTCTTGAAGTCCGGGAGGATCATGTTCATGGCTGCAGTGAACAGGTCCCCCACGGGCTTTCCGTGGTCGCAGCGCAGCCGCACAGGCGCCCCCCGGCCCAGGAGCGCCTGCCACTTGGCGCGCGTGCCGCGGGAGCACAGGACGATGATCTTAGAGTTGCTCTCCACCATCTCCTGCTTCTGACGGCCCACCCAGGTCATGACTCCTGCCTCCGAGATGGCCTGCTCTTCCAGCAGGTCCAGGGCCACTTCCGTGCCGCAGGCGGTGAGCAGGAACTGGGCGAATTTCAGGACCACGTCCACGTAGAGGGGGTGGTCGGCTGAGTAGATGATCCAGACCTTCCTGGGCTTCAGCGGTGGGGGGATCAGGTCAGCCGCAGGCAGGCCATCTAAGGAAACAAGACCACACATGCTGACCCTCACCCCAGGGCCCAGGGCAGCTCTGTGCCTGCCAGCCCAGGAGGGGCCTGGACCAGGACACAGAGCTTGGCTCCCTCCCTAAGCTGAGAAACCCAACTGAGGCCTGTTGGAAAAACCCAGATGTTACTATTCCACCTTTGGCTGCCTGAAAAAAATCAGTCTGCTGCCTTGTGGGAAAAAGAATCTCTCAACGTTCCTAGCTGGTCTTTAGCCTATACTTTAATTAAGAAAAGAAAAAGAGGCACCAAGCTCTGTTGGTCTGCTCCAGGGAGGACCTCTGTTCACAAAATACTTACCTTTCTTTCCTTGTCTGAGTGATTCAAAAAATGGCACCCAGGCCTTGTTATTGGGGGCCCTTCTGAGTGGGGTACTGGAAGGGGGTTTCTAAGGTGGGGTCTCCTGAAGGGACTTGGGAGTTAGAGCACAGGAGGCGACCCACGCACTTATCCCAGGAGAACCCTCCACTGCTTTAAAAATAAGCAAACATGCAAACCAGGAAATACTGACCGGTGTATTTGGTGTCATCACTGTATTTTTCACTTCCAGGCCCTGGAAAGGAAAAGAAATACACTGGAGTGGTTCTTTGGGAAGAGAAATAGAAACCAGCTCACAGGGTGTCTGCCCCATCCCTGACAAAGGGTGAAGGGTAAGGGGGCAGCCCCGAGACTGAGCAGCGAGGCCGTGCTAGGTGGTCGCACAGGCATGAGTCCTGGGTCTGCCACTACGAGCACTATGACCTGGAGCAGTTACTAGTGCCTCTGAAATGCAGCTTCTTCCTCTGTGAGGTGGGTCTGTATTTGCTCTTGTTTAATGGGTATTAAATGAGTGTGTGTATGTGACGTGCCTGGCACGTTGTACATAATCAATTGGGATCACAGTTATTTTGTAGCACTGATCCAGCTGGGACCCCCAGTGCCGGGGGGCAGGGGGTGGTGTCCATTCTGGTTCCTCATTACGGTCCTGGTCTGCCCTGTCTCCCTGAAATTTGGCCACCCCAAACTGACTCCACATGAGGAAAAGCTCTTCCCCAGAAGTGTCTTTACAGAAGACATGCATCTTACCACACTTCTTTCCAGAAGCAGCCCCACCAGGCTGCTTGCAACATTTCCTCCTGGTATTTTTGAGGTGAGGAAGGGGAACCCACATACTTAAGCAATTGTTCCCCTCAGAGATGTGATGAAAAAACTGCTCTGCGGGGGTTAACTCCTTAGTGACAGCTGGGAGGATTGAGATCCACAGATGACTGAGCAAACGACTTAGAACCTTAATCTCAATCCTAACCCTTTCAGCTCTTCCCCAGAACTGTCACAAGACAGCCAAATAACAGCGAGGCTCCTCTTGCCTTCACCCTGTGGTGCAGGACACTTCGGAAAACAGAAGCGCAACAGCAGAAAGGAAACCAAAAGCGCCGCCGCCGCCCAGCCCCAAACCTTTAGAGAGCTGCACCGCCTGTGGAGCACTGGCCGAGATGCTACTGAATGTTATTGGAACCTCCCATAGGTCCTCCCATGCCTGGCTGGTTTTCTTTCTACCACATAATAATTAATAATGATTAACACCTAATCCTGACGAGCCTAGGGAAGGGTGGAAACAGCTTCCCAGATGACGGAAGGAGCAGCCTAGGGTCATGGTGGGGCAGGCAAGGGCTGAAGCCCCAACCGGAAGGCCTGTGTTCTCCCGGCTTAGGACTTGGCCAGCAGAGGGCTGCAGGTGGGAGAAGACACTGGTATGTACTAATCCCCACCAGCAAGCACCTTCCTCAGCTACTCATTTAACCTTCGTCACACCCTTAGAGGGAGGCATTATCAGTACATTTTACAGAAAAGTGAATCCATGGTGTATTAAGTAACTGGCCTGTGACTACAAGGCTAATGAGGTGGGGCTGGGGTCCACCCCTGTGGCTCAGGGCAGCCGGAGCCTTCTCTATCACCCGATGCTGACCCTCACTATTCTCCCTGACCCCAGGCGTCCACGTCTGGCGGCTGCAGGATGGGGTTGTTCAGGCTGCTCCACCTGCCTGGATGATCATTCCTGACACAGGGAAACTTTACTCCGGCTCCTTCCAAACTATTGATTTTAATAATACTACATTTGATAACAACAAATATAATCGTGGCTAACAGATACTGTGCAAATAGCACATGCCAGGTTCTGTGCTAAGAATTCATGTGTCTTATTTCACTCAGTCCTTACAACAGCTTTATGACGTGGTTCTCAAGCAAGAAGCTGAGGCTCTGAGAATAAAGCGATTTGCCTTGGTAGTGAGTGGTGGTGCTGGTATTAGAGCCTGACTCCAGGACAGCCAGAGCCCCAGCGCTTACCAGCTAGCCTCCAGGTCATGCAGACGATGAGCAGGATGACGGAGCCCACCAGCAGGATGGAGATGCCCGTGATGAACCAGTACACCCACAGGGGCATGTAGTCTGCGGTGAGCAGAACAGCGTGAGTGATGCGGCGGGGCCTGCCCTGCCCACCCTGAGGCCCCCAGCCCTGCTCCCCAGCCCCAGGCTCTGTCCTCTCTGGCCCCACCACGACAAACCATGGTCTCACCCCCCACCCCGGGCTGGCCTCGGTTCAGCCTTGTCTGCCTGGCTGAGGCAGGGACTTCTCAAGTGGCCACTGGGGAATGTCCCCTGAGGGCTGCAGTGCTGTCGGAGAGAGATCCAAGCTTACCCGGAATTGGTTCTGCAATGAGAACAGAGGAAAAAGGGAAAATAGCATTCTTAACCCTTCCCAGTCATCACAAGAAACACAACTGACGTCCCTTGAGGGCTTTAATGATGTTGGCCCTGCACCAGGCACTCTAGATCCAGGTTGAACTTAATGAAACCATCTACAAGAGACACTTGAGTTGCTGGTCTAAGAAGAGACACCTTGCCTCCTCCTTGGGAGGCTGGGTTCTCCTTCCAGCCTGGCTCCATGCCTGCGCCTTGCCTTCTGGTGAGCACGTGGCTGCAGCCTCCCGTGCATTAGGGCATGCGACTTTTGAAAACAGCGTCCCTGCTGTGTGATCTTGGACAAGTTATTCAACATCTCTGTGCCTCAGTTTCCTTATCCAGGAACCTGGGGTTTGGGGTGGGGGGATCCTCTACTGCATAGTACCGTGACTCACAATGAGTGAGGATGAAAAAATGGACGGCATGTTGGAGCACTGCGCTCAGTGCATGGCACAGAACTAGGGCTCTAGGATAAAAACCACCTCATTTTCCAGTCAAGGAAGTTGAGAATCAAAAAGATTAAGTAATTTGCCTAAGGCTACATAGCTAATGAAAGACAGCCAGGAGTCCAGCCCCAGGGAGTGACACTCTAAAGCCCCACTCCACACTTCAGGCCTGAAGGACTCCAAGTTAAACTAAACTCTCCTCCCTAATCACCCCTCAGAACCAGGTAAGGACGCAGCACAGGCTGGGGGCCTTCAGCCACTTGTTCTCCCAGTATGGCCTAGGACAGCCGCATGTCCCCTACCTGGAGTGTCTGGCATTTCTGGGCAGGAAACAGTCGCGGAGTGTCTGAGGCAGTCATTGAGGCAGCTGCTGAAGAAGGGCTGGATCTGCGGGCAGAGAGGGCAGGAAAAGGGCTCCAGAACTGTAGAGCGCCCATGCCTTCCAGCCAGCAGCGGCAATGTGAGAGGAGGGGATCCTGGCTGGCTACACCACGATCTCCAGGTGACCATCATCTCCCTCCAGCAAGGGCGGGTCAGCGAACCCCTGCCCAGGTGAGGGTGGGAGAACCAGACAGGAGAAAGGCAGGGGCAGTGCCTTACCAGGCAAGGAATCCTGACTGGTAGTGGTGCTTGGTGCCACAGAGAGGACAAGCTTTCCCCTGTCCACCAGCAAGAATGCCAGACTGTGCACGCTCCCCACTCCCGTCCACACCACACTCTCCACCTGTGCACGCTCCCCACTCCCAGCCACACCACTCTCTCCACCTGTGCACGCTCCCCACTCCCAGCCACACCACTCTCTCCACCTGTGCACGCTCCCCACTCCAGCCACACCACACTCTCCACCTGTGCACGCTCCCCACTCCCAGCCACACCACACTCTCCACCTGTGCACGCTCCCCACTCCCAGCCACACCACTCTCTCCACCTGTGCACGCTCCCCACTCCCAGCCACACCACTCTCTCCACCTGTGCACGCTCCCCACTCCCAGCCACACCTCTCCACCTGTGCACGCTCCCCACTCCCAGCCACACCACTCTCCCCACCTGTGCACGCTCCCCACTCCCAGCCACACCACACTCTCCACCTGTGCACGCTCCCCACTCCCAGCCACACCACTCTCTCCACCTGTGCACGCTCCCCACTCCCAGCCACACCACACTCTCCACCTGTGCACGCTCCCCACTCTCAGCCACACCACTCTCTCCACCTGTGCACGCTCCCCACTCCCAGCCACACCACTCTCTCCACCTGTGCACGTTCCCCACTCCCGTCCACACCACTCTCTCCACCTGTGCACGCTCCCCACTCCCGTCCACACCACTCTCCACCTGTGCACACTCCCCACTCCCAGACACACCACACTCTCCACCTGTGCACGCTCCCCACTCCCGTCCACACCACTCTCTCCACCTGTGCACACTCCCCACTCCCGTCCACACCACTCTTCACCTGTGCACACTCCTCACTCCTGTCCACTCTATAATTGCCACCTGTTTTGCTCCCTGCACCTGTCCACACCACACTCACCCACCTGCACTTGGTGGCGACAGCACCCTTTAAGGTTGCGTAGAGTGAGTGTGACGTTGGATCGCTGGTGGAACTCTTCTGGTCTGGGCTGAGGAGAGAGGCGAGGATGGGTAAGGCTAGTTGGGATGGGTAAGGCTAGTTGGGTAAGAACACGCTGTGGCACTGCCATGGAGAGGCTGTCCAGAGCACCCCTTAGGAAGGCCAGGGGAGAAATGCTTTTCAGGTTTCTATTCCAGAAAAAAACTCCGTTTCTGCATGGAAGCTGGTTTATTGTAAATCCTTAAGTACGTGTAGTAACTGGTAAGTCTCTCTTTGCTTTGGCTGCTGGGAATTGGGGCAACAAATCTGTGTTCATGGACACCAGTTGTACAGAACCACACAGCACACGTTTCCTGCACTGAGCTGGCTTCATCGTATTACCTTTATTTCTTTTTTTTTAGAGATGGAGTATCACTCTTGTCACCCAGGCTGGAGTGCAGTGGCACAATCTCAGCTCACTACAACCTCTGCCTCCCAGGTTCAAGTGATTCTTCTGCCTCAGTTTCCCAAATTGCTGGGATTACAGGCGTGTGCCAGCACACCTGGCTAATTTTTGTACTTTTAGTAGAGATGGGGTTTCATCATGTTGGTCAGGCTGGTCTCGAACTCCTGACCTCAAGTGATCCACCTGCCTTGGCCTCCCAAACTGCTGGGATTATAGGCGTGAACCACTGTGCCTGGCATATTTTATGTCATTAATGTACTTTATTTATTTTTCAATTTTTATTTTCTTTTTTAGAGACAGGGTCTCGCTCTGTCCCCCAGAGTGGGTGCAGTGGTGCCATCATGGCTTACTGTAGTCTCGAACTCCAACTTCAAGCCATTCTCCTGCCTTGGCCTCCCAAAGTATTGGGATTACAGGTGGGAGCCACTGCACCTGGCCTTATTTCCTTATCTTTAGTTCCCCTTTGTCTCTATTTTCACATTTCTTCTTTTTTTTAAATCCTCAAATCCTTTTTGTAATAAACAAAGCAAAACAAAAAGAGAACAAGGGGGCGTGTGGGGGAGGAAAGAACAAAAAGGACTGAGTCATGGGCAGGACACAGTCAACTGCCTTTCTATCAAGCATAAGATCACTGGGGAAGAAAAAGGGCAAGGCGCCATGATCACTATGGACTAAGCACAGCCCTGAGTCGCGAGCTTCTAGCAACGCGGTTCTGTCAGACCAGCAGAGAAGAGACTCAGGGCTTGGAGGGGTGGTCCTGAGCTATGCTAGAGGGGTCAAAAAGAGCAGAGTTACCGCAGGTATGTGGTGCATGTGCTCAAAGCAACTGTGGTTCTCCATGTGCGGAAAACTGGTCAGCAGGATCTGGTAATGGGTAGATTCGTTCCACAGGGTGAAGCTCACACGCAGCTGGTGGGCCTCCAGGGTCTCCACGGTGATGTTGGGGTCCCACAGGCTGCCTGCCAAGGTCACACACGCAGGCTGGGAGTGAGGAGGGGCACGCACATGTGCATGTGTATGCATCCAAATAAAGCTCTCCCGGGCCAGCTGTTACCTGAGCTCATGCATGGCGTGGTTACCTTCATCCTGGCGTGCTCACAGTCTGTCGACCCAGAAAAAAGGAAACTCATTAAGCCTCTGCCTTCAGAAATCTGTTCTTCCAGACTCCTGACACCAAGAACAACAATCTTTTCCCCACTGGGAGCCTGTCCGCAGGTGGCCCCTTCAGAGTGAGCTCCAGGGCTGGACCCACCTTGGCATGGGTGCCAGCCTGCCTGTCTGATCCTCATCTCTCGGGGAACCCTCCTGATGCAAGTGCATTCCTCCTGAGCTTGCTGTGGGTGACCAAGCAATCTTGGTCCCCTCCAGTTCCTTCTCTGCCCACCCACAGCTTCTTGTCCCCGGCTGCCCCTGTCTTTGCACAGGCTGAGAAGACATGTGACAGGTGTGAATCACCATGGAGGGACAGGGACTGAGTCAGTCAACTTTAGGAACAGAAGCGAGAACTGAGGAGATTCACTCCTTCAACAAATACATATTGAGCACCAACTATGCACCAGGCCCTGTTCTTGGCACTGGAGGTACAGTGGTAAACAAGACAAAGCCCTGCCCCCTGGAGATTGCAACCCAGTAGAAGAGACCAATAAAAGCAAACACACAGCATGCAGTACCAGTCAGGGAGTGATGAGCCACACGCGGTGACATAAAGCAGGGTAAGCACAGAGTGTGTGTGCACGCGTGTGTGCAGGGTGGTCCCAGGATGAAGAAGGTCAACACCATCCTTAACAAGCATTTCTTGACCAACCTACTATATGCAAGGCAATTCGTGAGGTTCTGGAGATTATAAAAATGGGCAGAAGACCCAGGCTTTGTTTTCAAGTGGGCTTCCTGACATAGCTGGCTATGGACAGAGAATTGTAGAGAGACTGAGGCAGGAGAATCGCATGAGCCCAGGAGTTCGAGGCTGCATTGAGCTAGGATAGCAAAATTGCACTATAGCCTGGGTGACAAAGCAAGACCCTATCTCTATTAAAAACAAAAAGAGAGAAATGTAGGTAATAGCTGAGCTTCTGGGGAGGACAGAGAAGTAGAAGGTACATGTACATCAAAGGATGCCTGAGAAGAAAAGCCTGGCGGTAATCACAGGCAGTGTGGATAGGCATGGGGAGTAGAGCGCCATGCATGGGATGAACGTTGGATGATGCAGGCAGAATGTAAGGTGGAAGGAGAAGAGCAAGCCACGGAGGCTGGGACCAGGCTGGGGGCAGAGGCTGCAACTTCCCCACGAGTGGCTTGTGGCTTGCCTTTATGCTATTTTCTGGGCAGGCTGGGTGCTTCTCTAGATAGAGGGAGGTGCTCTGGTTCCCATAAAACTCCTGGGATCTTGGGCCACCGTCCACTGTTGTGCCAACAGAGAATGGCCTCTGCCTCAGGGAATGGAGGTTGCAGCACACACCAAAGCACTCCCAGTCTTGGCCTCTGTTTGTTCTGTGGGTCCCAGGTGCTGGCAATGCCAGCCAATGTCTTGCTGAGCAGGGGGGCTGGCATCTGTGCCACCTGGTGCTTCCTTCTCACAGAGGCCATTGGGGAGGGAATGTCTTGGGAGGATGCTCTTACCAGGCACAAGGAAATTCTTGGACTGGTGGTTTGGGTCCCCATCAGGGATGGGCTTGGGCAGGTGGTGAACGGTCACCTCATATTCCTGGTCAGGGTCAACCACAAAGTGGCTGAAGGTAAAACGCCACTGAAGAGAAGGGAGGAAGGGAAGGTGGATGGATTACACACACCTCTGTCACCCATCTATGCCCAAAGACCCCCGTTCCCACCCACTCCCGAATATTCAGCCAAAAATAAGAACAAAGCAACAACCACAGCAAAATCCAAGGTCAGGGAAATCAGTATCTTTGTTTTTTGTTTCCTCTGGTCCTTTCTGCCTGTTTTTTTTTTTTTTTTTTTTAAACCTGGATCTGGCCTCATCAGTAGACAGTGAATAAGGCAAAAGAATTTGGGGAAAGTGGAAGTAGTCCCACCCCTCCCACCTGCCCTCTCAAATTCTAGGACAATGGGTATGAGAGGGCGGAGCCAGGGGACTTGGGGCTATGGAGATCTGGCACACGCCAGGCAGGTAAAAACTATTTGTCAAATGATTCTTCCTCCTCAAACGGAAAAGCCAGGAACCTCTTGAGACCATTATGGAGTAAAAAGGTGCAAAGGACAAGCTAGAGACCCCCACTCACCCTGGGCCAGCAGGCACCTCAGTTGCAATGATATTTGAATTTGTGCTAAGTTATTTTCTGGGTGTTAGAGATTACAGACATCGACTCCAACCCCCATTCTAGTTACCCTGGTGGAGGGGCCGGGGTCCTTTGCTTCTAAGTGGACGGAGGAACCTGGTTCTCACCATTCGCATAGCAGTCAAGTTTGGGGGTCCTAATTTAACATCGGAGAGGGGTTCTGCCTTTGCTGCTTGAGTTTGTGGGAGATCTAACTTGTTTTCAAGTGACCATTTGCAGATTTAAACCAGTAGTCTTCAAACTAAGGCTCGCATCGTGATGACTTAAGGGTTAAGCACCAGTTGCTGGACCCCACCCTAAGAGTTTCTGGCCTGGGAAGTCTGGGGTGGGGCCAAACATCTCTACCACGTTCCCAGGTGAGGCTGAGGCTGCTGGTCTACGGACCACACTTTGAGACCCACTGCTTTAAACAAACTTAAACAAGAATCAACATTTCACCATTTAGCTGTGAGCAGCAAAATGAGACTAAGCTGTTGTAGTGCTCATTTGCCCACCTACAGCAGTTCTTTGGTCTGGGCGGTTTTTTCTTCCTGAAGGTAGGCCCCAGCTGAATCCAAGTTACACATAAAAGATGTTACACAAAGTTACACAAAGATGGCAGGAGGTAGGGCTGTGGAAGCTGCCTTCCAATTCAACTTCCTTTCCGAACGAATAGCTAGGTAAAGTGGGAAGAAAAACCAGGGGTGAGCAGGTGAGGGACGCTTTCAAAAATACGCTCTGTCCCTCACTATTGCTCACGGCGGCCACACCACTTCTCTTTTGACTTCTGCCCATCTCAGGCTGCCATTCTGAATTCCACAGACTCCCTCAGCACCTCTGGGTCTCCCCCACTCTAAATCAGGGTCTGAATTTGGGGACAAGAAGTCTGTACTGGTGTCATCAGTGGAACATAATCCACTCAGGAGCTGTGTTCTTACCCGCCTGTGGTGATGCCTCAGTTTGGACAGAAACTCAAACCTGACGCACAAACGTTCATTGGTGTTCAGCTGCAGGACAGATAACTCTGCACCCTCGAGGTACAGGATGCTGGCTGCAGGAGAGGGAGAAGAGAAGACAAACAGATGCAGATCAGCCAAGACAAGTGCTGGGTGTGTCACTTCCCTATCTGTTGCGGTTGTTCACTCCTAAAAGAAAATCTGCCGTCTTACCCAACTCTCCACATCCTGTTCCTTTCAGTTCACTCTCTGGCCTCAGCCTACCGCCTTGCAGACAGTTATTTCCCAGCTGGGCAAGGAAAAATGACACTTTACACTGGGCTAGAAGTAAAGGCTTTGCAAACTTGTGGTGAGGGCTTTGACAATCTGGCATGGGTGTCAAACACAGCCATCCCCACCATCCTCACGAGGTTGTGGCTGTCAGCAGGAGCACTGAGGGCGGGGACTTCCAAAAAGAACTTCCCCCATGCCCCGTTCACAAATCTGGGGCTAGTGCTCATAAGCCCCAATCGTCCCAATTCTGTAACATAAACTCTCCATTCCTGAATAGGCTTGGGGGACGTTTTAAAAGTGCTGGCCCCTAAATTCAGGGAACAGGTTGACAAATGTGTTACCATTTTCCACTTCATTTTTGGTACTGTAGTCACAAAATTAACTGCTTGCTTTTTTTTCCCCTCAGGGTGCTAAAAATATTAGGTTGAAGGAAGTCCTTTCATGAAGAATGGTGTGATGAGAAGGTATCACTGTGGGTTAATATCTAAAATGCTGAACAAGTATTTGACTGCATGAAATGACGGATCCTTATAGCACTAAATTTGAACCCCCATGTCTGAGCACAGGACTGGGAGCCCAATCCTGAGCCTGACTGGGAGAGCCACTTGGAGGCAGGGAGAATCCCCCAGGGCCCTGCTGGCATGCCCACTCACCGTCTGTCTGCAGTGTCCATTCGATGTGAGCCACGGGGAACAGGTCTCCTTGTTGGGTGTGGGCAAAGTGCAGCTGGATCTGCAGGTCCTTTGGGGAGGAGGGGGTCAGGTTTCGAGGGTGAATCCAGCTGTCATCCAGGCAGGTACCTGGCAGCCAGGGAAAAGCAACATTCAGAGACTTATAGCCGAGACCCTGAGATGCCCCAGCAGCAGGTACAGACAGCTAGACAGCAAACAGCTCAGGGGCCCGCGGCCTTCCAGCCTGTGGCCCTTGGCCGCGTCCTCAGCTTTACTGCCCTGCTCCCTCTTCTCTAATGTTTACTGGGGTCACTGCAAACCTCTCAAGTCTAAAGGGAATTTTAGGAGAGAAGACAAAGTACACAAGTTGATTTTGAGAAGAAGTTGTGATTGGGAATAAGGGCACAGGAGGGATGCAGTTGTAGTAAGAGCTGCTTTATTGTTATATGTCAGGGGTCTCTAATTGGCTCAGACACTTGAATATGTGCCTCTTTGAATTAAAACAAAACAAAATCAACAGCACAGATGTCTCTCACTTTACAGTGACAAGCTGTGGCAAATCAAATTATATTATAGATACAGTAGGGCAGCTCCCCAGAGAATACTTTCACAATCCAAATGACAGTTCTGTTTCTCCTTTCCTGACTTTTGCATAATGAATGTTCTCGACAGGAAGCGCAGGTGCACGCATCCACAATTCTCCGGGAACCCTCCTGCGGATGGCTGTAGCTCACAGCCTGAACCTGGAGTGGCATGGCAAGACTTCTGTCAGAAGTTGGCAGCAGGCTCTCACTTGATTAAGAAGGCAACAAGAAGAAGAACAGAAAAAGATGACTTACTATTCTTGACCGTGCAGTTTAGCCCCTGTGGAAAAAAGAGGGTGGTTATTACAGCTGGGAAAAGGCTTGAATTCACATGCCAGGGCCAGATGCTCTCCACTGGCTCATTCTCAGGAATGCCATCTACACAGCCTGCCCTTCTCACTTTTTGGGGAATAGGATGAGGAGTGAGTCCAGGGGATGGCAAAGGGAATGGTGCTTTTTTTTTTTTTTTTTTGAGATGGAGTCTTGCTCTGTCGCCCAGGCTGGAGTGCAGTGGCGCGATCTCAGCTCACTGCAAGCTCCGCCTCCCGGGTTCACGCCATTCTCCTGCCTCGGCCTCCCAGGTAGCTGGGACTACAGGCGCCCGCCACCACGCCCGGCTACTTTTTTGTGTTTTTAGTAGAGACGGGATTTCACTGTGTTAGCCAGGATGATCTCGATCTCCTGACCTCGTGATCCGCCTGCCTCGGCCTCCCAAAGTGCTGGGATTACAAGCGTGAGCCACCGCGCCCGGCACAGGAATGGTATTTTATGAGGAACTGCTATGAGCTGGGACCTTGACAATTTTAAAAGACACTGAGAGGGTTCTCTTGGAGTGCCCTGAGAAAAGGGCCCCTTCATCTCCTAAGGTTTCCAACCTTCCTGGATAACACTGCTGCAAGAGGTGCGGAAGGGGTGAAGGGCAATATTTACAGTTTCTGTGACAGATCTGTTGGGGAACATTCACTAAGTCCCTACAAAGTCGCTAGGTAAAGTATGCCAGGCCCTGTTCCGGGTGATCGTGACGAGGTATTATCCTCAGCCCATTCTGCAGATGAGGAAGCTGAGGCACCCATGTTACATTATATTGCCTCCCTCTTGGGCAGTATGTGTTAACCTTCCAAGCCTGAGGAAATCCTGATGGCCAAATTTAGAAGCCCTAGTGACAAATGCTACCAGGGAAATGTAACCATTAGGAAGGAGCTCAGGCTCAGGTGTCTCCAGTTCTCTAACTGGCAAAACAGACCAAACGCATCCCGGGGTGGAAAGTCAGATGCTGAGGCAGACCAGAAACACAATCTCAAGGCCAACAAAGTGACTGGTGTGAGTAGGGTGCCAGGGCTGACACCCTCCTCTCTCTTGAGAGGGAACAGAGAGGTAGGGCTAAGCACAGGAGAAGACCCCGTGCCACCAGGGTTCATTTACAGAGTGGTCACACACAGGATGACATCTGCACGCACCTAGGATTGACTCTAGCAAGCTATTTCACCTGGACCCTCCTTCTCTGGGACCCCAGTTCATAAGTGCTTCTCGCCCTGTTCAGCTCCTGAATTCTCCCCTACAGGTCCCGGGCTAGCATCACCACCCCACTAGGGGGCTCCGCACATGTTCCCAACAAAATCCATCTGGCTGCCTAGGCTCACACTAATAAATGTCACTCTTTCCTAAATGGCGAGAAGATTAACTCCCCTGAGTCCTCTCATTTTTCCTCTCCCTTAAAATTCCTAGGATGTGGAGGATAAAAAAAAAGCGGTTATTTCACCTTGAGATGGGGAACTCTTCTAGAGAAGGCAAACAGATACATCATTTGGAGTAACTTCCTACTAGCCACTGGGAGCTACTCAATAACACTGCAGGATGATGCCCATGATGAAAAGCTCTTGTCTTCATGAAGACCACAAGGAAAGTGGAAGGGTCTGACAACACACTTGGTTGATTCCCAGTGGTGCAGGCAGGTGTCCTCTCATTCCCGAGATGGAGGGAAATAGTTTGGTATGCCCTATGGAATACTGTTTTTGGTCTTGGTTTCTGATAGTTGTGGTTGCATATAAGTCTTTTCCTTCAGTTACTATTAGGTTTATAGTTTTCATTCAAAACAGCTCTGAACCTCATCATATACCTCTCCAGCACTGATTAACAAACAAAGTTTGTTAATGCACCACTAGATTATGGTGCATTGTTCTTTTGATATTCTGCTAGATTACATTTGCTAATATTTTATTTAGAATTGCATGGATTTATGTTCATAAATGAGATTGGTCCATAGTTTTTCTTTTTGTATAAGATTTGTCAAGTTTTAGAATTAAGCTTATACTAGCTTTAAAAAAAATGGACAGCTTTCCCTCTTTTTCTGTGGTACTGAATGGTCATCAATAGAGAATGGCTGAATTAAGGTGAGATCTAGTTTAAATCTAAATGTCCATCAAACTAGAAATGGTTGAATAGATTGCTATCTACTATGGAATATTATGCAAATATTAAAGAGAATGAGAATTAGTTGCATAGACATCTGTTGACCTGCAGATGGCTGGAATGTGTTGATGAGAGAGGAAAATAAGTTTCAAATAACTTTTTATAGTATGATCCCAATTTCTATGGAAATAAGTCATGAAAAAGATCTCCCTGAATATATATATATATATATATATATATAGAGAGAGAGAGAGAGAGAGAGAGAGAGAGAGAGAGTGTGTGTATGACTAAATGAGAATAGAAACATGTTAACAGGTGTTAACACAGTTTGCTGGGGGCAAAGGGCACACAAGCAGAGGAGATGGCATGAGGGAAGATAAGGGGAAAAAAGATTTAATCAAAACTGAAAAATATACATATAGGTGAAATATAGAATAACAATTCTATTAGAGGTAATAGCGCATTGACCATATACACATATTTTCTCCCTCTCTCCAAACAATATAACAATTATAGGAAAGAACATTTTTTTTTGTAAATTCTCAAACTCAAAGAGCCAAACTCAGTGGACAAAAGATGTGAACAAAATTTTAAAAGTCCTTTCCAACTTGGCCCCAGCAGCATAGCTCCTGTAAAGAAGAGTGTTGGCTGGGCGCAGTGGCTCATGCGTGTAATCCCAGCACTTTTGGGAGGCTGAGGTAGGTGGATCACCTGAAGTCAGGAGTTTAAGACCAGCCTGGCCAAGAGATGGTGAAACCCTGTCTCTACTAAAAATACAAAAATTAGCTGGGTGTGGTGGCATGTGCCTGTAGTCCCAGCTATTTGAGAGGCTGAGGTGGGAGAATTGCTTGAACCTGGGAGGCAGAGGCTTCAGTGAGCCAAGACTGTGCCACTGTACTCTATCCTGGGCGACAGAGCGAGACTCTGTCTAAATAAAATAAAATAAAATAAAATAAAGTAAGATAAAATAAAATAAAAGGGCTATTCTGTCACCTGCCACCAATGAGGTGGTGACACCAGAATATGCCATCAGCATCCACAAGCACACCCATGGAGGGGACGTCAAGCAGTGTGCCCCTTGGTCACTCAAAAAGTCCCAGAACTTTGCCATGAAGGAGATGGGGACTCCAGATATGCTAACACCAGGCTCAACAAAGCTGTCTGGACCAAAGGAATAAGGAACGTTCCATACTGTGTCCATGTGCAGCTGTCCAGAAAGCATGAGGATGAAGATTCACCAAGCAAGCTCTATACTTTGGTTACCTGTGTACCCATTACCACTTTCAGAAACTGACAGTCAGACATTGTGGATGAGAACAAACTGTTGATGTCAAATAAAATTATAAAACCTCAAAAATGAACAAATGAATGAATAAATAAATAACTGTCCAAGTGGCAGCAGAGTAGGCAGCTGGCTTGTGCTGAGTGGAGGAACTTCTGTCTGAATGCTACAAAAGGGAGTTATTGATAAGGAGGCCAGGGGCCCCTCAGAACCTTATAACGTTCAGGGCTTAGGGGCAGGGAGAATTAAGTGAAGGTCTACATATGGAGTGTTGGGAACCTTATCCTCTCTTTCCGTGCTCTGATCTCAGAATGCTGGCAGCCAGGCCCAAAAAAAACACCTCCAGATTTCAGCATTTGGAGGTCACCCAATAGGCCAGGTTCACGATTAGCTTGACCTCCTATACAGTGAAGTCCAATGTTCAATAAACCTTAACTACACAGAGCATTTAATCAGCTTTTAGGACTTCATTCTTAAAATATTCTCAGACAGCCAAGGAGTACCAGATATTTGAGATAGGTTTTCTGTATGAAAAATAGATCAAAACAATTAAAAAATGCTCCTGGAAGGAAAAAAAAAACAATGCTGTTAACACAATTAAACCAAACAAGTAAAATTATTATAGCCCCGAAGAGATACAACACTGCATCTGTAAGACAGGGGCAGGACACCATGGACAAATGAGCAGGCAGAGAATGAAAACTGAACCTTGAAACTCAATAGAAGTTCTACTAAATAAAAATTCAATAGAAGGGTTAGTCTATGAAATTGAGGACATTTCTCTGAAAGCACAAATAGAATAGGAAAAAATATATGATCATTAGAGATTCAATTTAGGAAACAAAATATGATTGACTAGATTTCTAGAAGGAGATTAACAAAAAAACAGAAGGAAGAAGTTATTTTTTAAAAAAGGAAAGAAAGAAAATATTCTGGAAGAGAAGGACACATATTCCCCGAGAGTGTGGAAAAACTCAAGCTGTATTTTTCCTCTGCCCTCACATCACCACAACAATCAACAGAAGTCACAGAAGACTTCTGTGACTACATATTGGCGGGGGGTGGTTTCTTCCCACCACCAAGCAAGCAATCAATTCGGCAGCAGACACCAGCTGGGTATCCTCCAATTTAATTCTGACACTATTTGGAGATAGCATCAGATCCCACAGGTTGAGTGCTCAGTCCCCAAGACCGCCCACCCCCTAGACACCAGTGGTAAGTCTGGGCCTCCAGAACTTCTAAGACCAACCGGGTTCAACGTGAGATTCTCATGCTCCTCTCTTTCAGTTCAATTAATTTGCTAAAGCTGCTCAGAGAACTCAGGGAAACACATTTCCCAGTTTATTTTAAGGATATCACAAATAATACAGAAGAAAAGGTGAGGTATAGGAGAAGGAGTACAAAGCTTCCATGCCCTCCTCAGGTGTGCCACCCTCCAGGAACCTCCACATGTTCCACTACCTGGAAGCTCTCTGAACCCCGTTTTTATGGAGGCTTCATGTGAGCATGACTGATTAAACCACTGGCCATTGCAACTTCAGGGGGCCTTCAGTTCCCTCTCCCCTTCCCAGATGTGATGGGTAAAGGGGTGGGGCTAAACGTCCCAGCCCTCTAATCCTAACTTGCTTCCCGGGACCAGCCCCCATCCTGAAGCTGCCTAGAGGCTGCCAGCCACCAATGAATCATTAGTATATAAAAGATACAATTTTGGAGATTCTAAGGATTTTAGGAGTTCTATGCCAGAAAAAGGGGTTGAAGACTAAATACATATTTCACAGTATCACGTTGCCAAATTAAAAAGGTTACTAAATGGCCTGCACAAAAACAACAACGAAGACCCAGACCAAGGCCCCAAATCTTGAAACTGTTGTAATATCAGGAATAAAAAGAAGATCCTAAAAGTTTCCAGAGAGAAAAAAATAAGTGTCATATAAACCAATAAGACACATAATAACATTGACTTTTTTTTTTTTGAGACAGAGTCTCGCTCTGTCACCCAGGCTGGAGTGCAGTGGTGCGATCTCAGCTCACTGCAAGCCCCGCCTCCCAGGTTCCCCCCATTCTTCTGCCTCAGCCTCCCAAGTAGCTGGGACTACAGGCGCCACCACCACGCCTGGCTAATTTTTTTTTGTATTTTTAGTAGAGACGGGGTTTCACTGCGTTAGACAGGATGGTCTCAATCTCCTGACCTCGTGATCCGCCCGCCTCGGCCTCCCAAAGTGCTGGGATTATAGGCGTAAGCTACGGCGCCCGGCCAATAACATTGACTTTCTTAGCATCTGTACTGTTTGCTAGAAGGCAATAAAGCAATGCTTTCACAATTCTGAGGGAAAATTATCTTTAACACATAATTTTCACACCCAGCCAAATTATCAGAAAAAGGTATGAGGGTAGAATAAAGATATGTTGACATGAAAAGACTTAACATATATGTTCCTGATATATATGTCTATATCCATCCCTCATACATATGCTTAGGAAATTACAGGATGATATTCTCCAGCAAAATGAGGGAGTAACCCCTGAGGAAGAAGACACAGGATCCAGGACATGGGAGATTAGACCATGACAGGATGTCTGTTCTGGTCTAGACCTGTTGTGCCACAGGTCTAGAGAGCACAGACCTTGCTGGGGCTGGAGAACAGTGTGCTCTAGGAGGAAGTTCTCTGGGGAAAGCGGGGGATGGAATTGATGGAATATCTGATGATTTGGAGGGAAATGATATGACAAGTCTGATAGAACAAAACTAAGACTAGTTACATGAAACATTATGCAAGTGAAGAATTAAAGCAATTATTATCTCTGGGGCAGGAGGGGAGGGGAATTGTACCAGAAAAAATATATAATCAAAGTACACTTACTTGCCTCAGCAGTGAAGATTACTTAATTGTTATATAAATGCTGACTATTAATTTAACTAAAATCATGATTTAACTGTAATAAAAAACAGGGAGAAGTGGTGGCAGAAAGATAATGTAATTTTCATCTATTAGAAGTCAATAGATAATATCTAAAATTAACAAATCATGAATTAACACTATAAGCATGTTTAGAAATATGGAGGTATATCTCAGAAGAATTAACTAAAGGAATCATATTTGGGGAGCAGGTTTAGGGGTGGCGCAGGGATCTACTGTTTTTTGTTTTAAACATCTTAGTACCATTTTTAAAGGAGGATCACCATACGTAACTTGACAAAAATTAATTAAAAGATAGAAGTTTATCTATGATGTAATGCCAAACAAATGAAAGGACTGAAAAGTAAGATAAATGAATGAAAACATTAATTTGTTTAGTGGAAGAAAGAGTAGACATTTTTTTCCTTATAATTTAATTTCATGGCTCACGCCTGTAATCCTAGCACTTTGGGAGGCCGAGGCAGGTGGATTGCCTGAGCTCAGGAGTTCGAGACTGGCCTGGCCAACAACGGTGAAACCCCATCTCTACTAAAATACAAAAAATTAGCCAGGCATGGAGGCGTGCGCCTGTAGTCCCAGCTACTCGGGAGGCTGAGACAGGAGAGCTGCTAGAACCCAGGAGGCAGAAGCTGCAGTGAGCAGAGATTGCGCCCCTGCACTCCAGCCTGGGTGACAGAGCGAGACTCCGTCTCTAAGAAAAAAAAAATTTATAGAATTACATAACATTTTAAATAAAGCAAAAAAAAAAAGTGTTCGGGATCTTCTTAGGATATTACTAAGACATATCTTGTCTTGTCCAACAAATTCCTCTCCAATAGTCATCCCTAATTTCAAACCTCTCATTCGTTTTTTTTTTTGTTTGTTTGTTTTTTGAGACAGGGTCTCACTCTGTCATGCAGCAGCATGCTCAGGGCTCAGTGCAGTGTTGACCTCTTGGGCGCAAGAGATCCTCCCACTTCGGCCTCCTCAGTAGCTCAGACTAGAGACATGCGCCACCACACCTGGCTAATTTTTGTATTTTTTGTAGAGACAGGGTTTTGCCATGTTGCCCAGACTGGTCTTGAACTCCTGGGCTTAAGTGATTCCCTTGCCTCAGCCTCCCAAAATGCTAGGATTACAGGCGTGGGGCCACTGCCCATTCTTTAAAACTAGCAGAATCAGAATATTATCTATGAGCTACCTGCTTGTGAATGGCATTACGTGAGGCATCTTGCAGAAATCAGAGGGGGGATTGTCATGACAATGAAGGTGATGGCAGCTGATGTTTATTGAGCTCCTCTTTTGTGTCTGGCATCATGCTAAGCACTTTGTACATATATCTCATTTGATCTTGACAACAATCCTATGAGCTAAGCACCCTTATCCCAATTGTACTGATGAAAAAACTAAGACCCAGGGAGGTTGGGTAAGTGGCTCAAGGTCCCACAGAGCTGGCATTTGCATGACGAAGTTTTGCTCCAGAATACATGATCTTAATCTCTGCTGCCTTGTCTCTCTAAATAACAAAAGGGGCCAGGTGTGGTTGCTCACACCTGTAATCCCAACATTTTTGGAGGCCGAGGTGGGCAGATAAAGAGTTCGAGACCAGTCTGGCCAACCTGGTGAAACCCTGTCTCTACTAAAAAAATTAAAAAATTGGCCAGGCGCATTGGCTCACGCTTGTAATCCCAGCATTTTGGGAGGCCGAGGCAGGTAGATCATTTGAAGTCAGGAATTCGAGACCAGCCTGGCCAACATGGTGAAACCCCGACTCTACTAAAAATACAAAAATTAGCTGGGAGTGGTGGTGCGCACCTGTAATCCCAGCTACTTGGGAGGTTGAGGCAGGAGAATCGCTTGAGCCTGGGAAGTGGAGGTTGCAGTGAGCTGAGATCGCACCACTGCACTCCAATCTGGATGACAGAGTGAGACCTTGTCTCAAAATAAAAATAAAAATAAAAAAATTGGCCAGGTGCGGTGGCTCACACCTGTAATCCCAGCACTTTGGGAGGCCGAGGTGGGCAGAACACTTGAGGTCAGGAGTTCCAGATCAGCCTGGCCAATATGGTGAAACCCCATCTCTACTAAAAATAACAAAAATTAGCTGGGCATCATGGTGCATGCCTGCTAGTCCCAGCTACTTGGGAGGCTGAGGCAGAAGAATCGCTCAAACCTGGGAGGTGGATGTTGCAGTGAGCCGAGATCATGCCACTGCACTGTAGCCTGGGCGACAGTGTCTTTCTGTGTCAAAAAAACAAAAAACAAAAATCGGCTGGGTGTAGTGGTGGGCGCCTGTAATCCCAATGACTCGGGAGGCTGAGGCACAAGAATTGCTTGAACTCGGGAGGCGGAGGTTGCAGTGAGCTGAGATCGCACCACTGCACTCCAGCCTGGGCGACAGAGCAAAACTCTCTCAAAATATAAATAAATAAATAAATAAATAAGGGATACCTCCAATAGGCCACTATTCTCTACCCACAAGGTGAAGGTTAAGAGGAAGAAATGGAAGATTGTATTCAATTCTGTGCCTCAGTGAACACTACTGAGTGCCTGACAGAGAAAGTGGGCTTTGAACTTACAAGCACAGCCTGCTTTCAATCTCACCTTAGCACTCATTAGCTGTGCGACCTTGGGCCAATAACCCAGCCTCTCAAAAGCAGGTTCATCCTGCCAACCTTGTAAGCTGTCGTTGAGTATGGGATGAAGGAATACTTGTGAGCCACCGGCACAGTGCCTGGCACAAAGAACACAACTTTGTAGCCTCTGGAAGAGTGGCATGATGAAAGTGGCTTCTGGCAAGCAAAAGATAAAGGGGTTAAACTGAGCAGCTGTTCTACAACCACAAGTCAAAACCGCAAACGCTCAGGAAAAAAGACTCTGTAATGAAATACACATCCTGTCTATGAAATTACGTGTTAACATTTACCCTGACCAACTCTTAAGTTGCTGCTGTCTTTCCTATGGGCATTCCTCCAGGCTGGCGGTCATGGGAAACCTGCATGAAGCCTAGGCAGCGAGAACGGCTAACCAAAAGGAAACTCCCAGGGAAATGCAATTATTGATGGTTTCTCGTGTAATGATTTCTGTGGGGAAATCAGTCATCTGGGTTTTGAGGTGCTAACCCCAAGCATCTGGAACCATTGCTATGGTTGGTCTCAGCTTGCCACTACCTTCCAAGCAGAGCTGACCGTTCTTTCCTTCATTCATGCATTCTTTTGTTCAGTCAACACATATGTATCAAATAGCCCCCGCATCCTGTGCTCCAGCACTGAGCTAGGAACAGGCCAGGTGTGCAGAAGCCTCCTCCCTGTCTGAGGATAGTTATGGAAGGCTAAATCGAACTGGGCTTTGGACAGACACTTACATTCTGGAAGGTGGCATGGACTTACTTTGAGAAGGCTCACCCAGTCCTGCCTTTGTGGAAATGAGGGAACCCAGGCCCAGGCAGCCTCAAAGCCCGACTGCAGAGACAGTAAGTGCGATGCTGCCTGCAAATCCAGGTCCTCTGGCCACCTCTGTGGCCTTCCCTCCCCTCACTATACCACATTGCATCCACTAAAACACCAGTGAGGGACAGAAATTTGAAGGATGTGTTTTCTTTCTTTTTAAAAGAACTAGTCAATGGAGCCCAGAGCTGTCTATCTCTGGAGAAGAGCTGTCTGTGAGGCAGGTGTATACAGAAGAGAGAGAGAGGAAGGAAGAGAACGAGAGACTGCAGACAAATATGAACAGCAAGTGTCTCTCTTCAGCCCTCCCTGGAGCCAGGCCGTGCTTCTGCTCCTGACTTACAGTTGCTTCACTGTGCAGTGAAAGTCAGAGCTTGGCTCCCACGCCACGCACAGCAGAGTCCCATCCCCGCTTCTGGCATCTTTTCTCACTGTCCTATTACACAGACCCTCCATTCCGGCCACACACCGTACCCTGTCCCACTTAAGGACCTTGGCTCAGGCCCTTTCCACCACCTGGAATGCTCCTGCTACCCCCACAGGGCTGCCCAAATGCCTTTTCCATGAAGGACACCCCAACTGGAAGCAATTTTTCTTTTTCCTGGAATTCCGTACACTTAGCAGTTGTGCAAGCAGCTTTGCTAGACAGTTCCCTAACTTCAAGCCTTGTTCCTCCCGTAGATGGGTTAGGTCTCTGGATATTAGGGTCCCCAGAGTATTTATTTATAGTTCCAGTTCCCAGTATGGCGCCCTGTACTCTGCAGGCACCTGACCAATGGCTGTCAACCCAGGCGCACCAACCCTCCATATCAGAACGCTTCATACACAGCCTGCAGGAGGGACTAGCAGGGCAGAGGGACCTGCTTTGCCCAATAGTGGAAGTCACAGGACATTTCTCAACATCATTCACGATAAAAACATCTTTTTTTTTTTTTCTGCGACATAGTCACTCACCCTCCACCTTCTTTCGGTAAATCCTCCATAAAACTACATAAGGAGAAATATCCCTTTGTTTTACATCCTCTGACTCAGATACTGAGCATTATTCCTTGGGGTCAGCGGTGGAGGTGGAGGTGGAGGTGGAGGGGAGGAAAGATCCCCTCGGGGATGCGGGGAAGAGGAGAGTATATTGTGGAGGGGCACGGCGTTTTGCTCTTTTTTTGTTTTTTTCCTTAAGATGGTCCTGGCTCACAGAAAGGCCACTACCCGGCAGGCGGGTGGGTCACTTCCTGTGGGCGCAGCGGGGCTACGACTTGACAGCTACAAACGTTCGACCCTCCGACTGCGCTCTCACCGGGTTCCCAGACCCAGGTGGTGGTAGTCGGGGGTGGGAGTGGCGGGAAGGGCGCCGTCTTAAGAACCATCTGCCCATCCTCAGGGCTTCGCGCCTCTGGGGAGGTGGCCCTCAGCCGCCCTCGGCAGAGCTCTCCCCGAAACATGGTGCCGCGTCTCAGCGCTCCGGCCCCCGCGTGGCTCTACGACAGCGGGGTCCCTCTGGGGGCCGCGGGTGAGGGACTCCACCTTCCGCACGGACGACGTGGGCTCGCCCGGCTCCGTCGGCGGCATGAAGGGCACGGCTTGAGGGAAGCTCCCGAGGGCGCGATGGGCCTCCCGAGGGCCGACCGTGCCCCGCCGGGGTACGTGAGGGGCGCAAGGCGTGGAGCTGGGTCCAGACCCGTCCTGGCTCCTCCCCGGGCCCCTTCTCCACAGCCCCTTTCTATCAGCCCTGGCCGCCCCTCCGGCCTGGCCCAGCGCCGCGCCCTCCTTCCCCGAACTCCGCGGCCCGGGCGGAGGTGTCACTCCCGCCTCCAGTCACGACGGCGGGCCAGGTTGTGCAACACGCGCCGCGCGATGTGCCACCCACCCCCCCCGTATTCCACACCGCAACTCCCACCGCTCCGAGGGTCCTCCCCAGGCGCCGCGATATCTGTGCCCAAGGCTCTGAGCCCCTCTAAGCCCGCGGCGCGGACTTCCTGCCTCCCCAGCCCGGGCGCGTAGTCCCGACCGTCCGGCCCTCCGCGACCTTGCCCCGCGTCCGCAGCATCCTGGCGGCTACCGCTCCCCACGTCGAGTCTCACCGGCTGGGAGCAGACCAGCGCCCGGTGGTCCAGGAGTCGCAGGGAGGCGCCACCCGGGGCCAGCACGCCCAGGAGCAGCAGGAGCAGCCCCAGCAGGGGCCCCGGGACAGCGGACGGCGGGCTGCGTGCGGCCCCCATGGCCCGGCTGGCGTCGCGGAGGGCTCGGCCCCGGCTGGGGACGCAGCGAACGAACGTTCTGAGGCTTTCTTTTCCGCGGTGGAGTTCGAGTCGGCTCCACTTTGCTCGCTTCCGGCTTCCAGCCCGGGCCCAGGGGCGGGCCGGGCCGAGGGGAGGAGTTTAGTCTGGGACGGGGAGGGGTTTAGGGTGAGACAGGGCCCTCCCCCCGTTCCTCCTTGCGCCCCTCCTCTCGGCCCTACGCTCAGTCCTCCGGGCGTCCCTACCCAGTCCTTCCGGCGTCCCTCCCCGGCCCTCCTCCGCCCGCGCGCCCCAGGTGCGCTCCTCCCGCTGCTCCTGGGCCTGGCCCGTCGCGCCTCCAGTTGCACCCGCGTCGGGCTAGCGTCAACTCCAGCTGGAGCCTCGCCTGCCCCACATGCACCCTCCACCCTGGCCGTGCCGCAGCAACTGTCGATTTTAATCCTCCGCCCCCACTCACTTGATTCTTGGCCCTGTTCAGACTTCTTGCTTCTCTTGTGGGTCACTGGACGTGAAATCCCAACTTGGGATTTCAGGAAGTCCGTTTTCTTAGTCTCTGTCCCTTTTATTTTTGTTTTTTATTTTACTTTATTTTTAGACAGGGTCTCCCTCTGTCTCCCAGGCTGGAGTGCAGTGGTGCAACCGCAGCTCACTGCAGCTTCGGCCTCCCGGGCTCAAGCGATCCTCCTGCCTCTGCCTCCTGAGTAGATGGAAGCGCGGGCCATATCCCATTTTATTGTCCCCACCCCTTTGCCTGGTTCTGCTCGCTCTGCTTTCCTTGGCTTTGCTTTCTCTTTCTCAAGACAAGGACAGCTCCGGGCTCCAGGGAGGATGGGACAGCAGTCACTTCCAGCCTCCTGGCTCGGACTCGGGGACACTTGAGTTCCTGGAGGGCAGGCAACTTACCTGGTCTGTGAGACTGTGTCCCAGCCGCACCTAAGAGAGTCGTTACTTCCCAGAGGCTCACTCCACGGCCGCGGAAGCTGTCGCCAGCGAATTACACATTTCATGAGTCTCCTTCTTAGCACGCGTGCAGCCTGCGTCCTCTCCTCTCCGGACCCTGGAGGACCCTCCCAAGCCGGCCCGCGCTGCCTCTATCCTAGGTTCCTGCTTCGAGCCCGTCCTGCCCTAGTGCATCCACACGCTCCTGCCCATTCGCCTCTCCTCTCTTCCTCCCAAGACCACCACCGTCCGCTTTTCCTTGCCTATCAAGTGCGCCTCTGCCTGGCCTTGACACGCACGGAGTCTACACTCAAGTGGCTTTTCCCTGTATTTTCCACTGCCCTCGAGAGGTGGGTTTTTTCGCTGCCCGAAGCACCCGCTGACCCCCAGCGACATCTCTATGAGCCCCGCCCGCAGACACGACCCAGCTGAATGAAGCCTGAAGCTCAGTGGCCTTCAAATTGTCTGTTTCTAAAAGAATTTTGGAAAACTGCATCCTCTCATGCATTTTAAAGATGACATCTAAAATTCTCCATCCTAAGTCTAAATAGATGTAGAGGATGTAACTGTTACTTAAAAATCAGCGGTTGTCGTAGGCAGCTTCTAAGATGTGTTCTAGGATCCCACCCCCTGGGAGTCACGACCTTCTGAATCCTCCTCGCGGAGTGTGGGATGGACCCAGAGGCTTGGTTCTAACAATAGAATATGAATAGAAGAAGACAAAAATGATGGGATGTCACTTACAAGATTAAGTTACAAAAAGATCCTGACTTCTGTCTTGCCCAGCCCCTCCCTCTGAGCTCCTAGCTCTTAGGGAAGCCATGCTGGGGCCCAAGTGGCAGAGAATGAGAAAGGCCTCTGCCCAGTGCAAGACACTGAGATCTTCATTTCATCATTGCCATTATTAGTACATAATTGATAAAAAATAATGTAAATATAATACATGTTAATAAGTAATTAAACATGAATTACTTGAAATTCATTTTATTCCTAATTAGTTGATGTATCTGTGAACAAATATTGCTTATTCATAGAACAAAGCAACATTCAGCATTTAAGAAATATTTTATTTTTCTTCTTTTTTTTTTTTTCTTTTTGAGATGGAGTCTTGCTCTGTCATCCAGGCCGGAGTGCAGTGGCGTGATCTCGGCTCACTGCAAGCTCCGCCTCCCGGGTTCAGTCCATTCTCCTGCCTCAGCCTCCCGAGTAGCTGGGACTACAGGCACCTGCCACCACGCCCGGCTAATTTTTTGTATTTTTAGTAGAGACGGGGTTTCACCGTGTTAGCCAGGATGGTCTTGATCTCCTGACCTCATGATCCGCCCGCCTCGGCCTCCCAAAGTGCTAGGATTACAGGCGTGAGCCACCATTTTTCTTCTTTTTAAAACATTGAGACAGGGTCTCACTATGTTACCCAGGCTGGTCTTGAATTCCTGGGCTCAAGTCATCCTCCTGCCTCAGCTTCCCAAAGTACTAGGATTACAGGCACGAGCTACCACCCCAGGCTAAAAATATTTTAGATGTAAGCCTTAAAAAATTGCTTACATAAATAATTATATTTGTCTCATCAATTCTTTGAACCCGTTTTCAGTCATATGCAAAGATCACATAGCCATCTTGTCACCTTTTTTTTTTTTTAAATAGGGTCTCACTAAACGGCCCAGGCTAGACTCAAACTCCAGGGCTCAAGAGGTCCTCTCATCTCAGCCTCCCAAGTAGCTGGGATTACAGGTTTGCACCACTGTGCCCAGTCAAATATTTTTGATTTGGCAACTGACAACTTGATTGGGTCCTCCTTCAATTTTAGTAAGGCAATATTTGGAACCTACCTCACTTGCAAAAAAATAGATGTCTATCTATCTATCTATCTATCTATCTCTGTATATCGATATGTGTATATACCTATCCTGTGATCAGAGTCCTATTACACAATGGTATCTGGTACTGTTGCTATGTCTAGTGCCCAGGGGCTTTTTAAATTTTATTTTATTTTATTTATTTTTTTTCTGAGATGGAGTCTTGCTCTGTCGCCCAGGCTGGAGTGTAGTGGCAACCTCCGCCTCCCAGGTTCAAGCAATTCTCCTGCCTCAGCCTCCTGAATAGCTGGGATTACAGGCACATGCCACCACGCCCAGCTAATTTTTGTATGTTTAGTAGAGATGGGGTTTCACCATGTTGGCCAGGCTGGTCTCGAACTCCTGACCTTGTGATCTGCCCTCCTCAACCTCCTAAAGTGCTGGGATTACAGGGGTGAGCCACTGCTCTGGGCCCCCAGGGGCTTTTTTACACATTCTAAAATGTGTCCCCCAAATTTCACATGTTAGAAACTTAATACCCAGGACTGATGAGAGGCCTACCTTTCTTTTGAAAGTGGGAGAAGGACAAGTAGGAAACAAAAGTGTGGGGAAGGAAGGGAGCCTCCACCCACACCTGACATCTTCACAGCTGGTACCTTTCCTGGCAGGCAAGTGTCTGGAAGAGGACATGGGGATGTTGAGATTCTGGAGGTCCATTCCCTTCAAATCTATTCCCTTCAAGCCAGGGCCAGCAAGTTTTTTTTTTCTGGAAAGTATCAGATAGTAAATACTTCAGGCTTTGCCAGCCATATAGTTCTGTCCCAACTATTCAACTCTGCCCTTGTAGAAGCCATTGACAATATGTAAACAAAGGAGTGTGTCTGTGTTCTAATAAAACTTTATTTATGGACACTTACATTTAAATTTCATATAATTTTCATTTGTCCAAACATATTATTTCCCTTTTGATTTTTTCCCCTGACCATTTGAAACTGTAAAAACCAACTTAGCTCCCCGGAGGGTACAAAAACAGGCAGTAGAACAGATTTGGGCCATAGGCCCTAGTTTACTGATGTGTGCCCTAAACTTTCCAAGGCGTGCCCCTTGGAAAGTCTTCATGTAACCTCAGGGTAATGTGTACTCTCATTTGAAATTGCTATCCTGGTTCTCAACTCTGCCTACGTATTAGAATCCCATGAGGTGCTTTTTGAAATACCAGTGTACAGCCACACCCTTCCACACTGATTCTGTTGGTCTGCGATGGGGTCTGGGCATAAGTATTTTTGAGTTTCCCAGATACATCTAATGTGTAGCCTGACCTTGGACCACTGTTCTAATTGCTATAGGCTCTGCACACCTCTCAGGGCACAATGCTGCTTTGTGCTGTTGTTACTGTATTTCATCCAATGATCCAAAATCATTGAAAGATAAAGCCTAATTTAGGAATTTTAAAATGTAGAAAATGGGTGTCTTCAACTGGATGAAATATAGTTTTTCCCTATCTGTAAGATTGGTCCTCACTGATGGTAAGTACCCCGGCTTCCTCACTCCTGTGTTGCTCTCACCTGCAGTGCTTGGCTGGGTGTGAGGTGGTCTGTGAATACTTGCCAAGCGCATGTCAACATTAGGCTGCTTTGCTTATTGCTTGTTCTCTGGGTTCTTACTTTTCCCCTGACAGAGCCTCATCCTGAGGAGATAGTAGATATCCAAAAAAATTTTTTTTGATTCATTGACTGATTATACAAGGAGCAATAGATTGATGTCAGGAATCAGAGTCAGGGATTGGAGAACTTGGTGGTGTCTTTGGCTATGAGAAAAGGGAAATGGCCACGGATTTCATTCCAGGACAGTGAGAGAGGGGACAGAATATCCTTTGCCATGAGAAAGATGGGGTTAGGAGCTAGTCTCTGATTGACTGAGCTTTCTGTGTCCATTCTCTGAAATGATGTTGTTTATTTGACTTTTCCTCTGTGTCCTCTGCTAGTATATAATCTCAGTGAAAGAAGAGACTGCAAATCATTTTTCACCATTGCTATTCTTTGAATGTATCCCCCAAATTTCACATGTTACAAACTTAATCCCCAAATTCATATGTTGATTGGAGGTGAGGCCTTTGGGAAGTAATTTGAATGAGATCATCAAGGTGGGGGCCTCCATAATGGGACTGGTGTCTTTATATGAAGAGGAAGATAGGCAGGGCACGGTAGCTCATGCCTGTAATCCCAGCACTTTGGGAGGCCGAGGCAGGCAGATCACTCGAGCTCAGGAGTTCATAGACCAGCCTGGGCAACATGGTGAAAACCTGTCTCTACCCAAAATACAAAAATTAGCCAGACGTGCCTGTAGTCCTAGCTGCTCGAGAGGCTGAGGCTTGAGCCTGGGAGGGAGGCAGAGGTTGTGGTTTGCTGACATTGTGCCACTGCACTCCAGCCTGGGAGATGGGAGTGAAATCCTGTCTCAAAAAAAAAAGAGTAACAGACCTGAGCTGACCTGCACACTCTTACCCTCTCTCCCTATGATCGCCTCTGCCGTGTTTTGACACAGCAAAGAGGCCCTCACCAAATGCTGGTGCCATGCTCTTAGACTTCCTGGCCTCTAGAATTGTGAGCTAAATAACATTTTTTTTCTTTATAAATTACGCAATCTATGGTATTCTCTTATAGCAACAGAAAACAGACTAAGACAACCATATTCCCAGTGCTTAGAACAGCCTCTGTCTCACAGGAGATGATCAATAAACGTGTTTTGAATAAACTGTTGAATAAACGTGTCAACTGAGATTTACTAAGTTCAAGAGGGGTTTTTGTGGGCGGAATTTTTTTCCTTTTTTTTTTTTTTTCCCCAGACAGAGTCTCACTCTGTCACCCAGGCTGGAGTACGGTGGCTCCATCACAGCTCACTGCAGTCTTAACCTCCTGGGCTCAGGTGATCCTTCTGCCTCAGTCTCCCAAGTATGTGGGACCACAGGTATGCGCCACTATGCCTAATTTTTTTTTTATTACTTGTAATATGTAATATCTGTGTTTCCCAGGCTGGCCTCAAACCCCTGGGGTCAAGAGATCCTCTCACGCCTGGCCTCAGAAATTTTTTTTATGACAACTTTTATTTTTATTCTTACATTGAGTTACAACACTTAAATTGTAGTTCTTCTCAAGCATTATTTATTATTATTATTTTTTTGAGATGGAGTTTCACTCTGTCGCCCAGGCTGGAGTGCACTGGCGTGATCTTGGCTCACTGCAACCTCCACCTCCCAGGTTCAAGCGATTCTCCTGCCTCAGTCTCCCGAGTAGCTGGGATTCAGGTGCCCCCCACCACGCCTGGCTAATTTTTTGTATTTTTAGTAGAGAGGGGGCTTCACCATGTTGGCCAGGCTGGTCTTGAACTCCTTATCTCATGATTCACCCACCTCGGCCTCCCAAAGTGCTGGGATTACAGGCGTGAGCCACCGCACCCGGCCTTTGTTTTTTTTTTTTTTTTTTTTAGAGACAGTGTCTCACTATGTTGCCCAGGCCGGTCAGCTGATCTCAAACTATGACCTCAAGTTACCCTCTTGCCTCAGCCTCCTGGATACCTGGGATTACAGGCACTAGCCACCATATCCAGTCTTCAAGCTTTTAAATTCAACTTACAAAGCTTGCTAGTTTATTTATTTATTTAGTTGCTTACTTATTTATTTGAAACAGGTTCTAGCTCTGTTATGCAGGCTGGAGTGTAGTGGCACAATCACGACTCACTGCAGCCTCAACCTCCTGGGCTCAAGTGATCCTCTAGCCTCAGCCTCCACAGTAGCTGGAACTCCAGGTGTGCACCACCATGCCTGGCTAATTTTATATTTTTTTTGTAGAGACAGGGTCTCACTATGTTGCCCAGGCTGACCTCAAACTCCTGGGCTCAAGTGATCCTCCCACCTCAGCTTCCCAAAGTACTGGGATTACAGGCATGAGCCACCATGCCCAGCTCCAGTCCATTTATTAATCTGGTAATATTGGTATAAAATAAGAACAATCACTTTTACTTGTTCTTTAATTCATGTGCTATTAACTCATAAATGTAAGAGACTAAATCTTCCTTAAACACTTAACACTACTTCAAACTTGATTCATTACATTTCCTAAGACATTTCAAACCACATCGCAAATTTTATGTGCATGTTTCTCTTAAAAGTTTCAAATGCTGACTGCTAGACTTACAAATTTAATACAAAAATATTTCTAAGCATCTATACAACACCTGAAAAAGCTAATAAATCAAACTGTTAACAAGTTGTAATAAGTTATTAAAGTAATGGCCCTCAGTTTGTTCACACCAATTCTCCTGCCTCAGCCTCCTGAGTAGCTGGGACTACAGGCGCACGCCATCATGCCTGGCTAATTTTTGTATTTTTAGTAGAGATGGGGTTTCACAGTGTTAGCCAAGATGGTCTCGATCTCCTGACCTCCTGATCCACCCGCCTCGGCCTCCCACAGTGCTGGGATTACAGGCGTGAGCCACCGCGCCCGGCCTGCCTAGACCACTTATCTTAGAACACAGGACTTTCCAGAATCCTGATTTTCAGAATGTGGCTGAGAGATGTCAGCGCCATTTTTCTGAGAGGTGAGCTCTTAGCAGAGATAGAAATTGTTTCTTTTCTATTTTTATTTCTAAGAGGAATTAGAGTTAGAGCCAGAGAGAGCTATTTAATTAAAAGGATGGGAGGCCAGTCCAAGGATTGTTAAACTGAAGTCCATAGATAGGCTCTAGGAAGTTTGTAAACACTTGGAAATAATTTGAAAAATGTTTGTGTGAGTGTGCTTTTCTCTGGAAAGAGAGTTCATAAGTCTCATCAGATTTTTGAAATAGTTTTGGCATTAACAAAACTAAACCAAACCACCACCACTACACAACCAAACTACAACACTGAGGCTCTGATAGAGAAATTTTGTGACTCATGCCACACAGGTAGTCAGTGGCAGAGCCCAGGATAAAGAGAGCCAGATGGTGTGCTTGGTAAAGAAGTTAGAAGTTTTTAGCTCTCAGGCTAGGGGGTCTTCCTGTTGCATGAAGCCAGACTGAGAATAATTACATGCAGGAATAGCAATTAAATTTATATTTTAAAGAAAAGGTACATTGGTGGGGTGTGGTGACTCACACCTGCAATCCCAGCACTTTGGGAGGCTGAGGTGGGCAGATCACTTGAGGTCAGGAGTTCGAGACCAGCCTGGCCAACATGGTGAAACTCTGTCTCTACTAAAAATGTAAAAATTGGCCAGGCATGGTGGCTCACGCCTGTAATCCCAGCATTTTGGGAGGCCAAAGTGGGCGGATCAGGAAGTCAGGAGTTTGAGACCAGCCTGGCCAACATGATGAAATTCCGTCTCTACTAAAAATACAAAAATTAGCTGAGCGCGTGGCATGGTGGCGGGCGCTTGCAATCCCAGCTAGTCGGGAGGCTGAGGCAGGAAAATTGCTTGAACCTGGGATGCAGAAGTTGCAGTGAGCTGAGAACGCGCCACTGCACTCCAGCCTGGGTGACCCAGCAAGACTTCATCTCAAAAAAATTAGCCGGGCGTGGTGGCGGGTGCCTGTAATCCTAGTTACTCGGGAGGCTGAAGCGGGAGAATCATTTGAACCCAGGAGGCATAGGTTTCAGTGAGCCAAGATCACACCACTGCACTCCAGCCTGGGTAACAGAGTGAGATTCCGTCTCAGAAAAAAGAAAAGAAAAGAAAAGAAAAGGTACATTGAGATTTGAAGAAACAGAGGAGAGGGTTGTAGGTGACTGACTAGAAATAATGTTACGGGAGGAAGAGTGAATGATGTGGTGAAGGGTATAGAACTATGAGAAAGTCCTTGTCAATCACATGGCTAGAGAATGGTGATCACTGAAAAGGAGGTAAAATATAAAAACATTTGCAGAATATTTCTCAATCGAAAATTTTACTAGGGGTTCTAAAATGGTGCTGCGGAAGCAAGCTGGCTTTACTTCCCCAACAGAAAACTGAAAAGAAACACATAGCACCAAGATCATCACCAGCAATGTTCCAGAACTCAAATATGAAGATGAGAGTTCCTGGGGCCACATATGAAAAAAACTTTGAGACATTGTCAAGAGAATCAGACTTAAAGAAAATTTTTTTTAAAGACGGGGTCTCGCTCTATTGCCCAGGTTGGAGTGCAGTGGCTCACTGCAACCTGTACTTCCCGGGTTCAAGCAATTCTCCTGCCTCAGCTTCCTGAGTAGCTGGGGTTACAAGTGTGCGCCACCACGCGTGGGTAATTTTTGTATTTTTAGTAGAGACAGATTTCACCATGTTGGCCAGGCTGGTCTTGAACTCCTTACCTCAGGTGATCTGCCTGCCTCGGCCTCCCAAAGTGCTGAGATTACAGGTGTGAGCCACTGTGCCTGGCTGAGACTCAGACTTCTATATCCATCATGCCCCTCCCTCAAATCTGCCCCACACCAAGCGTGCAGAAAACTCGCTGACTCATGCATTCTTCACTGGAAAAAGTGAGATCGAGATGGCCAGCCAGCTTCTCCATCATCGTGGGTTCACTGGCAGGAAACCTGTCCCTGACTCAACCCACAGAAAGCAACCCACAGAAAGGTTGAGTCCCTGACTCAACCCACAGAAACTCAACCCACAGAAAGGCACAGAAAGAAAGTGTGCCTGGAATAAGAAATATCCCAGAGGACAGCCAGAGACAGAGTAGGGAGGCAGGACCACCATCCCCAGCCCTGGACACTCTGCTCTAATTTGGCCAAAGGAGACAGCAAATCAGCGTGGCTGTTAAGCAGCACCATGTGGTAGGTTTGTTCCACAGGTCCCCTGGGCACAACCCCTAACCATCCTTCCCACACTACTGAAATGTCCCCTTTGAGACCTCCCTTATCCTGATGGGTGGCACTCTTTTGTTTTGAGATGGAGTCTCACCCTGTCACCAGGCTGGAGTGCAGTGGCACGATCTTGGCTCACTGCAACCTCTGCCTCCCGGGTTCAAGCGATTCCCCTGCCTCAGCCTGCCGAGTAGCTGGGACTACAGGCGCGTGTCACCACGCCCAGCTAATTTTTGTATTTTCAGTAGAGACAGGGTTTCACCATGTGGGCCAGGATGGTCTTGATCCCTTGACCTCGTGATCCGCCCACCTCAGCCTCCCAAAGTGCTAGGATTACAGGCATGAGCCACAGCGCCAGGCCGGGTGGCACTAATTGCTTTCCAGAACCAAGGCAAACCTGGGCTTATGCCACCATCTAGTGTCAAAAAGGAGGCAGTGACCTAGCTGGAAAAAAAGAAAAATAAAATAAATAAATAAATAAATAAAACCAACAGGTAAATTAAAAATAAAAACCCCAAGCAAACATATCAAATAAAAACTGAAACAAGCCAGACAGAGAAGATTGAAATAAATAACAAATCCTTTAATGCAAAGACATAGACTCACATCACAGGAAACAATAGCAAAGAAGGAATCATGACTCCAAATGGACAAAGTGAGGAACCAGTGACTGACCTTAATGAGTCAGCAATCTGTGAACCTCTGACCAAGAATTCAAAATATCTGTTTTGAGAAAACTCAGTGATATCCAAGATAACATACAAAAGTAATTCAGAAATTTACAAGAGAAATTTAATACAGAGATTGAAATTTTGAATAATCAAACAGAAATCTTGGAGCTGAGAAATAAATTCACTCAACTAAAAAATTCATGGCCAGTCGTGGTCGCTCACACCTGTAATCCCAGCACTTTGGGAGGCCAAGGTGCCTGAGCTCAGGAGTTCGAGACCAGCTTGGGCAACATGGTGAAACCCCGTCTCTACTAAAATACAAAAAATGAGCTGGGCATGGTGGCATGCGCCTGTAGTCCCAGCTACTCGGGAGGCTGAGGCAGACGTATTACTTGAACCCAGGAGGCGGAGGTTGCAGTGAGTCAAGATCATGCCACTGCACTCTAGCCTGGGCGACAGAGTGAGACTCTGTCTCTGAAAAAAAAAAAAAAAATCATTAGAGGCTCTCAACCAGCGAAATGAATCAAGCAGAGGGAAAAAACCAGCAAGCTCAAAGACAGGCTTCTAAAAAATACACAGAGGAGCAAAAACAAAAAAAGAATAAAATGCAATAAAAATTGTCTCCTAAATATAGAAAATTACCTCAAAAGACCAAATCTAAGAATTCTTGGTGTTCAAAAGGGAGTTGAGCAAGAGCAAAGGGTGGAAAGCTTATTCAAAATCAAACACGGACACTCAAAAAACTTTCCAAACTTGAGAAAGAGACAAATAGCCACATACAAGAAGATCAGAGAACACCAAACAGGTTCAACCCAAATAAGACTACCAAAAGGCATATAATAACGAAATGCTCAATGGTCAAGGGTAAAGAAAGGATTCTAAAAGCAGCAAGAGAAAAGAAGCAAATAACATATAAAAAAGCTCCAATTTGTCTGGCAACAGATTTCTCAATTGGAACTATACAGATCAGAAGGGAATGGGATGGCATTTTCAAAGTGCTGAAAGAAAAAAACTGCCATTTAAGAATACTGTATTGGAAAAGTGTCCCTTCAAATATGGAGAGGACATAAAGTCTCTTCTGGACAAACAAAAGATGAGAGTTCACTACCACCAGACCTGTGTTACAAGAAGTGCTAAGGAGAATTCTTCAATCAGAAAGAAAGAAAAAAAAAACACTAACATGCAAAAAGAAAATATGTAAAGGTATGAAACCTGCTGGTAAAATTAAGTACATGAACAAACCCAGAATACTCTAATACTATAATTTCAATGTGCAATCTACTCATAACTAGTATGCAGCCCAAAAGACAAATCTATCAAAAACAACAATACCTACAGCAATCTGTTAGGAGATGGACATTATAGAAATACACATACATTGAGACAACATAAAGTCAGAATGTGGGGGATGGAGTTAAATTGTAAAGTTAAACTCTTTTTTCCGTGTTCATTTTTATTTTCTTTAAGCTGTTATCTCTTTAAAATAACCTGTTATATCTATAAAATGTTTTTGGTAAGCCTCATGGTAATCACAATGCACAAACCTGAAATAGATTCATTAAAAATAAAAGCAATGAGTTAAAACATACTACCAGAGAATATCACTTAACCTCAAAGAAAGACAGGACTAAAGAAAGATAGGAAGAAAGAAAGAAAGGAAGCAAGGAGTTACAAAACGATCAGAAAACAAGCAACAAAATGGCAGTAGTAATAATATCAATAATAACCCTGCATGTAAATGGACTCAATTCTCCAATTAAAAGCCATGGGTTGGCTGACAGGATAAAGAAACAAGACCCAACTATATGCTGCCTACAACAAACCCATCTCACCTATAAAGACACACCAAGACTGAAAGTGAAGGGATAGCAAAAGACATTCCATGCAACTGGAAGCCAACAAAGAGCAGGAGTAGTTATTCTTATATCAGATAAAATAGACTACAAATAAAAGACTGTAAAAAGAGATAAAGAAGGTCACTATAGAGCCTTGGACAATACACAACACATGGAAACAAAACAACATGCTCTTGAACAATCAATAGGTCAATAAAGAAATTAAGAAGGAAATTTTAAAAAGTTGAAACAAATGGAAATGGAAATACAACAAGCCAAAATCTATGGGATACAGCAGAAGCAGTAACAAGAGGGATGTTTATAGCAATAAATGCCTATAAGAAAAAAGTAGATTCCAAACACTGTGAAATCAAGAAAAAAAAAGGTAGAAAGACTTCATATAAACAACCTAATGATGCACCTCAAGGCACTAGAAAAGCAAGAGCAAACCAAAGCCAGAATTAGGAGGAAAGAAATAATAAAGATCAGGGAACTAAATGAAATTGAGACTAAAGAAATTACAAATAATCAATGAAACAAAAAGTTGGCTTTTTGAAAAGATAAACAAAATAAACCTTTAGCTAAACTAAGAAAAAAAGAGCAAAAATTCAAATACATAAAATCAGAAATGAAAAAAGAGACATAACTGAGACAATAGAAGTACAAAGAATCATTAGAAACTACATAAACAACTATACACCAACAAACTAAAAAACCTAGAAGAAATGCATACATTTCCGGACATATACAATGCATCAAGATTGAACCATGAAGACAGCTGGGCACAGTGGCTTATGCCTGTAATCTCAGCACTCTGGGAGGCCAAAGTGGGTGGATCACTTGAGTTCAGGAGTTAGAGACCAGCCTGGCCAACATCATGAAACCCCACCTCTACTAAAAATACAAAAATTAGCCAAGCTTGGTAGTGGGCACCTGTAATCCCAGCTACTCGGGTGGCTAAGGCAGGAGAATCATTTGAACCCAGGAGGCGGAGGTTGCAGTGAGCCAAGGTCACACCACTGCACTCCAGCCTGGGTGACAGAGCGAGACTCCATCTCAAAAAAAAAAAAAGATTGAACCGTGAAGAAATAGAAAACTTCAACAAATCAATAATGAGTACCGAGATCGAAGCAGTAATAAAAACTCTCTCACCAAAGAAAAGCCAGGTAAGCATGGGGACTCACGCCTGTAATCCCAGCACTTTGGGAGGCCGAGGTAAGCAGATCACTTGAGAACAGGAGTTCGAGACAAGCATGGCCAAATAGCAAAACCCTATCTCTACTAAAAATATAAAAATTAGCTGGGCGTGGTGGCACATGCCCGTAATCCTAGCTACTCAGGAGGCTGAGCACAAGAATAACTTGAACCTGGGAGGCAGAGGTTGCAGTGAGCCGAGATTGCCCCACTGCACTCCAGCCTGGGTGATAGAGCAAGACTATGTCTAATTAATTAATTAATTAATTAATTAATAAAGCCCAGAACCTGATGGCTTCACTGCTGAATTCTACCAAACATTTAAAGAAGAAATAATATCCTGCCAGGCACAGTGGCTCACACCTGTAATCCCAGCATTTTGGGAGGCTGAGGCAAGTGGATCACTTCAGGTCAGGAGTTCAAGGCCAGCCTGGCCACCATGTTGAAACCCTGTCTCTACTAAAAATGCAAAAATTAGCTGGGTGTGGTGGTGGATGTCTGTAGTCCCAGCTACTCAGGAGGCTGAGGCATGAGAATCCCTAGAACCCAGGAGGTGGAGGTTGCAGTGAGCCCAGATGGCGCCGTTGCACTCCAGCCTGGGCGATGGAGTGAGACTCTGTCTCAAAAAAAAAAAAAAAGAAATAATACTAATTATATTCAAGAAAGTGCTTCAAAAAATTGAAGAGGAGGGAATACTTCTAAACTTATTCTAGAAAGTCAGCATTACTCTGATACCAAAACCAGATAAATACACACAAAAAAGAAAACCACAGGCCAATATCAAGCATAAACATAGATGCAAAAATTCTCAACAAAATACTAGTGAACTTCAACAACATGTTAAAAAATAATTCACCATGATCAAGTAAAATTCATCCCAGGAATTCAAGGATGATTCAACATACGCAAATCAATAAATGTGATACATCACATTAACAGAACCAAGAACAGAAGCCATATGACCATTTCAATAGATATTGAAAAATCATCCAATAAAATTCAACATACCTTTATAGTAAAAATCCTCAGCAAACTGGGTATAGAAGAAACATACCTCAAAATAACATAGGCCGTAGATGACAAACACACAGCTAACATTGTATATTGAAAACCTTTCTTCTAACATCTGGAATAAGACAAGGATGCTCACTTTTCACCACTTTTATTTAACATAATATTGGAAGTCCTGGAAGAGCAATTAGGCAAGGGAAAAAAATAAAGAGTACTAAAATTGGAAAGAAAGAAATCATAGCCTTGTTCACAGATGACATGAACTTACACTTAGAAAAACCTAAAGACTCCACCAAAAAACTGCTAGAACTGGTAAACTAATTCAGTAAGTTGCTGGATACAAACTCAACATACAGAAATTAGTAGCATTTATATATGTCAATGGTGAATAATCTGAAAAAAGAAATCAAGAAAGCAATCTCATTTACAATAGCTACAAAAATATGAAATACATAGGAATCAATTTAGACAAATAAATGAAAAATCTTGATATGGTTTAGATGTTTGTCCCCTCCAAATCTCATGTTGAAATGTGACCTCCAGTGTTGGAGGTGGGCCTACCCGGAGGTGTTTGGGTCACGGGGATGGAATCTTCACAAATGACTTGGTGTTGTCCTGCAGTAATGAATGAGTTCTCACTCTATGACTTCATGCGAGATCCGGCTGATCAAAAGAGCCTGGCATTTCCTCCCGCTCACTCTTGCTTCCTTTCTCACCATGATTTGCTTGCTCCCTCTTTGCCATATGCCATGATGGGAAGCTTCCTGAGGCCCTCATCAGAAGCAGATGCTGGTGCCATGCTTCCCTTACAACCTGTAGAACCATGAGTCAAAATAAACCTCAGGAGGGACCACTCTGGAAGTAGACCCAGCTGTTCTGATGCAATTCAGAAACTCTAACTAAACTGAAATCTGTAACTCATCTCAGTTCCAAATTTTGGACTGAGCAGCCCCAGCCAAACTGAGACAGTAATTCTGATCTCCTTAAAGTGGTAAGCATAGGAAAATGCTGTGAAGGTGTAGAAATAAGCATTGTGATAAGAAAAATGTCTACCAAATCCGTGATATTACTACTTTGCATTAGGTTTAGAAAAAAACTGAAATCATCATGGTAATTTGTATGTATTATTTGTTTCTTAAGGCATCTGAAATATTTTGGAGAATGTCATGTTAGAGAATCTGGCATATTATGATTGTGATATTAATTTGAAATAGTTAAGAGGATTTGATATTCATCTTGTGACTTATTTTGAAATATTAAAAAAGTTGAATGATAATAGATTCGAATATTTTTAAATGTGTAAAATAATTTGATTATTTTGTAATCAGTATTGAGATTTTTCCAAATAATTTGATTTATGAAAATTTTAAATTAAGACTTAAGTTCTGGGTAAGGAATTTAAACGCTTAGGGTGGTTCTGTCATAAAGAAACGAAAGCTTGTCTTATTAGGACTTTGATGAGAAGGTAGGGTACATTATGTTGATGACTATGGTTTGACGTGCCCAGGAAACCCAGTTATCCAATTTCATTAACATATCTTCCAAAAACAGATGTTAAATACCTTTTAAAGAACTCTGCTGTTAGCTGCTAAGGTTAAAAACTTAAAAATTTTCAGGCTGGGTGTGGTGGCTCATGCCTGTAATCCCAGCACTTTGGGAGGCCAAGGTGGCTGGATCACCTGAGGTCAGAAGTTTGAGACCAGACTGGGCAACATGGTGAAATCCCATCTCTACTAAAAATACAATAATTAGCTGTTGAACCCTAGAGGTGGAGGTTGCAGTGAGCTGAGATCATGCCACTGCACTCCAGCCTGAGCAGCAGAGTAAGACTCCGTCTCAAAATAAATAAATAAATTAATTAATTAATTAATTAATTCACAATCAAAGTGATTTGAGGAATGGGGATAAGCGGAAGTTCCCTTGTGTTTGCTGGAATCTGAAAGGCTTTTTGATGGAGTGACTTTTGAGAAGGGTCCTGAGGAATGAGACAGTGGGTGAAGGGGGAGAAGGGCATTTTAGGCAAAGGAAAGGCATAGAGTTTTTTCAGGGGATGCAAGAGGTCTAATGTGACTGGATTGGCTGATGGGTTACAGCAGGGGAGTTGGGCTGTGAGGAGCCATGGGTGTGTGTTGGGCAAGAAGGAGACATTTTGATTTCACAAATACTTATGGAGCGTGATGAGCCATGCACAGCACAGGCACTAGACTCAAAAGGCCACAGGAGGGAGAGCTTCAGAGGCTCCACGGGGCCTTTGACAATGCTGAGGTGGGGATCCAAGTCAGATCCCAAGGAGAAAGTGGCTATTGTGGAGGTGGAGCTCCCATGCAAAGCAGGCCTGACTTAACAAATCTTAAAAATAGCAGAAAAGCCAGTTTCAGTGTGGGGGCTCGAAGGGGCAGCAGAGGAACCCCCTTGCAATTCTGAGTAGAGTTTTGCGTGGCCATGACCCTTTCCTCTGCCTCCCACACATCACATTCTTGTCCTCTCTTCATGTTTTTTAGCCACTCAGGCTGTAGCTCTGTTTGTTCAGCACAGGTTTGCAGATAAGCTCAGGAAACCTGAAGCCCAGGTGACAGGGGAGGAGAGGAACCCAGTATTTGCTGAGCACCGACCAAATGCCAGGTCCTGGTTGTCTTGTTTAATCCTTACAACCCCCTGTGAGGTGGGCATTTTATAGAAGAGCAAACAGGCCAGAGGAGTTGAAGTGCTGTCACGCATTGCTTAACGGCAGGGATAGGTTCTGAAAAATGCATTGCTGTTGTGGGAATATCAGCATGTACTTCACAAACTTAGATGGTAGAGCCTACTCCACCCCGGCTAGACAGCATAGCCTACTGCTCCCCGGTGGCAAACCTGCACGGTATGGGACTGTGCTGAATACTGTAGGCCGCTGCAACACAGTGGTAAGTATTCAGGTATCTAAGCATAGCTAAACATATAAAAGGCACAGTCAAAATACGGTTCTAGGCCAGTGGCTCACGCCTCCCAGCACTCTGGGAGGCCGAGGCGGGTGGATCACTTGAGGTTAGGAGTTTGAGACCAGCCTAGCCAACATGGCGAAACCCCATCTCTACTAAAGTTACAAAAATTAGCTGGGCGTGGTGGCGCATGCTTGTAGTCCAGCTACTCAGGAGGCTGAGGCAGGAGAATCATTTGAACCCGGGAGGCAGACGTTGCAGTGAACAGAGATAACGTCACTGCACTCCAGCCTGGGCGACAGAGTGAGACTGTGTCTCAAAAAACAAAAAACAAAAAACAAAATACGGTATTATCACCTTCTGGGACCACCAGATGGGTCCCTCATTGACCAAAACACAGAGTGGGACTGTAATTTGCCCAAGGTCATGTTTTGAGGAAGATGGCAAAGTTCTTCCCACTTTCCCACACCTGCACTACTCCTATTCTTGGATCTCCTGGAGGTCTTCAGTTCCTTGAACCTTCCTTTTTTTTTTTTTCCCTCCCAGTCTTACTGCCCGCTTTGGCCTCTTTTCCTTTTCTACCCAGCCTAAATTCAAGGTTGGTGACAGGGACTCTCACCAGTGTCAAACCAGGCAGACCACCTCTGCTGACTGGGGCTTGGGACTGTGACAACGCCCACTGGGAGCCCTTGGGGTCAGGGGTTCCACAGTGCACAATTCCAGGAAATGCCATCACTGATGTAGTCCATGTGAATGGCATCTCCTGGCGTTATTCAGTTTACAGCCTAAGCCCCTGTATGCCAGGTCCCTGCCAAGGCTCTTTCCTTCTTCCTTCCCTCCCTCCCTTCCTTCCCTCTTCCTTTCCCCTTCCCCGTTTTCTTTCTTTTCTTTCTTGCCTTCCTTCCTTCTTTCTCTCCTTCCTTCCCTTCCTTCCTTCCTTCCTTCCTTCCTTCCTCTCTCTCTCTCTCTCTCTCTCTCTCTCTCTCTCTCTCTTTCTGGAACCAGTAAACAAGATGGGGAAAGGACATATGTGAGATCAAGGCTATGGCCTACATGATAGGACCTGGCTACCTGGTGCATCCTTGCTCCTTACAGAAGCACAGCTGAAGTTCATTCTCCTTTTCTGTTTTTTTTGTTTTTGTTTTTGTTTTTGACGGAGTCTCGCTCTGTTGCCCACGCTGGCGTGCAGTGGCGCGATCTCGGCTCACTGCAACCTCTGCCTCCCTGGCTCAAGCGAGTCTCCTGCCTCAGCCTCCTGAGTAGATGGGGTTACAGGTGCCCACCACAACACCCAGTTAATTTTTTAATATTTTTAGTAGAGACGAGTTTTCACCATGTTGGCCAGGCCAGTCTTGAATGAAATTCATTATTATATGCAGTCTGTACAGAGCAAGAAATCTTCCAGGCCAGGGAACCAGAAGCATAGGCCTGCTGCCTTTCACACACTTTTTTTTAGGCTAACAGGTACCAGAAACCCAGAGCCTTCTATTTTGTACAAATCTCTAGTGAATGTACTTCTCAGTCAGGGCTGTGGGGACCAAACCTTCCCCAACCTGATGCATGCCATCCTGCAGCTCTCCAGATGGGTGGGATGCATGGGTGTGGTTCCCCTCAGAGTGTCTGACTATGGGGTGACAGCTATGTGGTCTGCCTTTATATCTGACTGACAGTTTCCTTATCATGTCCCTTAGCAAGATTTTTTTTCATCCCCTTGCAGTTCTTTTTCTTTCTTTCTTTCTTTTGACAGGGTTTCGCTTTTGTTGCCTAGGCTGGAGTGCAATGGCACCATCTTGGCTCACTGCAACCTCCGCCTCCCAGGTTCAAGCGATTCTCCTGCCTCAGCCTCCCAAGTAGCTGGGACTATAGGCATGCACCACCACATCCAATAATTTTTTATTTAGTAGAGATGGGGTTTCACCATGTTGGTCAGGCTGGTCTCGAACTCCTGACCTCAGATGATCCACCCGCCTCGGCCTCCCAAAGTGCTGGGATTACAGGTGTGAGCCACCGAGCCCAGCCCCTCTTGCAGTTCTTCCAGTGTTCCTAATCAGCCCTCATGGGTGGGGCTCGCAGGTTCACGCTCTCCTGGCTCCCAGATACCGTGGAAGCCACTGCCAGCTCAGGACGCTGTGGCAGTGAGATTTTCAGCAGTGGCACAGGGCCGGCACCCAGCATGAGACTCCTCCCTCCCTGATTCTCTGGGGAAATATTTGATTGCAGAGGCCAACGGATGACTGTCTACTCCCCTTGCAGCAATATCTTCATTAGATTGCAATTTGTATTGTCCTTGATCTCCCTCTCTTTATTTTTAGAGATGATGTTTTGCCATGCTGACAGGCTAGTCATGAACTCCTGGCCTCAAGCGATCTGCCTGCCTCAGCCTCCCAAAGTGCTGGGATCAGAGGCATGAGGCACTGTGCCTGGCCTTGTCCTTGATCTCTTTCTGCCACCCACTCTGTTCTCTGGATGCTCTGAAATGACCTGTCAGGCTGCCCATCCTTTGGTGAGGATAGGCATTACATTAGTTGGATGTAAATTTGGCTGGGGCAAAAGAGACCCAGAATAAATTGGTTTAAAACAAGAGAACTGGTTTTCTTCTGTGTGTAGAAGTTTGAGTTGGTATGGAGGCTCTGCTTCACAGAGCCATCAGTGGGCCAGGCTCCTTCTATCTTTCCATTCCACCTTTCCAGGGTCATGTCCTTGTCTGTGTGTGGGGGTGGTATTCCAGCCAGTGGGAAGGGGAAAGAAAAAGAGAAGGAGAACACTTTCCCTGTGAGTGTGTGACCTGGAAGTGGTGCGAAGCACTTATGTTCACATCCCATTGAGGAATGTTTCTGTCTGTGAGAGAGAGTGGGAAGTGTGGTCTTATTCAGGGGAGCAGGTGCCCACCTAATCATTCTAGTCTCTGCCACAGGCCAGTTCCGTAGTGTTGGGCTGTGCTCTCAGGACCTCTGTTTCCACAGGCTGGGCTTGCAGGCTTCCCTCTGGTTGTGCAACAATATTACTGCCTCCTCCCGAGAGCCTGGTGACATCTCCTCTGCCAAAGATTCTCTCCTTGTCCAAACTTCGGCCGGGCTCCTCTGAGCCCCCTTCTCTATTAGGCCTCAACCTTGGCTTATAAGGACTTGAACAAACACTATCATAGTCTCTAACAGCTCACCCCTGTGATGACCTGAGGGCCCCTGTCACCGCCTGCCTAAAGTGCCTACTTGAGAAAACTCAAGGCTGTCAGAAGAATTTACTGTTTGTTCCAGCCAACAACTGAAGACAGGGCCCCTGTCTTCCAGTCTCTGGGAATACAGGAGCCTAACTTCAATAAGCCCGTCATCAAACCCAGATGGGTTTCCCATGGACAAAGCCCTCTCCCCACATTCTATAATTTCTCACTTCCATGACTTGCTTACCCTCTCCCTATCCCCTCATTCTTTATTTATTTATTTATTTAGAGATGGAGTCTTGCTCTGTTGCCCAGACTGGAGTGCAGTGGTGGGATCTCGGCTCACTGCAACCTCTGCCTCCCAGGTTCAAGCAATTCTCCCACCTCAGCCTCCTGAGTAGCTGGGACTACAGGCTGTGTCACCGCAGCTGGCTAATTTTTGTTTTTTGTTTTTTTTGGTAGAGATGGGAAAAAAAATGTTAGCCAGGCTGGTCTCAAACTCTTGATCTCAAGTGATCCGACCACATTGGCCTCCCAAAGTGCTGGGATTACAGGCATGCATGAGCCACCACACCTGGTCCCCTCATTCTCCCTTGAAAGCACCCAGTCACCTCTGCACAAATCAAAATCAGCTCGTGCTGGACTCCTTTCCTGATTGCAATAGTGCATTACTGGCAAAAATCTGTCCTTGTCATTTACTAGTGTCCGGCGTTGTTTGTCATTGACATGTCCCCCCATCCTTCCCTTGGCAGGGCTGGATTTCAAGATTTTGAAATCTTGAATCAAGTCAAAGGAATGAGAAAAAGTTTGAGAGAGAAAGTAGGACCAGGGAGCCATCGTGAGGGTGGAAGCTGCAAAGGCCCCGAGCTCTGGGAGCCCACACTATTTATTGGTGCTCAAACAAAGAAACAGGTGGTGAGAATGTGGAGGTTGAAAGGAAACAGTATATCAAGTGAATGAGAAACATATGACTGCTTGAGATAATGGGAGTGCTAGAAGCAAGGAGCCAGCAAGTCTAGCAGACATGCAAGCCCTGCCTTAGCTTCTCTCCCAACACTCAGCTTTTCTCCCAACAGGAAGCTGCTGGAACATTCTTGTACACATTGTATTGTAGAAATCTGCTTTCATTTGTCTTGGATAAACACCTAGGGGAAGTATTACTACGTCCTATGTTTGACTTTATAAGGAACTGTTAAACTGCTTTCCACAGTAGCTGTGCCATTTTGTGTGTCTGCCAGCAGCACGTGACAGTTCCGCCTGCCCTGCAGCCTTACCAGAAATCTTTTGATTTCACCTCTTCTAGTGGGGATGCAGTTATTGTATCATCGTGGTTTCAATTTGCATTTCCTTAATGAAGTACGATGTTCCACATCTTTTCATGAACTTTTTTGCCATTTTGTCTGTCTTCTCTGGTCAAGTGTCTGCTCAAACCTTTTACCATTAAAAAAGTTTAACTGGGGCCAGGCGCAGTGGCTCACTCCTGTAATCCCAGCACTTTGGGAGGCCGAGGCGGGTGGATCACCTGAGGTTGGGAGTTCAAGACCAACCTGACCAACATGGAGAAACCCCATCTCTACTAAAAATACAAAATTAGCCAGGTGTGGTGGTGCATGCCTGTAATCCCAGCTACTCCGGAGGCTGAAGCAGGAGAATCGCTTGAACCTGGGAGGCGGAGGTTGCAGTGAGCTGACATCACACCATTGCACTCCAGCCTGGGCAACAGAGCGAGACTCTGTCTCAAAAAAAAAAAAAAAAAAAAAAAAAAAAAAAGTTTAACTGGGCTGGGTGCGGTGGCTCACAGCTGTAATCTGAGAACTTTGGGAGGCCTAGACAGGTGGATCACTTTAGGTCAGGAGATCAAGACCAGCCTGGTCAACATGGCAAAACCCTGTCTCCACTAAAAATACAAAAATTAGCCGGTCGTGGTGGCACGTGCTTGTAGTCCCAGCTACTTGGGAGGCTGAGGCAGGAGAATCACCTGAACCCAGGAGGTGGAGGTTGCAGTGAGCCAAGATTGCACCACTCTACTCAAGCCTGGGCGACAGAGCAGAACTGAGTCTTAAAAAAAGAAGTTAAACTGTTTTCTTATTGATTTATAAGATATAAGCCAGCTGTAGTGGTGTGTGCCTCTTGTCCCAGCTACTTGGGAGACCAAGGCAGGAGGATTGCTTGAAACTTGAGCTCAGGAGTGTAAGGTCAGCCTGGGCAACATAGTGAGACTCTGTGTATAAAAGATAAACAAAAAATTTAAAAATGCATGTGTATCTCACTGTGCCAGGCTGAATGATGGTCCCCCAAAGATGTTCACATCCTAATCTCCACAACCTGTGAATTTCTGACCTTACCTGGCAAAAGGGACTTTGCAAATGTGATTCAACTAAGGATCTTGAGGGGGGAGATTATCCTGCATTACTTACGTGGCTCTGGTAATGTAATCACAGGAGTCCTCAAAAGAGGGACTCTGGAGGGCCAGAGTCAAAGATGGAGATGTGGCCACAGAAGCAGAAGTCCATGTGCTATGGGACCATAAGCCAAGGAACTCATGATGCCTCTAGGAGCTGGGAAAGGCAAGGGAGCCACGTCTCCCAGGAGCTCCAGAACGAGCCAGCCGTGCTGACACTGTGACTTCAGCCTGGCTGAGGCTAACTGTGGACGTCGGGCCTCTGTAACTGTAAGATGGTTAACTTTATGTTCGTTTGTGGGATTATGCAGGCACTCTCTGTTTAGTGGAGGACTTGAAGCTATCTCTTCTGTGCTGCTTCTGTTCCTACCATTGTTCGGGGTGGAAAGGAGCAGGATAATTCAGGTGGTGGGGACGGTGTGAGGAAGTCCAGGTAAACATGAGCGTTGCAGCCCAGGGAGCAGGCGAGTCTCAGTTACAGCAGAATGTGTGGGGAGAGTGGGAGGTAAGGCCCATTGGGTGGATCCACTAGGCTTTGGAGGCAGAGTTTGGGCTGCAGATGGTGAGAAACCACGTAGCAGTTGGCGCACTTAGGGATTTGTCAGAAGGGTCAGGGCCACTGGCCCAGGCAGGAGCAGGTGCTGGGGAGACAGCGCTCACCTGCCCCCTCACTGGGCTCTGATGGGAGGCCTGCCTGGTGGGCTGTTCATTATTATTGAACAGTGCTCCCCAGCTCCATGGACCAAGCTGCTTTTGTGAGTGAGGGGTGGGGAATCCAGGCCAAGGCCATCTCATCTCTCAGGGACCCTCTGGCTCATTGGACAGCTCCATCTCAATATTCTCCAAATTGTTGCTGGCCTCGCTGAGGACGTTCTGAGCTGGTGCTATCATCCTGGGCTGCACTTCACTCCAGTCCACCCACACTTTACTCTATTATCCTGCACCCTGAAAAGGTGTTATCGAAGGGGGCCTTGTGCATTGGAAGCCAAGTGCGCCTCTGTCTGGGAGCTGCAAAGTATGCAGTGGTCGTCTTTGCTGCTTCTGCCCCAGTGCCACACTCTCAAGAGTGAGAACATGGGCAGGATTGTCAATGGCTTCACTCCCCTGTCTCGCCACTGGGATCTCTGGCTGATGCTGGTCCAAGGATTCAGGATGCCTCCAGACCATGGGACAATGAATTTTCCGTTCTGTTTTCTACTTCTTCCCAGCCTAGGGCAGTTCAAAGCCAGCTTCTTTCAGGAAGCCTGCCCTGATAGCGCCACCTAACTAAAAACACTGATTTTCTGTGCTGCTCATTTTCAGTGGTAAGTGGTTGTGAATTCAGCATTTCATTGCACATGGTCTCATGTGGCTCTCTAGTGGTCCCGGAGAAGCAAGTGTGAGATGGATGCCTCGTCTGGTGAGGTTACAGACTTCCTGAGGACCAAACAGTTTTTCTTCCTTTGTGCCATGTCCCACAAAATAGATGATAAACCACTGGAGGGCAGGTACTGTTTGACATGAAAACAAAGTTTACGGTGCCCAATCATTGTTCAGTAAACTTTCCAAGGAAAGAAGGAGTGGAGAGGCCATTTGTTAATTGAAAAGATATTTCCTGTCTAGTGGGGTAGATTCCTAAATTTAGGGCTAAACGTGCCATGCAGGTCTAATTTTCTGCATCGTGCAAAGACAGTCCCTTTTGCTTCTTTTGTGTACTCTCTTTGCATTTGTTCCATAGACACCTGATGTTTATACAATGCCCTGTGCAATAGAGATGGAGGATTCAATGGTGAATGACAGGTGATTTTTCTCTGCAGGTGGCTATCTTAGCCACTCCAAGACTTTAACTATCTCTGTGAACATCAATCACAAATCTCCAGCTACAGACTCAAGCTCCTTCCCCAAATCTATTTCCTATATTAGGGGTTAGGCAACCTTTGCAAACGTTAAGATGCAGACGGTTAGACCTGCAGCCCCAAGAGGAGCTGAGGTAATGCTTCTCTTTGCCAGGAGGGGTGCATGACATCACCTGACCCATTGAAGCAGTGGGCACCGTGGGGGTCAGGGGATGCTAACAGGCACAGCTGGCCCTCCTCACCCATGGATTTCACATCTGTGGGTTCTGGATTCAACTGGGGATTCAACCACCTGGGGTAAAAATATTTGAAAAATATTGTGGCTTTACTGTGAAGGGGTGGTCTGCCCCTCCCTAGAAATACCTGTGGGTATTTCTAGTCGGGTGGGATGAGGGACTGAGAAAAGAAATAAGACACAGGGACAAAGTATAGAGAAACAACAGTGGGTCCAGGGGACCAGTATTCAGCACACCAAGGACCTGCACTGGCACCGGCCTTTGAGTTCCCTCAGTTTTTATTGACTATTATTTTCATTATTTCAGCAAAAAGGAATGTAGTAGGACAGCAGGGTGATAATAAGGAGAAGGTCAGCAAAAAACATGTGAGCAAAAGAATCTGTGTCATGATTAAGTTCAAGGGAAGGTACTATGCCCGGATGTGCATGTAGGCCAGATTTATGTTTCTCTCCACCCAAACATCTCAGCGGAGTAAAGAATAACAAGGCAGCATTGCTGCAAACATGTCTCGCCTCCCACCATAGGGCGGTTTTTCTCCTATCTCAGAATTGAACAAATGTACAATCGGGTTTTATACCGAGACATTCAGTTCCCAGGGGCAGGCAGGAGACAGTGGCCTTCCTCTATCTCAACTGCAAGAGGCTTTCCTCTTTTACTAATCCACCTCAGCACAGACCCTTTATGGGTGTCGGGCTGGGGCACAGTCAGGTCTTTCTCATCCCACGAGGCCATATTTCAGACTATCACATGGGGAGAAACCTTGGACAATACCCCACTTTCAAGGGCAGAGGTCCCTGCGGCTTTCCGCAGTGCACTGTGCTCCTGTTTTATTGAGACTAGAGAATGGCGATGACCTTTACCAAGTATACTGCTTGTAAACATTTTGTTAACAAGGCATATCCTGCACAGCCCTAGATCCCTTAAACCTTGATTTTATACAACACATATTTTTGTGAGCTCCAGGTTGGGTCAAAGTGGCTAAGGCAAAGTGGCTGGGGCAAAGCTACAAATTAACAACATCTCAGCAAAGCAACTGTTTAAAGTACAGGTCTTTTTCAAAATGGAATCTCTTATGTCTTCCCTTTCTACATAGACACAGTGACAGTCTGATCTCTCTTTCTTTTTCCTACGTACTGAACATGTACAAAATTTTCTTCTTGTCATTATTCCCTAGACAACTACTGACACAGCATTTACATTGAATTAGGTATCAGAAGTAATCTAGAGCTGATTGAAAGTGCATGCAGTGTGTACATAGGTTGTCTGCAAATGCTGCGCTGTTCTCTATCAGGGGCTTGGGCACCTGCAATGTTGGTATCTTCAAGGGAGGTTCCTGGAACCAATCCCCTACGGATACCGAGGAATGACAGTATTTGGGTTTTGATAGAAAGCTGAGAAACCCAGAACAGAGATAACCTCCTAGCAGTAGAAAGCTGAGTTAAAATCAGGAGAAGGCAGTGGCTAAATTCACAGTCATTTTACACACAAGAGCAAAACACATGTTTTACAACAATGGAGGAAAAACTCAGTGATCGCCCACTGAAGTGAATAAAAGTTACAGTGATAGTTACAACAACACAGCAATAGGGTATACTGAGAAGGAAGATGTCCTTCAAGAGTTTAGGGTTTTGTTGGGGGAGCCAGAGCCTCTCTCAGGATGCACCCTCCTTTGGAAGCACTGACTTGGCCCCTGGGCCCATGACATGGGAATAGCATGTGAGCCGGCCGAGTCCCAGCAACCCCTCAATTCAGTTTGTCTCCTTAGACAGCATCCACCTCCCCAATCCTCCATCAGCTCCTTTTCCAGTTTCCCCCATCCTGCACTTGTGCAAGGCAGGGAGGGAGTTGTCTGTGCTTAGGACAATTCCTCACATTGCCAGGAGAGGGCAGCAGATCACTCTCCCATCCCAGTTGCTGCCTTGGCGCTGTCCAGGATTCCAGTCATTTTTCAAGGGTTATTGAGAGCTTATGGAATAGGAGACCATTCCAGCCTCAGTTTCGGCCAGGCACTGGGAATGCAAAGCCGACTGAGATATGGGGTCCCGCTCTGCAGGAGCCCGTGGTCTAAGAAGGCAAGGCAGCCATGGAAACAGAAACAGGTCTAAAGAGTGGGGTGAGGCACTGGGGCAGAAGGCTCTTCAGGGGACTGTGGGGTCCCCATGAGGTGGCGAGAGGGGGGGCATCGGAAAACACCCAGCAGGAAGAGGTGCTAGAGCTGAGTCTTGGAAGCAGGTAAGTTTTCCCAGTTCCTAGGCCAGGCAAGGCACCCCAGGCAGAGGAGCTGGGCCTCCCGTGACACCACAGGGCGGGCTTGGGCTCAAACACAGGGTGCTGGGGCAGGAGGAACATCTCAGGGAGGGGAGGATCATGGAGGGCTGTCCTCCCTGGCCATGCTAAGGAATCTGTACCAGGACCCAAAGGGAACCGGGAAGCCACTGAAGGGTTTAGGAGAAGGACCAAAGCAGACCTGCACTTTTACATGACAGCTTCCTGTTCTGCCTGTGGAGGATGGACATGGCAGGATGGAGAAGGGAAGGCCTGAAGGCCACTGGCCAGGTCAGCTTGGCTTGAACTGGGTAGGAGAGCGACGGTGGTGGTCTGAACTAAGGCAGGAGCAGTGGGAGTGGAAAGCGGGGTGGGCGTGAGGTTGAAATGACAGGTCTTTGGCTGGATGGGGGCTGGGCCGGATGAGGGCAGAGGTCTTTCAACTTTCTGGCTTTAGTGGCTGGAGTGAGTGCTGGTGGCAGCTGATGAGACAAAGAACACAGGGGAGGAAGACATCTCTGGAGAAAGACTATGAGTCGTTGACAAATATGGGGCATCACCCAGTCCCCCATTTCATTCCCACTATACCCCCTAATCTAGATCCTTGCTATTTTTCATCAGTTCTGAAATACTGGCTTCTTGTTGGGTCTCACAAGGTCCAGTCTCTCTGTTGGAGGTGCCTGGGAATTCTATATTTCAATACGTGCTTATGAACAACCTGTCTGGGGCAGGCACTGTGATGAGTTCCTTCTCCTACAGAGCTTATGGCCTAGTGCAGAGCGAAGGTAGTGAAGGAAGAGACAGACGGTGAAGCTCATGGTTGAAGTCCAGTGTGCAGCACGGTCTCATGAGTCTTCGAACAGGCTGCAAGGAGAGCATTCCAGGTGGGGCCTGCGATCTGGACTTCGGAGTGTCGAGGAGGTTTCCTAAAGGAATGCCATCTGGGCTCAACTGGATGTGCAGGGGCTCCCTGGTGAGGGGGTCGGGTGGCAGCAGGCCAGGGCTGGGGAGAGGGGCTCCTGTGGGGCTGGAAGGGGTGGGTGCAGTGCCTGACCCTGTGGCGGAGGACATGAGAAGCAGGCAGCCTCCACTTGAGAGGACACTGGGGGTGGTCAGCAAGGATAACAGTGGCAGGGCCTGATAGGGTTAGCTTGCACCAAGCTGAGTGGGGAATGAGTTGTGCCAGGCCTCCTGTGGGTGGATGGATCCTCAGGCTTGGAGGGGTGTCCTTCTGAAGGAGACTTCCTAGTCTCTGACAGATTTGGGAATCTGTCAGATTCCCTCTCTCTGGGAAGAGGCTACAAACTCTAGGCTGGGCATGGGCAAACTGCAGCCAAGTTTTGTTTTACCAGAACACGGCCATGCTTCTTCACGGATGTGTTGTCCATTGTTGCTTTAGTGAGTTGAGTAGTTGCAAGAGACCACATGTTCTGCAAAGCCTCAAACATTTCCTAACTGGCTCTTCATGGAAAAGGTTTGCTAACCCCTGCTATAAACTGGCAGGCAGCTTTCTTGAATAGAGTTCAGGCCTGGTCTGCATGTGCTGAGACAGTGAGCCCATATCCTAAAGTTGGATCTCCCAAAATGCACGTCCGTCTCAGGTCTTATGAATCTGTGAGTCACTGAGCATGTGAAAATGCATATGGTCATGTTTCAATGTGCACATGGTGATGTGTGAACATGCATATGATTGTGCATTAGCATGCATGTGGCCACGTGTAAACATGCACATGGTCGTGTGTGAACATGCACATGGTTGTGTGAACATGCATATGACTGTGTGTGAACATGCACATGGTTGTGTATGAATGTGCACATGGCCATGTGATGTGAACTTGAAGGTGCAGTGCCAGGCGGGGATAGGCCTTCCATGAGTGGTCCCTGGGCTTGACCACTTGCTGCAAGAGGCCTCTTCCTGAATCTTGTCCTAAGCCTGTTAGCCCTTGCTTGGCACCATGGAGTGACTCTCTTGCTACTGAATGGGATTCAGATGCCTGAACCTGACCTTCTCCATACAGGGCCCTAGGAGACCATTCCAGCCTCAGTTTCCACCTCTCCCCAAATGCCTGCTTGCTTCAGCCAAACCTGACTACTCCCCACTCTGCACACATTACTTTCTCCACCTTGGTGGCTGAATCCTTTGGGGCCCACCTCTCACATTCTGCTCCCTGTTCTTGGTTATTTGGGCTTTTGTCTTGTGTGCTCTGTCAGGTTCTAGGCTTTGTAAGGGTGAATTCCAGGTCTCCACTCATTTATATGTGCCCAGTAGGGCTGGCTCTTGGGAGGGTCTTCATGGTGACTGAGGCCATGGATCCTTTGCACTGTTCCTTGAATTCACTTGGCACTTAAATTCTCATCCTGAAATGATGCTTTGAAAGTGATGCTTGCAGTCAATTATGGGTTCACTGTATTATGGATTCCTAACACCCAATACCTGGCACATAAGAAATGAATGAAAAATAGTGAATGAATGAGTGAATGAACTCAAGTATGCCTACAAGGTGAGAGGAAAGTGATCCTACTTACTAGGTGTGCTAGGAAGGCATTTGGGACTGTTGGCTTTGCTGTTGCATAGTAAGCCTGGGGCTCTGAAGGCTGGCATTTCCTCATTCTAAACCCCAAATTTCAATAAATTACCACCAAGTGGACAAAGGTCCATGGGCCAGAGCTCTTAGTGTGAATAACATACCTTTTTTGGATGTGATTAATGGACGGGGAGTATACAAAACTAAAAACAATGTGTACTGACTACCTGTAAGCCATGGTTATAAAGCACTCTGTATACATGATCTTATTCAATGCTTGCTACAAACCCATGAAGTGGATTTTCAGACACACTTTCTATTCTGGAGCATTTTAAACAAGAGGCTAGCGTAGTGAGCTTTCACCTACTCATCAGCGGATTCAGATATTTGTCATCTCGTGGCCAATCTTGTTTCATGTACACTCCTGCATGCTTCTCCTCTTCCTCTCGTTATTTTATAGCAAATCCCACATATCATATAATTTCCTCCCTGAATGTCTTGGTATATGTCTGTAAAAGATAAGGATTCTTGTTTTGTTCTTTCAAGACAAGGCCTCTGTCGCCCGGGCTGGAATTCAGTGGCACGATTATGGCTCACTGTGGCCTTGACCCCTCCTGCCTCAGCTTCCTAAGTAGCTGGGACTATAGACCCACACCCCCATGCCCAGCTAATTTTTAATTTTTATTTTAGTAGAGACAGGGTCTTGCTATGTTGCCCGGCTGGTCTAGAATTCCCAGCTTCAAATGATCTTCCTGCCTCGGCCTCCCAAAATACTGAGATTACAGGTATGAACCACTTTCCTGGTGACAAGAACTCTTTTAAAAACATAATCCCAATACCATGTTCAACCAACCATCCCACACCATTGCTCTTTAATATTGTCAACTCCCCTGCTAGCTCCAAATTTCCAGTAATTTCATATTTTTTTTGTTTGTTTGAATCAGGATCCAAATAAAGTCTCTCTTTTGGATTGCTTCATTCGTATCTTAGCTTTTTTTTGATCCTGAAAGCTTCCCCACTTGATCTCTTTTTTGTCTCTTGCAGTTTATTTAATAAATTAGGCAGTTTCCCCATAGTTTGGATTATGCTAACTGTATTCTCATTATGCTATTTCTGGTAGTTTGAATTTGGCTAATTGTATCCTTGTGATGTTGATTAACTTGTTCTTCACTTTGTTCTAGTTTTGATAAATTAGTAGTTTGATCTGAAAGCTTGATCAGATTCATGTTGGATTTGAGGGGTCAAGGCAAAAAGACTGTGCTAAGTTCTTCCAGCAGGAGGTGTGTACTCTCTGGCCACCTTTTTTTTTTTATAATGTTAACAGCCAGTGATCAATTATGGATTGAACAATGATGGTATTGTTATATCATTCCTTCTTCATTTATGAGCTGCCATACTTCCAGAAAGAAATATTGCTACCCTGAGAAGGGCCTTCCATGAAGAAAAAAAAGTAAATATAAAAAAGAGATGCAGCTTCTTATAAATTATTGTGCTACCCAGTTGTACAATTTATATAGAAAAGGCCAGTTAGTGGCTTGATTTGTTCTTTTTGTTTACCATTTTTCAAAATGATGGTCTGCTTCATTTATATCCTTTGATGGTGACTACTTTTATTTGTTTATTTATTTAGACAGGGACGGTCTAGCTCTGTTGCTCAGGCTGGCATGCAGTGGGACAATCATGCCACCACAGCCTCAAACTTCTGTGCTCAGGCAATCCTCCCATCTCAGCCTCCTGAGTACCTGGGACCACAGACATGGGCCCTTAAGCCTGAGTAATTTAAAACATTTTTTGTAGAGACAGGGTCCCCCTGTGTTGTCCAGGCTGGTCTTGAACTCCTGGGCTGAAGTGATTCTCCTGCCTCGGCCTCCCAAAGGCATGAGCCACTGTCCCCAGCCCACATTTATTTATTTATTTATTCTTTTTTTTTGAGATGGAGTCTTGCTCTGTTGCCCAGGCTGGAGCGCAATGGCGAGGTCTCGGCTTACTGCAACCTCCACCTCCTGGGTTCAAGTGATTCTCCTGCCTCACCCTCCTGAGTAGCTGGGATTACAGGCATGCACCATTACACCCAGCTAATTTTGTACTTTTAGTAGAGATGCGGTTTCACCAGGTTGGCCAGGCTGGTTGCGAACTCCTGACCTCGGGTGATCTTCCTGCCTTGGCCTCCCTAAGTGCTGGGATTACAGGCATGAGCCCTTGTGGCTGGCCAACCCACTTTTATTTTTTATAAAGAATCATTATGAATGCAGACATTCAAACACATTTGATGTATTTCAATCCACTGCAATTATTATCCTTATTAATGTATAAAATGTCCTATCTTTGGTTAGAAGGAGTCCCTTCAGATTGGCTCTTCAGACGTGTTGAAAGCATCCTAATCTTTGATAGATTCCTTGCTATCCAGAGTGACAGTGTTCCAGGCTTATCTTATACATTTCTGGCCTAGACCTGGAATCAGCACTCTCTCCAGGAAGGCTTGTTTTCTTTTAGTGGTATTTTGAGACAATCTTGGTGCTAGGGGTAAATATTGTAATTTTAAAACTTAAAAAAATTGCCTGGTGCAGTGGCTCACGCCTGTAATCCCAGCACTTTGGGAGGCTGAGGTGTGTGGATCACCTGAGGTCAGGAGTTCGAGACCAGCCTGGCTAACATGGTGAAACCCTGTCTGTACTAAAAATACAAAAAATTAGCTGGGCTTCATGGCAGGAGCCTGTAATCCCAGCTACTTGGGAGTCTGAGGCAGGAGAATCGCTTGAACCTGGGAGGCGAAGGTTTCAGTGAGCTGAGATCGTGCCATTGCACTCCAGCCTGGGAAATAAGAGCAAAACTCTGTCTCAAAAAAAAAAAAAAGAAAAAAGAAAAAAAAAAAACCTTAAGAAAATTAACAGCTTTATAGAGGTCTAATTTACATACTAAAATTCACCTATTTTAAGTGTACAATTCAATGATTTTTGTGTGTGTGTGTGAGAGACAAGATCTCACTCTGATACCAAGGCTGGAGCATAATGGTGCTATCATGGCTCACTGCACCCTCAACCTCCTGGGATCAGGTGATCCTCCTGCCTCAGCTTCTTGAGTAGTTGAGACTACAGGCTTGTGCCACCACACCTGTTTAATTTTAAAAAAACTATTTGTAGAGATGGAGTCTCTATGTTTCCCAGACAGGTCTTGAACTCCTGGGCTCAAGTGATCCTCTTGCCTTGGCCTCCCAAAGTGCTGGGATTACAGGTGTGAGCCACTGTGCCTGGTCCAATTCAACGATTTTTAGTATATTTAGTATATTTATGGAATTATGTAACCATCACCGAAATCTAGTTTTAGAACATTTTGTCATCCCAAGAAAGAAACTTGTGCCTATCAGAGTCACTTTTCAGTCTTATTCCCAGCCCTCGACAACCAGTAATCTGCTTTCTGTCCCTATACGAGGCTGTCCTGGACATTTCATATAAACTGAATCATGCAATGTGTGTTGTTTTGCATCTGGCTTCTTTCATGAAGCATTGTGTTGTTGAGGGTGACCACTGTGGTAGTGTGCCTCAGAACTTCCTTTTGATTGTTGAGTAGTATTCCTTTGTATATCCCACATTTTAATCCCTTTGTCAGTAGATGGGCATTTGAGTTGTCTCCACCTTTCGATTCTTGTGAATGGTGTTGTGAATATTCACATACAAGTCTTTGTGTCGACATACATTTTTATTTTCCCTGGGTAGATACCTAGAAGTAAAGTTGCTGGGTTTAAAGCAGTTTTATTTTTAACATTTTAAGAAACTGACATACTATCTTCCAAAAAAGTGGCTGCACCATTTTATATTCCCACTGGCAGTGTATGAGGGTTTCGATTTCTCCACCTCCTCTCCAGCACTTGGCGTTATCTGTCTTGATTGGTTGTATTCATTCTAGTGGGTGTAAAGCGACATCCCATTGTGGATTGATTTGCATTTTCCTAGTGACTGATGTTAAACACTTTTTAATGTGCTTATTGGACATTAATATATCATCTTTGGAGAAATGTCTATTCATGTTCTTTTCCCATTTTTAAGCTGGATTGTCTTTTAATATTGAGTTGTAAGAGTTCTTCTGGATATATCACTTATTAGACATATGATTTATAAATATTTTCTCTCATTCTGTGGGCTGTCTTTCCCTTTTTTGATTGTATCTTTTGATGTGCCAAAGTTTTAAATTTGGCTGATGTTCAATTTGCCATTTTTCATTTTCTCACTTTTTCCCTTTCCTCCTTTTCCAGGTCTCATTATTTAGCCCCAGCTGGTCTTGAACTGTGCTTTTGACATTGCATCTAAGACATCAGTGCCTTACACAAGATCACAAGGATTTACTCCTGTGTTTTTTTCTAAGAGTTTTATAGTTTTAGTTTTTACATTTAGGTCTGTGATCCATTTTCAGTTAATTTTTGTGTATGGTGTTAGGCAGAGACCCAAATTAATTTATTTGCACATGAATATCCAATTGCCCCACCACCATTTGTTGAAAAGACTATTCATGGTTGGACATAGTGGATCATACCTGTAATCCCAGCACTTTGGGAGACCAAGGCAGGAGTATTGCTTGACTCCAGGAGTTTAAGATAAGCTTGGGCAACATGGTGAGACATGTGTCTCTACAAAATGAAAAACAACAAAAAAAGAAAAGACTATTCCTTTCCAAATGAAGTTTCTTGACCCCTTTGTCAAATCAATTGACTTTAAATGTAATGGTTTCTTTCCGGGATTTCAATTATTTTTCAGTTAATCAATTCATTTTTTTTCGAGACAGGGTCTTATTGTGTTGCCCAGTCTGGAGTGCAGTGGTGTGATCATAGCTCACTGCAGCCTCAAACTCCTGAGCTCAATTCATCCTCCTGCCTCAGTCTCTTAAGTAGCTGGGACGACAAGTGTGTGCCACCATACCTGGCTAATTTTTTTTTTTTCTTTTTGAGACAGAGTCTCCCTCCATCACCCAGGCTGGAGTGCAGTGGTGTGATCTCAGCTCACTGCAACCTCTGCCTCCCAGGTTCTAAGTGATTCTCCTGCCTCAGCCTCTGGAGTAGCTGGTGTTACAGGCACACACCACCACGCCTGGCTAATTTTGTATTTTTAGTAGAGACAGGGTTTTGCCATGTTGGCCAGGCTGGTCTCGAACTCCTGACCTCAGGTGATCCACCCACTTCAGCCTCCCAAAGTACTGGGATTACACCACACCCAGCCATAGTTTTAAATTTAATTTAATTTAATTTTCATAGTTACAGAGTCTTGTTATGTTGCCCAGGCTGGTGTCAAACTCCTGGTTTCAAGGGATCCTCTCTCCTTGGCCCTTTAAAGTTTTGGGATTACAGGCATAAGACACCACACTTGGCTTTATTTTCTTTTACAGATACGTTTTCTCTCTCTTCCCCAGGTTGGAGTGTAGTAGCCAATCATAGCTCACTGCATTCTCAGATTCCTAGGCTCAAGAGATCCTCCCACCTCAGCTTCCTGACTAGATGGGACAGCAGGCCTATACCACCATGCCTGGCTAATCAAATTTGTCTTTAATTTTTATTTTTTTAGACAGGTCTCACTGTCTATGTTGCCCAAGCTGGTCTTGAATTCCTGACCTCAAAGGATCCCCCAACCTCAGCCTCCCAAAGTGCTGCAATTACAGGCATGAGTGCCCAGCCTGAGCTTTCAACTATATTCCAGTGACCTATACATCTGTCCTTAAGACAGTACCATACCCTCTTGATTACTTTGTAGCAAGTTTTGAAATTAGGAAGATAAGTCCTCCAATCTTGTTCTTCTTTTTCAGGATTATTTTGCTTATTCTGTGTCCTTTGCATATCCATATGAATTTTAGGATCACCTTGTCAATTTCTGCAGAAAAGGTAGCTGGGATTTTGATAGGAATCAGGTTGATCCTGTAGACTAATTTGATGAGTACTGACAATAATATTTAGTCTTCTGATCCATGAACATGGAATATCTTTCATTTATTTAGTTCTTTTTTAGTTTCTTTCCACAGTGAGTACTTTATTCTTTGGGATGCTATTGTGAATGGAATAATTTTCTGAATTTCATTTTTGGATTTCTCATTGCTAGTGTACAGAAATACAATTGATTTTTGTATGCTGATTTTGTGAACTTGCTGAACTAGTTCTAGTTTTGTTTTTTTTTTAAACTGGATACCTTAGGATTTTCTGTATACAAGATCATGACATTTGGGAGTAAGACAGTTTTACTTTTTCCTTTCTAATCTGGATCCTTTTATATATCAATCGCCTAATCATCCTGGTCAGAACCAAGGCTGCATAGACCTGCTGAACATGGCCATCCTTGTCTTGTTCCCAATCTTAGGGGAAAGCATTCAGTCTTGCACCATTAAATCTGTTAACTGTTAGGTTTTCACAGATGCTTTTCATCATGCTGATGAAGTTCCCTCCTGTTTCTAGTTTGTTGAGGGTTTTTTTCCATGCATGGGTAGATAATTTCACTCTCATTTACAGAAAAGGAAACTGTCATTCAGGCAGTCTGCCTTCAAAGATCAAGCCCTGGATCACAGTGCTATCTCTACAGCACACTCTTCCATTTAATTTTCCCTCTGGCCCTCCTCCGAATTCTCTCTTTCAGCTCACTTGGGAATGTTGGTGTTCTCCAGGAATCTCAGCTCTTTGCTCATGTGCTTCTCTCCTGAAGTGGGAGAATGGCTTCAGCTGTCACCTGCAAGCTGATGACTCCACACTCCCTATCTTCTTGCCCTCACTGAGCTCTGGTGTGGCCTCATGCTTCCAAGACTTTTCCACTCAGATATGTCAAGAAATCTCAAACCCATCCTGTCCTAGAATGCCCTGTTATCCCTCTCCACTCAAGAAGGCTCCTCTGACTCTATTTTCAATATTGGATGCTTCTGCCATTTGTCCTGTTCCAGCCTGAAACCTGGCCGTGATCCCACATGTTTCCCTCTCCTTGGCTCCTCCTCTCACCTTTTCTAATTGGTGGCCAAGTTCTACCTATGTTCTTTCTTCACCTGCACTGGTACTGCCTTGCTCCTGCCTCCAGTCTCATTCTCCTCAAATTCACCCTCCAGGTAACCAACGGAGTGATTTATCTGAATTACACGTCCTCTGATACTTAGCCCTTCACCAGTTCCCTATTCCCACAGCATGGGAACCAAGGCCTTTTCTCATCTGTTCCATTTCATACACTAGGAACTTCCACCAAAGACTGAAGTCACTAAATGCACTTTCTCATGTCAGTTTTAAGAGCTGTATGCTACTTTCGTCATTTGGAGACATTAGAAATTATGTTACTAGTTCAACTTTACTGTCTTTTGCATGTCATGTTGTCTCATGCCTCAGTGCTTCTTGTTTACTCTGTTGTCTTTTTTTAATATATTAAACTTATTTAAATAGAAACAGGGTTCTTGCTGTGTTGCTCAGGCTGGTCTCAAATTCCTGGGCTCAACTGATCATCCTGCCTCAGCCTCTCAAAGTGCTGGGATTACAGGTGTGAGGCACCAAGCCCAGCCCTGTCTTGTTTTGAGAGGTTCTTCCTCTTTCCACATCATCCCCTCTATTCCTTTACATCTTGAAAATGCCTACTCACTAGGCCCTCCTCTTTGAACCTCCTCCTAACTCTTGCAGAGTTAATTATGCCCTCCTCTGTGTTATTTCACAACATTGCATGTGCTTGTAATATCGCATGGGCTGTCCTATAAGTATTTGTCATTTTCTTACTCTCCTGAGTTCAGCATTTATACTAGATTTATCTTAAACACTCTTATAAATTGCCAGCATATAGAAAGTGCTTAAGAAATATTTGTTGTAATCACCTGAATTAGGATTTATCTATGTCTCCTTGCTTTTAATAGATCATTTTCTAATTTGTCAGTTTAAATACATTTTTAAGAGAACACCCCATCCCTAAGCCAAATTGCTTCTTATGCAGAAAAAAAAGCCACTACTGTGAGTCTCCAAGCTTCCCCCTGCACAGCCACCCTAGGAGACATGGGGCAGGAGTACTGGGAACTGACCCCTTCCATCTGCCCTCACTTAGCTTCCTCGGGTACTTACATGGGGCTGTCACTGACTTTACATGCTGCTGCAGCTCCTTAGTCAGCTGGTCCTTGTCATGGGACAGAAACTGTGGGGTCAGGACAATCAATGCCTTCACCACCTGCAGAACGAGGGCAGAGGCTCATGATGAGTGTCAACCTATTACATAGCATAAAAAGTCAGTATTTATTGAATGAGTGGAAAAACAAGGTGACGTTGGACCCTACAGTAGTTTTGGAAAATAAGAGGACCAGGTGCAAATGCCTGTACTTCCAATGTCCACTCCATGCCTTGAAAAGTTACTTGACCTCTCCTTAACCTCAGTTTCCTTCTCTGTGAAATGGGAATAATAAAGATTCCATTCCTCATTTGGTTTCTTTAAAGCTTCCATGAGATAATACATATAAAACATCCAGGTAGTTTACATTATTATCCCTGTCATCAGTACTTTCATCATTATTTTTACTATTATTATATATACCACCCTGTGCCTGTAACCCAATGGGTATTTGATAATTATTGACAATTTATTATTCATATATTAGTAGTGTTATCCCCATTTTATTGTACAAGGCCTTGCATATAGAAGGTGCTCAATAAACACTTTTTAATAAACAAATGCACGTATGTTCTTCAGCCACGTTGCTGAAATGCCATTCTGGCTCCACCCCTTAGTAGCTGTGTGATGTGGACAGATTACTTAACTTCCTTCTGCTCCTCTTTCCTCATCTACAAAGAGTAGAAGAGCTCTTAGATTATTCCATTTTGTGAGAGTTAAATTATTTGGCATGTATTAAGTGCTCACTAAATATAATCTGTCATCTTTATCTTCAGAGCCACAGAGAGGCCGCAGTGCCCCCAAGTCACTATACTGTGTAAGTGCACAGGCACACTATGCCCTCCTTCCCCCAAGGTTGCCCAGGTAAGGCCTGGAAGTTTCCCGGGCGTTTGCTTTCCTAGTGCCCATGTACAGACACAATGATCTCTGTGCCCTCCTCACTTCCCCTTGAATCGGGTCTGGGCTGCTCACCGTGGCTGACTCTGCCACCACTGGGTGGTCCACCAAAGCACGCTGCACCTCTGTAGCCCAATGCCGTACCTGGAGGATGAAGGGTTCTGGGGTAGATGCCAGGGCTGGGGTGAACCAAGTCCTCAAATCTCCTGCTTTGGAGAGTCACAGCTTCCCTTGGCACAGAGGGCAGAGGTCATAGGGACCCAGAGACTCCTGATCTGTCTGTGCCACGGGCCCAAAATTTGAAGACCTGGACATTGTAGGTGCTCCCAGGGCTTCTCGCCTCACTGCCTTTATTGACAAAGAAGGGCGAATGCTTAGTTCCCTGGGCCCTTGGCCCATGCAGCTTCACCAGACACGAAATCTCTTGGAAGCCTCAAACTTGGTCTTAAACATTTGTGCAAATTCTGCACACTATTTCCCATTGAATCAGCATGATTTTTGGCATTTATTAAATATATTCAAGGCATAAAACATGATGTTTTGATGTACATATACATAGTAGCACGATTACTACACTCAGGCTCTCGTATATCCATTATCTCACGTAATTACCTCTTTTTTTTTCTTTTGTGGTAAGAGCATTTAAAATCTACTCTCTGCAAATTTCCAGTACATCACATTTCAGAAATTTTAAAAAAATCACATCCATTTCTCTAAAATATCCAAGAGAGATTGTTACTGTAGTGTAATGTATCTTTTTAAAAAATCATGTAGGGGTTACGGACAGGGTCTCAGAGCCAGCCTGCCTCAGTTCAAATCTGGATTGCACCCTGTGCTATCTTTGAGACTTCAGGCAAATTTCTTCACTGGTCAGCCACCCAGTTTCCTCACCAGTAAAATAGGGGTAATAATCGCATCTCCCTTCCAGCATTGAGAGGTGAGTTATATAAAGCATTAAGAACAGTGCTTTCACATAGTAAGTACTCCAGGTTAGCTAAATAATTATAACAAATAATAGATTTATAATAATCTATCTTAATAGATTTGTTGTATTCATAGATTTATAATAGATTAATAATAATAATAAATAAAAAATAAACAATAGCTAAAGGTTAGTTGTTATTATTACTATGTTTGTTCTGTGACATCCTGTGCTGCATTAGAGGAGCACACACATGAAATAAGCTCCCTGAACCTATGGGGACCAAAACAGAGTCTTCCTTCTCAGTCTCATTCCAAGGCCCTTCTCTAAATTGCACAGTGTCTTATTATGTCTTCAAGACACTCTTGAATTTCATTTTGATTGATTCTTCTGTATGCAGGGGTTAGGGAGGTGCACCAAAACCTGGGATCAGGGCATTGTAGACATGGCTCTATTCAAATTGGGCTGAGGGTCCTGTCACCAATGCATGAAAGACTGTCTGGGCAAGCAAGATCCCAGGAGGCATATGAGGATGACAACAGCCAGCCTGGCATCAGTCACACCTACCCAGAGGCATTGATAGTGTCATGACTCCTCCCCAGGAACCAGATGTAGCCCTCTTCATCCACAGTTGCTCTGTCCCCGGTGTCGCAGACGTCCCCACATTCCACTTCGGCTGTGTTCTCTGGGTTACCCTACAAAGGGGAGAGAACTTCTTTGTTGAAGGCAGTGAATTTAGAGATGATGAGCCACAACCTCGGGTTCCAATCTGGGTTTCAATTCTGCCTCTGGTTCTACCTGGTACCTGGGCAAATTTTGCCATCTCTCTGAGTCTATTTTCATTACACGTAGGCACACGATGCATGCTACTGTTCTATGAGTGGTCGTGATTATACCAATTTCAATGACAAATTAAAAAATATCAATTCGCTTTTATGTGACACTATACTAGAATAAAATTTCTATTATAGTGTGAACTTTGTTCCCTGCTGTAAGCTCAGCATTCACACAGTGTCTGGACAGATGAGAGGGGTCAATAAACATTTGCTGAGTGAATTTTCTTCCCTAAATACTATCTCATTTGATCCTCACAGAGAGCCTATGAGGGTGGTATTTTTAAAGTTAACTTTTCATTTTAAGATAATTGTGGACTTGCATGCAGTTATAAAAAATAATACAGATTGATGCCCCTGTACTCTTTAGTAGTTTTCCATAGTGGCAACATCTTGCAAACTATAGTTCAGTATCTCAGCCAGAATCCTGATGTTGATACAATCCACCAATCTTCAGATCTCCCGTTTCACTTGTACCTGTGTGTGTGTATGGGTGTATTTATTTTTATGCAGTTTTATCACATATATAGGTTTGTGCATTCACCAGCACATCAGGAAGATCTCTGATGTTGCTCTTTTATAACCATATCCACCTCCTTTTTCTTCTCTTTTCCTCTCCTCTCCCCATCCCTAACCCCTTGCTAACAACTACTCTGTTCTCTATTTTTATAATTTTGTTGTTTCAAGCGTGTTATATAAATATAATTTAATAGTGTACAACTGTTTGGGATTGTTGGTTTTTTTTAGCATAATTCTCTAGAGACTCATCCAAGTTGTGTGCATCAATGGTTTGATCCTTTTTATTGCAGAACAGTATTCCATGTTGTGGGTGTACCTCAGTTTTTGTTTAACCATTTACCTACTGAAAGGCATCTCTAGGCCTTTCAAAACCTGGGTTGTCTCCAGGTTTTGGTTATTTTGAGTAAAGCTGCTATGTACATTTGCATACATGTTTTTGTGTGAAGCTGGCACTTTTTTGTAGCCCATTTTAAATAAGAAAAACTTCATGCTCAGAGAGGCACATTCACTTCCTCAAAGTCACTCAGCTGCTCACTGAGAGGGTTGGTATTTAAATTTAATTCTTGCTTCACAACCTATTCACTTGAACCATAAGCAATATCTCTTGTGGAACATGAAATGGTTTTAAGAGCTATCTGAAAAATCATTTTAAAAACATTGAATCACCTCCCTTTTTGGATTCACTTCCAATTATTCTGAGTATATCAGGTTGACTCTTAGTTTAGTGCTGACATGCTTTGAACTCTCTGGAAGTCCCAAGAGGAAGATACACTTCAGGATCAGAGCTTTCAATGGGAATAGGATTTAGGTAGAATATGAGAAAATTGTTTGTTTTTTTAAAAAAACCTATAGTTATAATTGCCTTCTGTTTATGGCAAGTAATACTGTTTTCCACTTGTGATACTAGATCAACGTGAGTGCCTTTGTGGACTAAGTTGGTAGGCACAAGATTACATCAACAATATAAATGGAAGACTGTACATGAGTAGAGTTTTTTTTTGTTTGTTTGTTGTTTTTTGAGACAGAGTCTCACTCTGTCACCCAGGCTGGAGTGCAGTGGTGAGATCTTGGTTCACTGAAACCTGGGTTCAATCCTGGGTTCAATCCTGGTTTCAAGTGATTCTCCTGCCCCAGCCTCCTGAGTAGCGGGGATTACAGGCGCATGCCACCACGCCTGGCTAATTTTTGTATTTTTAATAGCAATGGGGTTTCACCATGTTGGCCAGGCTGGTCTTGAGCCCTTGACCTCAGGTGATTCGCCCACCTTGGCCTCCCAAAGTGCTGGGATTATAGGTATAAGCCACCATAAGTTTTTGTATGCAATTGAAGTTAAGTAGGTATTAATTCAAATTAGATTGTTACAACCTTAGGATGTTGTATGTAATATTCATAGTAACTATGAAGAAAATATTTATAGAATATAAACAAAAGGAAATGAGAGGGGAACAAAATATGTCACTACAAAAAACAAACAAACAAAAAAACAGAATACTAAACATAGGCCAGTTGCAGTGGCTCACGCCTGTAATCCTAGCACTTTGGGAGGCCGAGGCGGGCAGATCACCAGAGGTTGAGAGTTCGAGATCAGCCTGGCTAACAGGTGAAACCCTGTTTCTACTAAATACATAAAATTAGCTGGGTATGGTACTGTGCGTCTGTAATCCCAGCTACTTGGGAGGCTGAGGCAGGAGAATCACTTGAACGCAGGAGGCGGAGATTGCAGTGAGCTGGGATCGTGCCACTGCACTCTAGCCTGGGTGACAGAGTGAGACTTGGTCTTGGGGAAAAAAAAGAAACTAAACATAAAAGAAGGCAGTTATAAAGGAAATGAGGGCCAGAAAATATTAAGCCATACGAAAGACAAATAACAAAATGGCAGAGGTCCTTTCTTATCAATAGTTAAGTGGAGTAAACTCTCCAGTCCAAAGGCAGGAATTGGCTAAATGAATAATAAAACATGATCCAAATATGCACTGTCTACAAGAGCCTCATTTTAGATTTAAAGACATGAATAGGTTGAAAGTTAGAGGTTGCAAAATATATTCCCCACAAATAGTAACCAAAAGAGAGCTTGGGTTGTTATACTAATATCAGACAAAATAAACTTTACGTCAAAAACAATTGCAAAAGATAAAGAAGGATATTATATATTAATAGAAGGGTCAGTTCATCAAGGAAATATAATAATCATAAACATATATGCAATAAACTTCAGAGCTCCAAAATACATGAAGCAAACATTGACAGAATTTCAGGAAGAAATATACAGTTCTACAAAATAGTTGGAGACTTTAATACGGCACTTTTTTTTTTTTTTTTTGAGACAAAGTCTTGCTCTGTCATCCAGGCTGGAGTGCGATGGTGTCATCTTGGCTCACTGCAACCTCTGCCTCCCAGGTTCAAGTGATTCTCCTGCCTCAGCCTCCTAAGTAGCTGGGATTACAGGTGCCTGCCACCATGTCTGGCTATTTTTTTTGTATTTTTAGTAGAGATAGAGTTTTGCCTTGTTGGCCAGGCTGGTCTTGAACTCCTGATATCAGGTGATCCACCCACCTTGGCCTCCCAAAGCGCTAGGATTACAGGTGTGAGCCACTGAGCCCGGCTCTAATATGCCACTTTTAACAGTGAGTAGAAAAACTAGACTGAAGATCCCCAAGAAAATAAAGAACTTGAACAACATCATAAACCAATTGGACTTAGCAGACATATATAGAACACTCCATCCAATGGCAGAAGAACACACATTTTTCTCAAGTGCACATGGAACATTCTCAAGGATGGACCATATATTAGGCCAGAGGAGAAGAATTAATCAACTTTAAAAGACAGAAATTATATAAGGCATATATCCAGTCATATGAAATGAATTAACAGAAGAAAACTTTTTAAAAAATCACAAATTTTTCCAATGTTTGAAAAATTAGACCAGGTATGGTGGCTCACACCTGTAATCCCAGCACTTTGGGAGGCCGAGGCAGGCAGATCACTTGAGGTTGGGAGTTCGGGACCAGCCTGGCCAACATGGTGAAACCCCGTCTCTATTAAAAATACAAAAATTAGCTGGGCATGGTGGCAGGCACCTGTAATCCCAGCTACTTGGGAGGCTGAGGCAGGAGAATTGCTTGAACCTGGGAGTCAGAGGGAGGTTGCAGTGAGCAGAAATCGCACCACTGCCCTCCAGCCTGGGTGACAGAGTGATACCCTGTCTCAAAAAGAAAAAAAAAAAAAAGAAAAATTAAACGACATACTCGTAACTAACCAATGGATCAAAAAAGAAATCACAAGGGAAGTTAGAAATTATCTTGAGATAAAAGAAATAAAAAACATAACACACCAAAACTTACAGATTGCAGCAAACACAGTGCTAAGAAAGTAATTTACACACATACTGTCTTAGCCCATTCAGGCTGCTGTAACTAAATGCCATAAACTGGGTGGGTTATAAACAACAGACATTATTAGAGTTCTGGAGGCTGGGAATTTAACATCAAGTCACCAACAAATTTGGTGTCTGGCAAGGGTTCATAGATAGTTGTCTTGTTGGGGCCTCGGCCGGGCACGGTGACTCACACCTGTAATCCCAGCACTTTGGGAGGCCGAGGTGAGTGGATCACCTGAGATCAGGAGTTTGAGACTGACCTGACCAATATGGTGAAACCCCATGTCTACTAAAAATACAAAAATTAGCCGGCTGTGGTGGCGGGCACCTGTAGTCCCAGCTACTCCGTAGGCTGAGACAGAAGAATTGCTTGAACCCAGGAGGCGGAGGTTGCAGTGAGCTGAAATTGTGCTCAATTTTTGAGACTCCGTCTCAAAAAAATAAAAAAGAAAAACACTTTGGGAGGCTGAGGTGGGCGGATCACAAGGTAAGGAGATCGAGACCATCCTGGCTAACACAGTGAAACCCCGTCTCTACTAAAAATACAAAAAATTAGCCAGGTGTGGTGGCAGGTGCCTGTAGTCCCAGCTGCTTGGGAGGCTGAGGCAGGAGAGTGGCATGAACCCGGGAGGCGGAGCTTGCAGTGAGCCGAGATAGAGCCACTGCACTCCAGCCTGGGTGACAGAGTGAGACTCCATCTCAAATAAATAAATAAATAAATAAATAAATAAAATAAAAAGATACCTGTCTTGTGGCCTCATATGGAGAATGGAACAAAGAAACTATTGGAGTCTCTATTTAAAGGGCACTAACATCACTAATCACCAAGGAAATGCAAATTAAAGCCACAATGAGCTATGACCTTACTCCTGCAAGAATTGCTACAATTAAACAGTAAAAAGACAATAGATGTTGGCTTGAATGTAGTGAAGAGGGATCACTTTTACGCTGCTGGGGGGAATGTAAATTAGTACAACCAGTATGGAAAACAGTATGGAGAGTCCTTAAAGAACTAAAAGTAGAACTACCATTCTATCCAGCAATCCCATTACTGGGTATCTACCCAAAGGAAAAGAAGTAGTTATATGAAAAAGACACAAAGACACATGCACATGCATGTTTATAGCATAATTTGCAATTGCAAGGATATGGAAACAACTTAAGTGCCCATCAACCAATGAGTGGATACAGAAAATGTGGTATATATACACCATGGGATACTACTCAGCCATAAAAACTGATGAAATAACGTCTTTTGCAGCAACTTGGATGGAGCTAGAGGCCATTATTCTAAGTGAAGTAACTCCAGAATGGAAAACCAAATATCGTATGCTCTGTGACTTTACTTGATACCACTCAAAAATGGTGAAAATAGTACATTTTATATTTTACATAAATAAGGAGACAAAACAAGTCTCAATGGAGGCATGCCAACATTTCATGGATACATAGGTATGGGTATATGTTAGGACATCTTTGGAAAAAAAATATGTTATACTCAATCAGAAAAAAAAAAAATTAGCTGCTGCAGTGGCTCAGGCCTGTAATCCCAGCACTTTCAGAGACTGAGGCAGGGGGACTGCTTGAGCCCGGGAGTTTGAAACCAGCCTGGGCAACATAGTGAGACCTCATCTCTACAAAAAATAAAAAATTAGCTGGGTGTGGTGGTGCACGCCTGGGTCCCAGCTACTTGTGAGGCTGAGGTGGGAGGATCACTTGAGCCCAGGAGGTCCAGGCTTCAGTGAGCTTTAAACACACTACTGCACTCTAGCCTGGGTGACAGAGCAAGACCCTGTCTAAAAAGAATAATAATAATAATTGCTTTGGACTACTCCCATTTCAGCTCAACCAGAATCTCTCTTTTTTTTAAATCAAGCCAAGAACTTCCAGTTTTTATTTTTTAAACATTATTTAACAAGAAAAACATTCAACCAAATTAAAAAGAATTAGGTTGGATTAATTTACCATAAAATAATCAACCATAAAATATCAGCCCTTCCATTTAGGGCCAGGGAGGCCAATAGTTCCTGTTTAAACAGCAGAATTGCACTATTGATATTTTTACCTATATTTGATGGCACAAAAACATAAAAGTCTTACAATGTCCACTGACATCCTTCTCTCCCTCCAGAGTAGAGTTCATATAATTGCATCTTAGGTACTCAGGCTTTTAAAAATCATCTTACATTTTGAAATATAATACAACTGCTCTGGTAACAAAAATATTTTAAAACAATTCTTATAGAAAACTAATACCTTAGATAATTGTGAAGAAAAACCTCATTGACAATTAAATGCTTTGTTACTGATGCATATTTTCTAATATGGGTGACCACAATGACACGCATAAAACGCAAAAAAAAAAAAACAACATATGGGACTACATCAACGTGAAAAGTTTCTGCATAGCAAAGAAAACTACTTTCCAAATAAAAAAGCATCCTATAGATTACGCAAAAATTTCAGGCAATCATGTAATTCACGAGGAGTTGTCAACTAACGTGTACACAAAAAACACTACAAAGTAGAAAAAGAATCCAATCTAATATTTCGCAAAGAACCTGAACGGACAATTCTGCACAGATATAAAATCGAACAACAGATAAGAGATAAGGTCCTCAAAATTAACTATTCATTAGAATACTGTAATTCAAAACCACACGCAGATAATCTCACAGTTATTGAATATTCCTAGAAAAAATTTTTCAAAATAAGAGGGGCTGGGAGCCGTGGCTCACGCCTGTAATCCCAGCACTTTGGGAGGCCGAGGCGGGCGGATCACCTGAGGTCACGAGTTTCAGACCAGCCTGACAAATATCGTGAAACCCCGTCTCTACTAAAAATAAAAATACAAAAATTAGCCAGGCGTGGTGGCGGGCGCCTGTAGTCCCAGCTACACAGGAGGCTGAGACAGGAGAATTGCTTGAAACCGGGAGGTGGAGGTTGCAGTGAGCCGAGATGGCGCCACTGCCCTCCAGCCTTGGAGACAGAGCGAGACTCCGTCTCAAAAAAACAAAAACAAATTGGAATGGGGGTTTGGTTTTGGAGAAAGGGGAACTCATACACTGTAGGTGGAAATGAAAATTAGGGTACACACCATGGAAAACAGCTAAATAGCTGGAAACTCCTCAAAGAACTGAAACTACAGATGTCCCCTGCTCTAGCGAGGTCTCTTTCTAAAGGTCCCGAGGCATAAAAAATAACCCTAGGCCCCAGCTCAGAGGCCCGTGGGGCTCGGAGGGACCCAGTCCAGCGCTTCACCGCCGCCTCTGGGCCAGGGCGCTCCTATAGGCTGGACGCGGGTCGGACAGGGGCATAGCCTTCCCGGCGGGGGTGTGGACGCTGCCGAGGCCAGGATCCCACAACCGCCCCGACGCTGACGACTCGGGCCCAGATGCCCACTTAGAAGTCAGGGCCCGAAAGCAGGGAGCGGCCGAGAAGGAGTAGGGAGACCCAGAGGGTTCCAGGTGGGGTTCATCCCCCTCCACTTACCGCCGAGGCCTGCCACCTCCTCCACCAACAAACGGAAGCCACCACATCTTCTCCGAGACTCGCTCTGACCACGCCGCCGATGCTGCCCGGGCCTCGCACGAAGCGCAGTCTCGGCTTCCGTCGGGGCCTGCATGCTGGCAGCGTCCCTGGCGCCAGGCTGAAGCACCACCCCCTCTTAAAGGGGCCGCGGCTGGGACTGGGCAGAAGCAGCTTCGGGTTGCACAGGCTGAGCGTCTGCCCAGCCCCAGGGGTGGACGAAAGGCCCCCAGTCTCTCATCCTCCCGGGCTCTAGGGCCCTAGAGGTCGCAGAAGCGCCTCCTGTGACCCCAGCCCCTAAATCGGCTCCCTTTGCCTGAGGAGCGCCCGGGACCTGCCCCTGCCCTCCTCGGGACCTCAGCTTCACCATCCGCAAAGAAAGCGGCCTGGCTGGAGCTCTGGGGTCCCTCAAGCTCGGCGCCTCAGGATCCAGGGTGGGCTCCCCTGCCCCTCTGCAGAGGGGGCCCAATAACCACGGAAAGCTGGGGGCTGGAGGGACAGTCCCGAGGGCAGCAGGGCGTCCTTGGCCTCACCGTCTACATTCGTCCTGTGGGAGCCCGGGGGCGTCGCTAGGGCCCAGACTCCTGCGGCCTCACCAGGGCTGCCTGGGTCACCGGGCTCCCCAGGAGGCAGGCAGGGGCCCTAGGGTCCAGCGCTGCCCCCACCTCAACTCCATTCTGCGTCAGCATCCGCGAGGGGGTCCTGCGGACTGGACCCAGACCCACTCCTTCCCGGGGAGCGGGACCGGTATCGGTCTCTGTGACACCCACGGGAGGGGCCGTGCTGACCTCTCCCGGGGATCTGGGGGCGGGGTGGGGGAATCTCGGCCACCTCTTGAAGCTCGCTGAGCCCCCCACCCCAGAGAGCGCGCAGGAGCAAAGGAAAGGACGGAGAGCCCACACATTTTCAATCTTTCATTTCCGTTTTTTCTTTTTTCCCCCCTCCAAAATGAAAGACATGTGTAGCTTTGTCCCCTGTACACGATCCATTCCCCAGGGCCGCTGTGCGGATCCAGCCCGCTGGTTGCCTCTAGGGTCCGCATGCGGCCCGGGGCCTGCCCAGGTGAGGTCTGCGGCCGCCACAGCGCTGAGGTCCCGCCTGGCCGGGGAGCACGAGCCGCTGGGGATGCTGGCTGCGAGGCTCCCGGGAGGTGGAGCGGGAGGTTGCCCCAGGCCCTGGCTGCAGAGCTCTTGATGTCACGCCTGGCACCCTCCGTCCACCGCCTCGGGGCAGCGCTTCAGAGCCCCGGCAGAGGCAAGAAGTCGATCACTTCGTTCTTCATTCGTTGGAAAAATTTAAAAGCACATTATAATCCCTGGAACAACCACGTCAGAGATAGAGCAAAAAATTAAAATAGGATTGTAAATGACACACTGAAATAAGTTTATTTTAAAAATGGTAGTCAATGGAAAAACAGGATCAGAAGACAGGAGAGACAGGGAAAACAAATAAGTTATCTGACTGAAACAGAATTAGAAACTAACAACAGTAAGAAATATTGGACATCTGAAAATATGTGAAAATTTAACAACCCACCTCTAAATCATTGGATCAAAAAAAAATCACAAGATAAATTGGAAAATATTTTGAGCTGCACTCCAGTTTGGGTAACAGACTGAGACCCTGTTTCTAAGAAAACAAAACAAACTTCAAAAAGCTATAAAATTAAATGCCAACTTTCCCCTTTACCCAAACTCTCTGTGGCTCTCCTTTGCCCTCAGAGTCAAGCCCATGCTTCTCACTGTGGGCTCCAGGAGCTAGGTGGCCTGACCAGTGCACACCCTATCACCATCTCCTCCTCTGCCCACTTGATCACGCTGTCCAGTCACACACACTCTTTATTTTTCCAAATGCCAAGCTCCTGATCACCGCTGGGCCTTTGCCACCGCAGTTCTGCCTGCCAGGACCAGTCTTTCCCTAGACCTTCCCATTCCTGCCTCTTCCTGGCTTGGCTGCCTCTTTCCGGTGCTTCAGGTCTCAGATCAAATGTCACCTCTTCAGAGAGGATTTCCTTGAAATCTCTGCCTAACACAGCCTGTATCAAGGTCAACACTTTTCTCTTTTTAGACTTACGTTTTGATATAAAGAAGTTTCATAAAAATGACTTGGGCAGCTATCATCTGTTTAAAAGGTCTGACTTTGTTGAAATAATTTGGGCTTTCCTGTTCTTTGAGTTTTGATAAAACAACTGTAAAATCATCTGCCTTTTTTTAAAAAAATTGAGATTGATGCATACTTTCTGTTATTACTATTTTTTTTACATTCTGTCTCCCAGGCTGGAACACAGTTGCTCATAGCTCATTGCAGCCTCAAATTACCTTGCCTTTGTAACAGTAGGTCCTCAGTCACCTTTCTCATCTACAGATGTTGGTTTACTTAAGCTTTCTAATTACTTGGAGGTCAGCTTAGCTCAGTGGTTAGCACAAGTTGCTAATAAATGCTCAAGTATGAGGGTGCAAAGAAAGGGGTAGGGAGGTGCAAGACTCTTGGCTTCAAATGCCCAGTCCCCTACTCATCTGCTCAGGCCCCTGTCTAGCCTCTGCATCTAAGCCAAACTACACGCCTCCTCCCCTGAGAAGCCCTCTTGGATTTCTCCTGTCCTGTCTTCCCTGCTCTATCCTCCGATGAGTGGATCCACCCATCTGCCTCTGTGCTGGGCAGATGCCACTGCTCTCTGCTTTCTGGCTGGACAAGGCAAGGGGGCAGGTGTGTGTGTAGAAGTCCCCCTAAACCTTGGCCTTTGCCTCATGCCTGGCACATTCAACCTTTGCTGACACCTCCGCAGAAATACCAACCTCACCAACATCTGCAGAATGGGCCGCCAGGGTCTGTCTGGAGCTTGGGTGGGATTTTCACTTGACTACAAATACACACACACACCCTAGGCTTCCGGGTCTGCATTCCTTGGCTGGCTCTTCACACTTGAGTCCAAGACAGGTCAATGGTTAGTGGCTGGATTTGCAAGCATGTGTGTTTCTGGGCAGGATATCAGCTGGGGCAGTCTGAGAGGAAGCTGTCAAGGGAAGCTAAAGAGGAGGGAGTCAGTCACGTCTCTCTTCACCTGTTGCACTCTCTAAATTTTACTGTCCACTCCTAGGCCTGATCTAGAGGGCTGTCTAGTCTAGGGGAGACAAAGTTGGATGTATCTACTGCCAGCCCCATGGGGTCAGAACTACAGGGGAAGGATGGGGACTGTGGGATTCCAGAGGAACAACAGGGAGGGCTTCTTGGAGGAATGCTTGTTCTTGAGCTGAGTTTTTTTTTCTCTGCAGCTCAGTCTGAAATGCAGTGGCACAATCACTGCTCACTGCAGCCTTGACCTTCCGTGCTCAATTGATCCTCCTACTTCAGGGTGGGACTACAGGCACATGCCACCACACACAGCTAATTTTTGTATTTTTTGTAGAGATGGGGTTACATCATGTTGTTCAGGCTGGTCTCAAACTCCTGGGTTCAAGCAATCCTCCTGTCTTGGCCTCTCAGAGTGCTGGAATTACAGGCATGAACCACCTCATCTGACCTGAGCTGAGTTCTGAAGTGTGAATAGGAGTTGGCTAGGTGAGGAAGGGAAAAAAGGACCTTCTAGACAGAAATATTTGTCAAAGATAGAGAGAAGTAGGCAGGAGCTGATTAGGGCAAGGTGTTTGAACGTCAGGCTGGATGCAGAAATTTTCTCACAAGGCCAATGTGGAACCATGGAGAATGTGTGAGCAAGGGAGGCCATGATTAGAGCTTGATCTCTCAGGGGCAGAGTGGGGGACAGCTTGGTTCTTTGGTGATGGGATCAGGAGAGTTCCAGTGTCATGGGGGGTCAGGAGAGTTAAGCCCCGCATCAACTCATCTGCACCTGTCACCTCGCACCAGAGTTGGTGGGGGACCTCCTGATGTTCTGGAGGGCCAAATAAGCCGTGGGATCCAGTGACTTACAGTGTGAGGTACAGACCAGCACAGAGAGGGTACCGCCCCAGGCTCTGCTCAGATGGACACAGCCCTGACCTCATCTCCAGCCTCCTGCCATCTCCACCCCAGCCCTGATAGTCCTGCTTTCCATGGTAGCCATGAGCTGCGTGTTAAAATGATAAATCAGCCCCATCCCTTCTCTCCTCAAAACCCTCTCATAGCTCGTCTTTGCTCTTAGGCTAAAACCCAGAGCCTCCTGCAGCTCAGAAGACCCAGTGTGGCCCAGCCTCTGTGGCCTCTGGCCCTCCCCACCCACTCCAACCTCACTGCTGTTTCTCTCCCCCTTGGGATCCTTGTACCTGCTGTTTCTTCTGCATGGAATTCACTTCCTGTCTCAGCTCTAGGACATCAGTCCAGAAAGGCCCCCAACTTCCTGCCTCTCGGGGTTCCCCTGTCTCGTGACCTCTGCACTAGCCATAGTGTCCCTATAACTAAAATTGAGACAGATTGAGAAGGGGCTTAGTTGAGCCTTCTATGCTCAAGAGACTCAGGCCCAAGCTCAGCCCCAGTCCCTGCTCTCATGAGACCACAGGCACAGGGGTCATTTGGGGGATTATCTTGGCACTGGGTCCTGTGGGATGGTGTCACCTCCAGCCTCCAGGGACCCATCCTAGCCATGGGAATGTGTCCAATTCCTGCCCAGGATTAAAATTAGCCCTGGAGATTACATTTAGTAAGTCAAGCTGGAAGTCAGGGGCTGGAGCCCACAGCCTGGGCTCTGCAGAGCTGTGGCGGCTCAGAGACTCAGCCCAGAGAACATGGAGGTATGCTTGGGGTCACACAGTGGGCCACAAGTGCCACCTGAGGTGTCAGATACTTGTGGGCCTGGGACACCTGGATGATGAAGGGTCCAGCATGGGCTGGAGCAGTGCCAGGGGTTGGGGTTCTGAGAAGCATCTGTGGCCACTCCCAGAGAATGACCTGAATTTCCTGAGAGTTTGTTGCCAGGCCTTGTGGTGGGCGCTTGGCATTTCATGCCTGCCATAGAGGTCTGTTACCTGTCCCATTCACAGAACAGCACATAGAGGCCTAGAAATCAGCCTCCTATGCTGAGAGCCACCTCAAGGGTCATAGAAGAGGCTGGGACCCAAGCATAGGCCCATGTGACTCTGGGGAGTCACTCATCTGAAGCCTCAAGTCATCTGTGACATGGCAGAGGCTGGGAGGTGGAGTGTGTTCACACAGTTGGCAGAGCGGGGATGTCCCCTGGGGGTCTCAGGGGCCTGGGATGGCATGCCTGCTGCGGAACGGGCAACATGATTTCTTTCTATTGAGGAACCTTGCATGGGGGTGCCAGAGAAAGCCTTGTCCCTGCCGTGGCCCAGCAGCCTCCTACTTCTGAGACCCCCACCGGGGGATCCAAGATTCCTTGAGGTGGGGTCCAGGGTTTCTCCTGAGTCACCAAGTGGACCCCTGGACCTAAACTCTGGTTTGAGGGCTCCAAGCCAGAGTCTTTCCAGGGAATCCCTGTACTCTCCCACTGGAACAGGGTGGGGTTTCCATCATTCTCTTTTCAAAAAAAAAAAAAATTAGCAGAAATAATTCACTGGTGGTTGGGGGGAATTGGAAGATTCAGATAATCAAAGAGTTAAAACAGGCTGGGCGTGGTGGCTCATGCCTCTAATCCCAGCACTTTGGGAGGCTGAGGCAGGCTGATCACCTGAGGTTGGGAGTTCGAGACCAGCCTGACCAACATGTAGAAACCCAGTCTCACTAAAAATACGTAATTAGCCAGGTGTGGTGGTGCATGCCTGTAGTCCCAACTACTTGGGAGGCTGAGGCAGCATAAGTGCTTGAACCTGGGAGGTGGAGGTTGCAGTGAGCCAAGGTTGTGCCATTGAACTCCAGCCTGGGGGACAGAGAGAGACTCCATCTAAAAAAAAAAAAAAATTGGAAAATTGTTGGGAATATAATCCACACAAAAATATCCTCAATCACATTAGAGTGGCCAACATGCCAATTCAAGAAATTTAGAGTACCTTTGTGAAGTACTATACAGGACAACAATCACCAAGACACAGTTATCAGATTCTCCAAGGTCAACATGAAAATAAAAGCCTTAACAGGAGTTAGAGGAAAGGGTCAGGTCACTTACGAAGGGAACTCTATTAGGCTAACAGTAGACCTATCAGCAGAAACCTTACAATCCTTAAAATCTTAGGAGCCTATTTTCAGCATCCTTAAAGAAAATAAATTCCAACCAATAATTTCATATCCTGCCAAACTAAGCTTCATAAGCAAAGAAGAAATAAAATCCTTTCCCGGCAAGCAAATGCTAAGAGAATTTGTTACCATTACACTAGCCTTACAAGAGGTTCTTTAGGGAAATGAAAAATAAAAGCTGCTAATATAAAACACACTTAAATACATAGCCCAAAGACCCTGTAAAGCAGCTACACAGTTGAATCTACAAAACAACCAGCTAACAAAACAATGACAAGATACAAATCTCACATATCGATATTAACCTTGAATGTAAATGGTTCAAACACCCCACTTAAGAGGGACAGAGTGGTAAGTTGGAAGACTCAACCATATACTGTCTTCAAGAGACCTATCTAATATGTAATGCCATCCATGGGATTAAAGGAAAGGGTTGGAGAAAGATCTCTCATACAAATGAAAAACAAAAAGACCAGAGGTTGCTATTGCTATGTCATATAGAACAGACTTTAAACCAACAACAGTAAAAAAAATAAATAAATAAAAAGCATTACATAGTGATGAAGCATTTAGTTCAACAAGAAGACTTAAAAATCCTGAAAATATAGGCATCCAACATTAGGGCACTCTGATTCATAAAACAAATACTTCTAAACCTGCAAAAAGACTTAGACAGCCACACAATAATAGTGGGGGCGAGTTACTGGGTGCAGCACACCAACATGGCACGTGTAACTAACCTGTAACTAACCTGCACGTTGTGCACAAGTACCCTAAAATTTAAAGTATATTTTAAAAAAAATAGTGGGGGATTTGAACATCCCACTGACAGCTTTAGACAGATCAATCATTGTGATGAAAACTAACAAAGAAATTCTCTCTTTTTAAAATGTATTACTATTATTATTATTATTATACTTTAAGTTTTAGGGTACATGTGCACAACGTGCAGGTTTGTTACATATGTATACATGTGGCATGTTGGTGTGCTGCACCCATTAACTTGTCATTTAGCATTAGGTATATCTCCTAATGCTATCCCTCCCCCCTCCCCCGACCCCACAACAGTCCCCGGTGTGTCATGTTCCCCTTCCTGTGTCCATGTGTTCTCATTGTTCAATTCCCACCTATGAGTGAGAACATGTGGTGTTTGGTTTTTTGTCCTTACTATAGTTTGCTGAGAATGATGGTTTCCAGCTTCATCCATGTCCCTATAAAGGACATGAACTCATCATTTTTTATGGCTGCATAGTATTCCATGGTGTATATGTGCCACATTTTCTTCATCCAGTCTATCATTGTTGGACATTTGGGTTGGTTCCAAGTCTTTGCTATTGTGAATAGTGCCACAATTAATATACGTGTGCATGTGTCTTTATAGCAGCATGATTTATGATCCTTTGGGTATATACCCAGTAATGGGATGGCTGGGTCAAATGGTATTTCTAGTTCTAGATCCCTGAGGAATGGCCACACTGACTTCCACAATGGTTGAACTAGTTTACAGTCCCACCAACAGTGTAAAAGTGTTCCTATTTCTCCACATCCTCTCTAGCACCTGTTGTTTCCTGACTTTTTAATGATCGCCATTCTAACTGGTGTGAGATGGTATCTCATTGTGGTTTTGATTTGCATTTCTCTGATGGCCAGTGATGATGAGCATTTTTTCATGTGTTTTTTGGCTGCATAAATGTCTTCTTTTGAGAAGTGTCTGTTCATATCCTTTGCCCACTTGTTGATGGGGTTGTCTGTTTTTTCTTGTAAATTTGTTGGAGTTCATTGTAGATTCTGGATATTAGCCTTTTGTCAGACGAGTAGGTTGCAAAAATTTTCTCCCATTCTGTAGGTTGCTTGTTCACTCTGATGGTGGTTTCTTTTGCTGTGCAGAAGTTCTTTAGTTTAATTAGATCCCATTTGTCAATTTTGGCTTTTGTTGCCATTGCTTTTGGTGTTTTAGACGTGAAGTCCTTTCCCACGCCTATGTCCTGAATGGTATTGCCTAGGTTTTCTTCTAGGGTTTTTATGGTTTTAGGTCTAACATGTAAGTCTTTAATCCATCTTGAATTAATTTTTGTGTAAGGTGTAAGGAAGGGATCCAGTTTCAGCTTTCTACGTATGGCTAGCCAGTTTTCCCTGCACCATTTATTAAATAGGGAATCCTTTCCCCATTGCTTGTTTTTGTCAGGTTTGTCAAAGGTCAGATGGTTGCAGATATGCGGCATTAATTCTGAGGGCTCTGTTCTGTTCCATTGGATTATATCTCTGTTTTGGTACCAGTACCATGCTGTTTTTGTTACTGTAGCCTTGTAGTATAGTTTGAAGTCAGGTAGCGTGATGCTTCCACCTTTGTTCTTTTGGCTTAAGATTGACTTGGCAATGCAGGCTCTTTTTTGGTTCCATATGAACTTTAAAGTAATTTTTTCCAATTCTGTGAAGAAAGTCATTGGTAGCTTGATGGGGATGGCATTGAATCTATAAATTACCTTGGGCAGTATTGCCATTTTCATGATATTGATTCTTCCTACCCATGAGCATGGAATGTTCTTCCATTTGTTTGTATCCTCTTTTATTTCATTGAGCAGTAGTTCGTAGTTCTCCTTGAAGAGGTCCTTCACGTCCCTTGTAAGTTGGATTCCTAGGTATTTTATTCTCTTTGAAGCAATTGTGAATGGGAGTTCACTCATGATTTGGCTCGCTGTTTGTCTGTTATTGGTGTATAAGAATGCTTGTGATTTTTGCACATTGATTTTGTATCCTGAGACTGCTGAAGTTGCTTATCAGTTTAAGGAGATTTTGGGCTGAGACAATGGGGTTTTCTAGATATACAGTCATGTCATCTGCAAACAGGGACAATTTGACTTCCTCTTTTCCTAATTGAATGCCCTTTATTTCTTTCTCCTGCCTGATTGCCCTGGCCAGAACTTGCAACACTATGTTGAATAAGAGTGGTGAGAGAGGGCATCCCTGTCTTGTGCCAGTTTTCAAAGGGAATGCTTCCAGTTTTTGTCCATTCAGTATGATATTGGCTGTGGGTTTGTCATAGATAGCTCTTATTATTTTGAGATACGTCCCATCAATACCTAATTTATTGAGAGTTTTTGGCATGATGCGTTGTTGAATTTTGTCAAAGGTCTTTCCTGAATCTATTGAGATAATCATGTGGTTTTTTCATTGGTTCTGTATATATGCTGGATTATGTGTGTTGATTTGCGTATGCTGAACCAGCCTTGCATCCCAGGGATGAAGCCAACTTGATCTTGGTGGATAAGCTTTTTGATGTGATGCTGGATTTGGTTTGCCAGTATTTTATTGAGGATTTTTGCATCAATGTTCATCAGGGATATTGGTCTAAAATTCTCTTTTTTTGTTGTGTCTCTGTCAGGCTTTGGTATCAGGATGATGCTGGCCTCATAAAATGAGTTAGGGAGGATTCCTTCTTTTTCTATTGATTGGAATAGTTTCAGAAGGAATGGTACCAGCTCCTCTTTGTACCTCTGGTAAAATTCGGCTGTGAATCCATCTGGTCCTGGACATTTTTTGGTTGGTAGGCTATTAATTATTGCCTCAATTTCAGAGCCTGTTATTGGTCTATTCAAGGATTCAAATTCTTCCTTGTTTAGTCTTGTGAGGGTGTATGTGTCGAGGAATTTATCCATTTCTTCTAGATTTTCTAGTTTATTGCATAGAGGTGTTTATAGTATTCTCTGATGGTAGTTTGTATTTCTGTGGGATCAGTGGTGATATCCCCTTTATCATTTTTTATTGTGTTTATTTGATTCTTCTCTCTTTCCTTCTTTATTAGTGTTGCTAGCGGTCTATCTATTTTGTTGGTCTTTGCAAAAAACCAGCTCCTGGATTCATTGATTTTTTGAAGGCTTTTTGTGTCTCTATTTCCTTCAGTTCTGCTCTGATCTTAGTTATTTCTTGCCTTCTGCTAGCTTTTGAATGTGTTTGCTCTTGCTTCTCTAGTTCTTTTAATTGTGATGTTAGGGTATCGATTTTAGATCTTTCCTGATCTCTCTTGTGGGCATTTAGTGCTATAAATTTCCCTCTACACACTGCTTTATAGGTGTCCCAGAGATTCTGGTATGTTGTGTCTTTGCTCTCTTTGGTTTCAAAGAACATCTTTATTTCTGCCTTCATTTCATTATGTACCCAGTAGTCATTCAGGAGCAGGTTGTTCAGTTTCCATGTAGTTGTGCAGTTTTGAGTGAGTTTCTTAATCCTGAGTTCTAATTTGATTGCACTGTTGTCTGAGAGACAGTTTGTTGTGATTTCTGTTCTTTTACATTTGGTGAGTAGTGCTTTACTTCCAACTATGTGGTCAATTTAAGTATAAGTGAGATGGGGTGCTGAGAAGAATGTATATTCTGTTGATTTGGGGTACAGAGTTCTGTAGATGTCTGTTAGGTCCACTTGGTGCAGAGCTGAGTTCAAATCCTGGATATCCTTGTTAACTTTCTGTCTTGTTGATCTGTCTAATGTTGACAATGGGGTGTTAAAGTCACCCATTATTATTGTGTGGGAGTCTAAGTCTCTTTGTACATCTCTAAGGATTGGCTTTGTGAATCTGTGTGCTCCTGTATTGGGTGCATATATATTTAGGATAGTTAGCTCTTCTTGTTGAATTGATCCCTTTACCATTATGTAATGGCCTTCTATGTCTCTTTTGATCTTTGTTGGCTTAAAGTCTGTTTTTCCTGAGACTAGGATTGCAACCTCTGCTTTTTTTTGTTTTCCATTTGCTTGGTAGATCTTCCTCCATCCCTTTATTTTGAACCTATATGTGTCTCTGCATGTCAGATGGGTCTCCTGAATACAGCACACTGATGGGTCTTGACTCTTTATCCAATTTGCCAGTCTGTGTCTTTTAATTGGAACATTTAGCCCATTTACATTTAAGGTTAATATTGTTACATGTGAATTTGATCCTGTCATTATGATGTTAGCTGGTTATTTTGCCCATTAGTTGATGCAGTTTCTTCCTAGCATCGATGGCCTTTACAATTTGGCATGTTTTTGCAGTGGCTGGTACTGGTTGTTCTTTCTGTGTTTACTGCTTCCTTCAGGAGCTCTTGTAGGGCAGGCCTGGTGGTGACAAAATCTCTCAGCATTTGCTTGTCTATAAAGGATTTTCTTTCTCCTTCACTTATGAAGCTTAGTTTGGCTGGATATGAAGTTCTGTGTTGAAACTTCTTTTCATTAAGAATGTTGAATATTGGCCCCCACTCTCTTCTGGCTTGTAGAGTTTCTGCTGAGAGATCCGCTGTTAGTCTGATGGGCTTCCCTTTGTGGGTAACCCGACCTTTCCCTCTGGCTGCCCTTAACCTTTTTTCCTTCATTTCAACCTTGGTGAATCTGACAATTCTGTGTCTCAGGGTTGCTCTTCTCATAGAGTATCTTTGTGGTGTTCTCTGTATTTCCTGAATTTGAATGTTGGCCTGCCTTGCTAAGTTGTGGAAGTTTTCCTGGATAATATCCTGAAGAGTGTTTTCCAACTTAGTTCCATTCTCCCCGTCAATTTCAGGTACACCAATCACAAGTAGATTTGGTCTTTTCACATAGCCCCATATTTCTTGGAGGCTTTGTCCATTTCTTTTTACTCTTTTTTCTCTAAACTTCTCTTCTCACTTCATTTCATTCATTTGACCTTCAATCACTGATCCCCTTTCTTCCACTTGATCAAATCGGCTACTGAAGCTTGTGCATGCATCACGTAGTTCTTGTGCCATTGTTTTCACCTCCATCTGGTCATTTAAGGTCTTCTCTATGCCGTTTATTCCAGTTAGCCATTCATCTAATCTTTTTTCAAGGTTTTTAGCTTCCTTGCGATGGGTTCGAACATCCTCCTTTAGCCTGGAGAAGTTTGTTATTACAAACCTTCTGAAGCCTACTTCTGTCAACTCATCAAAGTCATTCTCTATCCAGCTTTGTTCCATTGCTGTGGAGGAGCTGTGACACTTTGGAGGAGAAGAGGTGCAGTGGTTTTTAGACTTTTCAGCTTCTCTGCTCTGGTTTCTCTCCATCTTTGTCATTTTATCTACCTTTGGTCTTTGATGATGGTGACCTACAGATGGGGTTTTGGTGTGGATGTCCTTTTTGTTGATGTTGATGCTATTGCTTTTGTTTGTTAGTTTTCCTTCTAACAGATTCCTTAGCTGCAGGTCTGTTGGAGTTTGCTGGAGGTCTACTGCAGACCCTGTTTGCCTGGGTATCACTGGCAGAGGCTTCAGAACAGCAAATATTGCAGAACAGCAAATGTTGCTGCCTGATCTTTCCTCTGGAAGCTTTGTCTCAGAGGGGCACCTGGCTGTATGAGGTGTCAGTTGACCCCTACTGGGAGGTGTCTCTCAGTTAGGCTACTTGGGGGTCAGGGACACACTTGAGGAGGCAGTCTGTCCATTCTCAGAGCTTAAACTCCATTCTGTGGGAACCACTGCTCTCTTCAGAGCTGTCAGACAGGGAAGTTTAAGGCTGTAGAAACTTCTGCTGTAGAAAGTTTCTGCTGCCTTTTGTTCAGCTATGCCCTGCCCCTAGAGGTGGAGTCTACAGAGGCAGGCAGTCCTGGTTGAGTTGTGGTGGGCTCCACCCAGTTCAAGCTTCCTGGTGGCTTTGTTTACCTAGTCAAGCCTCAGCAATGGCGGATGCCCCTCCCCCAGCCTGTCTGCTCCCTCCCAGTTCGATCTCAGACCGCTGTGCTAGCAGTGAGCAAGCCTCCATGGGCATGTGATCCTCCGAGCCATGTGCGGGATATAATCTCCTGGTGTGCCATTTGCTAAGACTGTTGGAAAAGCACACTATTAGGGTGGAAGTGTCCCGATTTTCCAGGTACCATCTCTCATGGCTTCCCTTGGCTAGGAAAGGGAAATCCCCCAACCCCTTGTACTTCCTGGATGAGGTGATGCCCCACCCTGCTTCAGCTCACCCTCTCCGTGGGCTACACCCACTGTCCAACCAGTTCCAGGTACTTCAGTTGGAAATGCAGAAATCATCTGTCTTCTGTGTTGATAGTGCTGGAGCTGTAGACCAGAGCTGTTCCTATTTGGCCATCTTTGTGCCTCCCCTTGTTTTTTTTTTCTTCTGATTTCAACTTGACAGCAGAACTCAACCATGCTGATGGTGCAGACGCAGGTTGGTAGGAACTTTTCATTGTTTGATTCTGACATTTATGATAAATGGATTCACTTACTAAAGTTTTGTAGAGAGAGTAATAACTATTTAATCACCTAGATGATATTTCCTTTATAAAATCAAACATATCTGGTGGTTTTAGAGCAATATTTTTTACCTCAGTCACTTGTGTTTATTAGACAAGAATACTAAGTGTCAAGATGTTTGCATTGCCTTTCATATTTTTATTTAGGGGACAGTGTAATGATAAATGACTTTGAATATATAACCAGACACACCTTCATCCCCCCCCAAATCTGTGCTAATTTACTGTTTTTTATATTTCATGCATGAAGCTAAATTGTTTTTACCCATGGGTTAAAGCAAAATGATACAATGATACCTGAATCCTGGCCAAATAACATGAAATGGCAACTGCAAAATTGTTCTGCAAAATTTTACAAGGTATTATGGTATTGAGGATATCCCAAGAAAACTTGAGAGGCATTATCTTTCTCATTGGAGACTGATATTCCTGTATCAAGTAAAGTCTCAGGAAAAAGAACTATGTGTGACTATTTTAATGCAACCTCTTGGTTGAAATAAAATGATTAAAAGTAGTGTTTATCTTGTTGATAACTGAGAAGCAAATATTAAAAATTTTGTTCTGAGATGAAGAGAGTTCACATGATAAGTCTCTGGGATGTGAAGTAAACTGGGAAAGCACCAGGACCATTTCTAAGACATACAGTTAATCAGGGTTTGGATAAACAGAATAATGTTCCCCACTCCCTAAAAAAGATATTTACATCCAAGTTCTTAGATACTGGAAATACATTACAATTCATGGCAAAGAGAATATAAGGTTGCAAATGGGATCAAAATTGCTGATATGCTGATGAAAAATAAGAAGACTATTATGAATTATCATGGTGGGCCCAGTAGAATCATAAGCATCAAAAACCATGGAAGAGTGAAGAATAAACCGTATCAAAGTGATAGATCATGAGAAAGACTCAATTGGATATATTTTTAATTGTTTGCTTTAGTGAGTCTTTCCACTTTAGCATACATTTTATTCAATTCGACTGTGCAAATGTGATTCATTTTATATGCCTGTCACTGAATTGGGTGCTAAAAATAAAATGAGAGAACACAAAATAACAAAAATTGATTTCTAAAGATGGAGGGCAAAGGGCATTAGGAATATAGATAGTGTGCACCCTATACAGGCATGATTGTAAATGTATTCATTATATATAGAGAGTAATAATTATATATATATAATTATTTGGCTTAGAAAAGAGTGCAGGGGGTACATTATCAAGAATTTAGCATCAAGGTTAATCAAGAATAAGTGAGTAAAATAAAAATAATAATGATGGTAATAATTTCAAACACTGAAGAAAGAACATTGATGATATGAGTCATTTTTTTTCAGATCTACAAAATATGTTTCTTCTATGCCATTAGGATGAACACAGTTTTCACTTACGTTATCTTTTAAAAATGCCTTTAATTGTCAAGCTAGCATTAGAATCTCAGCCAACATCTTCCATCTTCTCTTCCACATTTTTACATTCTTTCAGGATCATAGGCCTAAGACCCATGACCTGGTCACCTGTCATTTGGCCTTTTTCCACCTAGTAATGCTCTTCACTGCAATGGAGTTTTTGTCTCCAGACATGTTTGAGTCACTGAATTTTCAGAATAACTTTAGATGTAAAGCTTTCTTTTTTTTTTTTTTGGAGACGGAGTCTCGCTCTGTTGCCCAGGCTGGAGTGCAGTGGCGCGATCTCAGCTCACTGTAAGCTCCACCTCCCGGGTTCATGCCATTCTCCTGCCTCAGCCTCCCAAGTGGCTGGGACTACAGGCGCCTGCCACCACGCCCGGCTAATTTTTTTTGTATTTTTTAGTAGAGACGGGGTTTCACCGTGTTAGCCAGGATGGTCTCGATCTCCTGACCTCGTGATCCACCCGCCTCGGCCTCCCAAAGTGCTGGGATTACAGGCGTGAGCCACCGCACCTGGCCTAAAGCTTTCTTCTATTTGCAGAAGGTGATGAGGGGCCTCTCCATCTGCACCACCTGCCTCCTGAGCATGTTCCAGGCCATTACCATCAGCCCCAGCACCTCCTGGTTGGTGAGATTTAAACATAAATTTACAAAATACGATATCCTGGGCTTATTCGTTTTTTGGTTTAGCAATTTGTCTTTCAGTAGCGACATGATAATCTACACTGTAGGTTATTCCAATGACCCAGATAATTTTGAATATCAGCAAATATTGCACATTTTTCCCAATGAATGTCCTCATCAGGGCGCTATTTCTTATGCTATCATTATCCAGAGATGCCTTCTTCATAGGAATCACGCTGCTCTCAAGTGTATACATGGTCATTCTTTTGTCCAGGCATCAGAGGCACTCCCAGCACTTTCACAGCAGCAGCCTTATATTAAGGACCTCTCTAGTGAAAATGGCCACCAAGACCATCCTGATGCTGGTGAATTCCTTTGTGCTGATGTACTCAGTGGACTTCATCCTCTCATCATCCACAATGCTGTTATGGGTAATTGGCCCTGTCACCTATGGTGTCCACAAGTTTGTGGTCAATGCCTATGCCACTGTCAGTCCTCTGGTGCTAATCAGATCTGATAAAAGAATCATCAATATTCTGCAAAAGTTTCAATGGAAGTGCCATCTATTTTTAACAAGTTGGTGATAAAATTTTCTAAAAATTATTTCCTTGTAATCAATTAAATTATACAAAACACATAATTTTCTTTCTGATTTAAATAAAACATGTGAATTGTACTTTTATAATATCTCAATATCTTTTAATTTTTTGGTGCCAAGAACTATGTGCTTTCCTCAGTTCAATGTCCACTATGATTTTGTATTCTCAAGGTCTGTCTCTCACCCCTTCATTTTAATTTTAACCTGTATACAGGAAAATGTTATTTTCTTCTTGAGTACACTCTTACGCGGCTCCTATTGGCAAGCAAATCTCTTAGTTTTAATTTTTGAAATTATTTTAATTTTTCTTGTTTATTGAAGATATTTAGCTATATTCAAATTCTAGCTTGAATAAAAAATTTTTTAAGCATAATTTTAAAATTTGTTTTTAATTGAAAATAACATTGTGTAAGTTTATTATGTATGTTTTGAATTACATATAGATTATAAAATGATTAAATCTAGCTAATTAACAAATGCATGATCTAAAAGTTATTTTTTGTGGTGAAAACACTTAACATCAACTACCTTTTCATTTTTCAGGACTGCAATATATCATAATTAAGTATGGCTGCCGTGCTGCGTAACAGATCTTGTAAAATATATTTCTTCTATCTAATAATAATTATGTTTCCTTTGACCAACATCTTTCCATCCTGTCCTCCCCACTAACCACCGCAGGCTCTGGTAACCACCATTCTACTCTCTACTTCTAAGAGATAAGCTTGTTTAGACTCCACATTTAATAAATTCCTGTGTTATTTGTCTCTCTGTGTCTGGCTTATTTCACTTAACACAATGTCCTTCAGGTTCATCTATGTTGTCTTAAATGGCAGAATTTTATTCTGCCATTTATTTTATTATGCCATATATTTGTGGCCAAATAGCATTTCATTGTGTTTACATACCATGTTGTCTTATCCATTTATTCTTTGATGGGCACTGTGATTGATTCCATATCTTGGCCATTGTCAATAGTGCTGTAATAAACATGGGAGTGTAGCTATCTCTTTAACATACTGATTTTATTTCTGTTGGCTATATGCCCAGTTGTGGAATTGCTGGAACATACAGTAGTTCCATTTCAGGTTGAGAAACTTCCATACTTGTTTTTCATAGTGGCTGTATTAATTTGTATTCAAACCAACAGTTTATAAGAGTTCCCTTTATTCCACATCCTTGCCAACACTTGTTCTCTTCTGTCATTTCGATTATGGCCATTCTAGTTAAGATAAGGTAATGTCTGGTATTGTTTTGATTTGCATCTCCCTGGAGGTGATAAACACCAAGACAGAGAAACTGGGAGATACAAGAGGACAGAAACGACTCAGTGATAGACACCATGGAGTCTCATCCACAATCGGCACACTCTGATCTTCTAATCAAATGACAAGCCACAGTTCAACTACTCCTTTTAAAGAAAAATGAGAAAAAAAATCTCTAAAATCGAGGACAGGCAAGGAGAGTGTCCCCCTTTGGGCACCCCAGCTGGTTTTATAGCTGATAATTATAGCACCTCTTCTTGCAAACATTTGTGTAAAGGGAGGATTTTACTAAGGACGACCAACATCTAAGGTTCCCAAAGTGAAGAACTTTAAATATTCCCAAACTGGTCTTCTCGTATGCTAAATTAGAGAAGTTAGGTTTCTGCATCAAGGAAAATAAATGAGGGTTGTATTTTAGCTGGCACCTAAAAACATCCAAAAGTAGAAACGATAAACTTATTTCTTTCCAGAAAGGTAACAACAAAATACTTGAAACTACCTCAGAATTAAAGAAAAGTAGCAAAATCAGCTTCTAAAATCAGGAAGCTGCCAGAAACTCTCTTCTTTTTCTTCTCCTAAACCTCTGCTTTCTAAACTTCCTTGCCTGGATGATTTCATTTTTTTTCTCTTTCTCCTCCCGTATTCCTTCTTAAACCACAAAGGGTCCAGAAATAGCTACAGGAGAAGACAAAATAGTAGTCATTTCTTTTAAAACAAAACCCACAGGAAGAGTGGGTTCAAACATAAGATATACACCTTACACCAAGTCAGAATTAAGTGCTCTGATGTTTGGATTTCTTGATCTGACTCAAGACACCTTAGGTTTGCCAAGGAATTCCAAATAATGCTTAAGACCTATGATTCAGGGTTTTCAAACCAGTATCAGCTAACTGATTTACTAGTCCTCCAAAACAAAGCCAAAGAATGCTACAAAGTGGTGAATTAGAAACAGCTTTAGCAGATTTTAACAAACTAAAGTGCAAATGGGAGAGAGAAGTGTAGGGAGTTTTGCAACTGCCTCTGTGGGAATTTACCACAGCTATTCCCCCTAATCCTATAGACTAGGCAAAATACAGCGATGTAATATATACCCCAGCAAAACCATACCTGATTATTATATCACATTTATTTTTATTTTTTGTGGGTATACAGTAGTTGTGTGTATAAATGGGGTACATGAGATACTTTGATACAGGCATGCAACGTGTAACAATCACAGCATGGTAAATGGGGTATCCATCTCCTCAAGCATTTACTCTGTATTACAAAAATTGAATTATATGATTTCAGTTATTTTAAAAGGTACAACTAAATTATTATTGATTATAATAATTGTCAATTATTGACAATTGCAGTGTTGTGGTATCAAGTACTACTGTTGTGCTACCAGTACAAACTGTGTTATCAGTACAAATACTACTGTTGTGCTATCAGCACAAATACCCTGTTGTGCCATCAAATAGTACCTCTACCTCTTATTCATTCTTTTTAACTATTTCTTGTACCCATTAGCCATCCTCACTTCCCTCCATGGCCCTACCAAACTGCCCCCCTACTATGCTTCTCAGCCTCTGGTAACCATCCTTCTACTCTCTATCTCCGTTGAGTTCAACTCAATGGGATCCTTAGCACCCATAAATAAGTGAGAACATGCAAAGTTTGTCTTTCTGTGCCTGGCTTATTTCATTTAACATAATAACCCTCATCCATGTTGTTAAAAATGACAGAATCTCATTCTTTTTTTCTGGCTCCACTGTGTATACATACTACATTTTCTTTATCCATTCATCTGTTGATTGACACTTACGTTGCTTCCAAATCTTGGCTATTTTCAACAATGCTGCAACAAACATGGGAATGTAGACATCTCTTCAACATACTGAGTTCCTTTCTTGTGAGTATATACTTAGCAGTGAAATTGCTGGATTATATGGAGGCTCTAGTTTAGTTTTATGAGGAAACTCCAAGCTGTTTTCCATAGTGGTTGTACTAATTTACATTTCCACCAACAGTGTACCAGGCTTCCCATTTCTCCACATTCTCACTAGCATTTGCTGTTGCCTGACTTTTGGACAAAATTCATTTTAACTGGGATAAGATGATATCTCATTGTAGTTTTGATTTGCGTGTTTCTGATAATATAACTGCTTGCAATTCATATGTCTTCTTTTAAGAAATGTTTATTGAAATATTTTGCCCATTTTAAAGATCAGATTACTAGATTTTTTTCCTATACAGTAGTTTGAGCTGCTTATCTGTTCTAGTTATTAATCCTTTGTCAGGTGAATAGTTTGCAAATATGTTCTCCTATTCTGTGGGTTGTCTCCTCACTTTATTGATCATTTCCTTTGACATGCAGAAGATTTTTAACTTGATGTAACTTCATTTGTCCATATTTGCTTTGGTTGCGTGTGCTTGTGGGGTATTACTCAAGACATTTTTGCCAAGACCTGGAGAGACTTTCCCCAATGTTTTCTTGCAGTAGTTTTTTAATTCAAGGTCTTAGATTTAAGTATTTAATCCATTTTGATTTGACTTTTGTATAAGGCAAGAGTTGGGGTTATAATTTCATTCTTTTGCATGTAGATATCCAGTTTTCAAAGCACGATTTATTGAAGAGATTGTCTTTTCCCTAATTTAAGTTCTTGGCACCTTTGTTGAAAATGAGTTCAGTGAAAATGTATAAATTTTTTTTCTGGGTTATCTGTTCAATTCCATTGGTTTATGTGTCTATTTTTATGCCAGTACCAGGCTGCTACAGTTACTATAGCTTTGTAATATAATTTGAAGTCAGTTAATGTGATTCCTGCATTTAATCTGTGAATTGCTTTGGGTAATATAGAGATTTTAACATACTAACACTATCAATCCATGAACATGGAATATCTTTCAATTTTTGTGTCTTCAATTTATTTTATGATTGTGTTATAGTTTTTGTTGTAGAAATCCTTTACTTCTTTGGTTGATTTCTATGTATTTAGTTCTATTTGTGGCTATGATAAATGGTATTTCTTTTTAAATTCTTTTTCAGATTGTTCACTCTTGGCATATAGAAATGCTACTGATTCCTGCTGGGCGCAGTGGCTCACGCCTGTAATCCCAGCACTTTGGGAAGCTGAGGTCAGGAGATCGAGACCATACTGGCTAACACGATGAAACCCCGTCTCTACTAAAAATACAAAAAAAGTTAGCCAGGCGTGATGGTGGGTGCCTGTAGCCCCAGCTCCTCGGGAGGCTGAGGCAGGAGAATGGTGTGAACCCAGGAGGCGGAGCTTGCAGTGAGCCAAGATTGCACCACTGCACTCCAGCCTGGGTGACAGAGCGAGACTCTGTCTCAAAAAAAAAAAAAAATGCTACTGATTTTTATATATTGATTTGTATCCAGAAACTCTACTGAATTTATCAGTTCTAGTAGTTTTTGTGGAGTCTTCAGGTTTTTTACAAATATAAGATTATATCATCTGCAAAACAAGGATAATTTGTCTTCTTCCCTTTAGATGCCCTTTGTTTCTCTCTCTTGTCTGATTGCTTTTGCTAGGACTTCCAGTACTACGGAGAATAACAGTGGTGAAAGTGGGCATCCTGGTCATGTTCCAGATCTTAGAGAAGGGGATTTCAGTGTTTCCCCTGTCAGTATGATACTAGCTGTGGGTATGTCATATATGGCTTTCATTATGTTAATAATGTTCTTTCTCTACCCAGGTTTTTGAGGGTTTTTAATCATGATGGGATGTTGAATTTTATCAAATTTTTTTTAATGTCTTAATTTAAATGATTATATAATCTTTTCCTTCATTTTGTTGATGTGATGTATCATTTGGATTGATTTGCAACCATTCTTGCATCCTTGTGATAAATCACACATGATCATGAAGAATGATATTTTTAATGTATTGCTTAAAGGTTTGTTAGCATTTTGTTGAGGATTTTTGCATCAATATTAATTGGAGATATTGTAGTTTTCTTTTTTTAAAGTGTCTTTGATTTTGGTATAAAGGTAATTCTGGTGTTATAGAATGAGTTTGGAAGTATTCCCCATCTCTATTTTGTGGAATAGTTTCAGTAGGATTGGTGTTAGTTCTTTAAATGCTTGTTAGAATTCAGTAGTGAAGCCATAGAATATTGGGGCTTTTCTTTACTGGGAGACTTTTTATTACAGCTTTGATCTCATTATTTGTTATTGGTCTGTTCATGTTTTGTATTTCTTTGTGTTTCAATTTTGGTGTGTTTCTTGGCCCTAGTCTGGTCCACTCAGACCTGCTCCATGCTCACCATCAGGCAGCTGGTGGTCCTTCTTGAAGAGTGAGTGCAGCAGGGACCAGCGGTTGGGCTGAAGCCCCTTCGCCTCATGCGGACTCTCCAATACTCATTGAACTTCATGGTGAGGGACAGAGGACCCACCCTGGCTCTCAGCGGGAGAGCAGGGAGTTCTTGTTCAAGGAAGCCCCTGGGGCTGCCACAGGAGGCAGCCCTTGGGAAAAAGCGCCCAAGGCCCCCCTCAACCGGCCATCCTGCCTCCTCTGCAGGACCTTCTCTTCCCCTCTTTCCCTCCCTCCTGAGGTGAAAAGGAGGGGAGGAGACCACGGAGCCCACTGTGTCAGGGAAACCTGGCCCTTCCTTTTGAGCATCCAGGGGACTCGCATGGGTCTCACCCCTTCTCCAGGACCTGAAAGCTTCTCTCTCTGAAGAGCCCTGAGTTCCAGTCTCAAGTGTCTCGTTCCCCATTGCCTCCTGCTTCTCCTTTCATCCCCGCCACCACCACCTGGGGCTCACACTCCCTGCCTTTGGGCTTCAAATGTTGTACTACGTGCTTGACCCACTAGCCTGCTTAATCTTCAAAATCACTCTATCAAAAAGACATTTTAGGCTGGGCCTGTAATCCCAGCACATTGGGAGACCCAGATGGGCTGATTACTTGAGTGTATGAGTTACAGACCAGTCTGGGAAACATAACAAGATCCTGTCTCTACAAAAATAGAAAAAAATAGAAAAAAATTAGTGGAGTGCTGTGGCACATGTCTGTAATCCCAACTACTTGGGAGGCTGAGGTGGGAAGATTGCTTGAGCCTGGGATGTCGAGGCTGCAGTGAGCTGAGATCATGTCACTGCACTCCAGCCTGGGCAACAGACTGAGACCCTGTCTCAAAATAAAAATAAAAATAATTAAAAAGGGAAATTGCCGAAATCATTTAACCAATAAGATGAGCACCTACCTATCAGGGACAATAAAAGTTTAAAGGGGCCAACAATTATGAAGGCAGTATTGAATTCACTTGAAATATGAAGAACACCACATTGGGTGAATTTAGATAGGAAGGCCAAGGAGATATTCCTAGGAATATCATTATATATGGAAAACACTGAAAAAAGACACTGCAGTGTTTGAGAAAATAATGGCCATAGAAACAGATTTCATGGACCTTCCAGCTTATGAAAAAATCAACTGAAATTGCTCAACATTAGGTTAGAACATTAAAAAGGAAAAATAAGCCATTATAGAAGGAGAGAATTGGAATAGGGGACAGGAATGACCCATTTCCCAGTCTCTGCCTAGAACAGGGCTGGGGAAAAATCTGTGGTCATCATATTCACCATTGCATAAACACATATTTTTTCTATATGTCAGCAAGGAGCAAGTGCTACCAAGACAAGGCAAGGAAAAGGAATAGAGAATATTGCTGGGTGCTTTTCTGTAGGGTGATCAGGAAAGGCCTCACTGAAAAAGAGACATTAGAGCAGAGCAAGTGAGAGAGAGAGAGTCATAGAGAGATCTGTGGGAAGAGCATTCCACGTGAGGGCAACAGACACTGCAAAGGCCCCGAGGCAGGGAGTGCTTGGCATGTCTGAGGAGCCAGAAAAAGGCCAGTGGAGCTGGAATGGAGTGAGTGAGGAGTAATAGGGGCAGAACACATACGGCCTTAGAGATCATGGCTCTAGGTGTTTTATTTTCCAATTTTTAAAATTGTGTTAAAATACACATAACATAAACTATAGTAGTTTAACCTTGCTTAAGTGAACAGTTCAGTAATATTAACATTCATATGGTTGTGCAACCATTACCACCATCCATCTCCAGAATTCTTTTCAACTTGTAAAACTGAAACCCTCTGTCATTAAACAATAGCTCTCTGTTCTCCCTTCCACCCAGCCCCAGGCAAGCACCATTCTACTTTCTGTCTGTATGCATTTGACTATTCTTGGGACCTTATAACAGCAGAATCTATGGTATTTGTCTTTTCTGACTTATTTCACTTACTCTAATATCTTCAGGGTTATTTTAATATTATTTGTCAGAATTACCTTCCTTTTGAGAAATGAAGAATATTCCATTATGTGTATAGACCACATATCCATTCATCTGTCATGGACATTAGAGTTGTCTCCACATTTAAGCTATTAGTGAATAATTCTGCTATGACCATAGATGTACAAATACTTCTTTGACTCTGCTTTGAATTTCTTTGTGTAGACACCCAGAAGGGAAGTGCTGGATCATGTGAGCCTCCAACCCACTGTCTGCAGTTGTCCTTGCGCCTCCACTCCGCTGTCCCCAGAGCTGTCATTGATGTTCCACCCTACTATCTTGGAGCTGGTTTGAGTCTGCACCCTGCTGTTCTTGGAGCCTAGAAAGCCCACCAGGCCTGGCCAAACTCCACCCCTCCCTTGGTCTCTCCTCCCAGGCATCAGCACTTTGGAAAAGCCATTATGCACCTTTTAATATCTACGAAAGGTGCCTCAGGAAGGCATGGAGAGGTCACCACTTCCAGGTTATGGTGTCTCACCTGTGTCCACTGGCCCCATGCTGGCCCTTTAAGGGGTAAGAGCAGAACAGGCTGGGAGACTACACCTCTTTTCTCAGAGTGGCTATAGATAAAGCCAGAAAGGGGACAGGAGAATGTGGTGCTGTGGGCAGGATGCTGAGGGCAGAGGCCCCTCCCCACAGGTGCTGAGCAGGTCGGGCAAGGAGGAGCTTCCAGCCTCCATCCAGGCAGGACTTCTGACCACTGCTAGAGGCCCCTTCTCAGGAGGTCCTGTCCCAGCCAAGGGCCAGCTCCAGAGACTTTTGTCCATCTTCCCTAAGATGGACACGATGCAGGTGGCTGTGTCTGGGCCCTAGAAATTTCAGGACTGAGCCATGGTGAAGACAGGAGGGGATTGTGGGCCCTGGATGTCCCTGTGCAGCCCATGCCTCTAGCTTGGACCATTCACCGCCCAGGTACCTCCTCGCTAGGTCTCCAAGCCCCAGTGGTCATGTGACAGGCCATGGGGCAGGGCTGGGATGGGTTCAGGGCTCCATGTGCTTCCTGAGAGGGCTGAAGGGTTGCATCCCTCCAGAGCAGCCCAAGGCATAGTAGCCACTGCTACCCCACTCAGTCTCGGTGAGCAGGCTTGTCGGGGATGTAGGGGCCTGGTCCTCCAGTGGCAGGTAGGCAGGCAGCGGTGCCTCTCACTCCTCACACTCTGCTGGCAGCATATCCTCCAAACTTGGGGCCCCTAGGAGGTGTCCCCATGCCCTCCTGCTCTCCTCCAGGCTGACAGATTTCCAGGGACATGCTGAGTCACAGGTGAGTACTGCAGTGGCCTCTCGCACACTGAATTCCAAGGCTCCTTGCGAGGTGCTGGCACAGTCCTGGCTCAGCTGCACGCTGGCCCTGTGGGCCCCCATCCAGGTTAGAAGCAGAGTATGGGATGAGGAAAGGGATCAGGCAGCATGATCAGAACTCACCCTGGGAGTGGCAGCCTCCTCCTCAGCAAGCCCTCCCTCCTCCTCCAAGAAGCCCTCCTGATGTCCACACCCAGAGGCCAAGCAGCACCTGTGCCAGGAGCATTCTGTCTTCCTTACTATGTGCCAGCTCAGCCTCAACATGGGACCCTGAGTCTCTTCAAGTCCCCTCACTGCTCCCCTAGCACAGAGCCTGGTGCTCACAGCAGCCTGCACCAGGGTACAGATGGTGACATGTGCTGAGGAAAAAACAAACACTTGGCAGCATGCAGCATGTGTCCCAGGGCCTTTCAGCAGCTACAGAGACTGGGTACCCCCACCTGAACAATTTTCTCTGTCTCTCTCTCTCACACACACATAGCATGACGGACAGGTGACACGAAGACTGGTGACTTTCAAGGTGCTTGGGAAAGGCCAGCAGACCTGAATCCTTCTGTGGGGACACAGGAGACCTCTGCTTCCAAAAGGAAGCTCTTCCCTAGGTGGGACCAGAAGTATCCATCCAACACGCCACACACACACCACACCCTCCATCACTGCACTGCTCCCTGCCAGACCCTCACCCAAGGCCTAAATAATCCCTGGCAGATGCCCTGGTTCTATAGAGAAGGGCTGGTGTCTGCAAGGGGATGACACAGGCCAGGGTACGATCACAACCTCTGCCCCGCTCAGACTTGTCCTCAGCTGCCCAGGCTCTTGACAGTCACATTTGCCACTGTGAGGAAAGATGGGAAATCTGCCAAGACCCAAGTGCTCAGTTTTAAGCTTTAAATTATATTTTTGAACAACAATCCTAAGAACTGGGCTTCCTGTTGAAAGGGAAAATGATTTTTCTACATAATATGCTGGCAATACTGTGTGGAGGGGATATCTCTGCTGCACAGGGTCCAGGGAAGCCCTGCAGCACCAGGAAAGGAGATCCTGGTGTCACCCTACAAGGAAGAAGCTGAGACAAAGTTAATCTTAGTAGAGAGTTTATTTGAGACAAACTTCAGGATTGCAACTCTGGAGCATAGATTCAAGTTATCCTGAATATACACTGCAATTAGCAGCAGTTATGAGCTGATTTTTAAAGGCAAAACAAGGTGGGCAGGGAAGGGGCAGATACAATTCCTCAGGAATTTTAGTTGGTTCATAGCAATAACACTGCTTAGTGATGGGCCGTACACTGTTAAGCTATAGGGTGTGGGGTATGGCGTCTGGTGTGGCATTATGAGGTAAATTCATAGCTACTTCTGGCAACAGCAGTATCAAGAAATGAATACACAGCTCAATGTGAGGGAGTAGGACATGACTGTGGTCTCATTTTAATGCCTCTTTCTGGGCCTGATAATTAAAGCACTTGCATTTCTCAGATAAAAGTTATTTTATTTTCCTGACTGGTAAAGACCCAGGTCAGCTTGGTCCAGACCGCAGGGAGAGGCCCTCATGCCCTGTGTCCTTTGCCCAAAGTGAGAAGCCTGAGGGAGCACACTGGAGCCCACCCCTGGAGCTCTCCCTCTGCCCTTCCTCCTACCCACGGGGCATGAACTGCCAGCTCAGCAGGGAGGGGAGGGTCCTATGTGACCCCCAAGTAGTTCGCTGATACATGGGCTGTGGGAGCCAGACGAGGCCCACAGAGGGGGAAATGCAGAGCCCATTCCTGACTCTGGTGCCAATGTGTGACTCCAGGGGAATCGAAGGGGTGGGCAGACCAGGAGCCCAGGGTCAGTGAGGGTCCCAGGGGCAGCACAAGTGCTGGAGACCCTCCCCGACAGCCACCGGACAGACACTCACAGAAGGAGGAGGTGAGACCCATGGTGGGCACGGATAGCTGCAAAGCAGAGGAAACAGAGATAAGTTATGAGAAACTTATATATATTTTCCATCAACCATGGAATGGAAGACACAAGAAAAATAAATCATCAATGGAAAATAAAGTGGTTTTTTTTTGTCCACTTGAGACACAGAGGATAAATTTAAATTCACTGTATACACACACAAAAAGGCTCAGAACACTCATAAGTCGCCCACAGTGGCCCCCAACCGTCATCAAAGCCAACATCCTGGGCAGGCTAGACCTTGGGGCAACACCTGCCTTCCATGCCCTGTGGCAGTCTCTGCACTCTCCTGAAGTTCCCATTGTGCGCACTGTAGGGGGCTGGAAGAATGTTGCTGGAGAGGACATATTCTGGAAGAGGGTTCTTTCCACCCTGAGGCCAGGAGAAGACAGTCAGAGGCCCACGGGGACCCAGGTCGGGGCTCCTGCTGAGGCCCCAGTCGGTACGAGGTCACTGCAGGGGCTGAGCTCCCTTCCATCCAGGAAGACCTTATCTGCCTCATTCCTGCCACTGCCTCTCTCCCGTCTCACCCCATCCAAACCTACTCTCATCTCAGGGCAGGATCCAACTGGGTACCCTGTGGCCTCGTTGGCTAACTGATTTATACTAAGGTATGTGTCCTTTACAGTGTGAGCTGTGATGGTGAGTTTAGAATTGACTCGCCATGACTGCAGCCTGCAGAGGGAGCCAGCACCTCCAGGAACCCCATTCTTGCCATCAGCAGAGGGTCTATGGCTCCCACCTCATCCAGTGTCTCCCTGAGCACCATGTCTGCCTGACCAGGACCCAGTGGTCCTCCCATGAGGATGCTGCCTAGGGCTCCAACCCAATAGGTCCAAATACACCTCACCAACCTCCCCTCGGGGCTGTCCCCCCATTCCCCACCTCAGGGTCGGGTCACTACTCATATCTCATCCACCCACATGTCTCCTCAGTCTCAAGACTCTGCAATTTCCTCCATGTGGCTCCATCTCCACTTTTCCCACCAGCTCAAGCCAAATCTTATCTCTATGGACATCCCATTGGCCCTCATCAGGTCCCCCATGTCTGCTTGTTCCTGCAATCCATTCTCAAAACATAAAGCATAACATGTCACACAGTTTCACACTCTTCAGCACTTTCCTTTGCTCTGAGGAGAAGCCAGGCACCCACTCACCTGGCCCCACCCAGCACCCCCATCCCCACACACTCTTCCTTGCATCCTCCCTGCTACCTGATGGGGCCCCTGTGCCCCTCTTGTAAGCTGACATGCAGTGCACATTGGGGATGGCTTACTGAAGAGGCCCCTTGTCTGTCCTGTTCTCTAAGACATCTGCAGAGGCAAGAACAGATCCTGTGCATATCAGATGCCCCCAACTGTGCTTTCACACAATGTGTGAACAAAGAAGCAAACCAAGCTCCTCCAGAGGCAGGAGACAAGGACCTCCGGCTTCTTGGTCCCCGTGACACCGGGTCTGGTTGAGGCCAAGCTGCCCTCATCTTTGACCTGTTCTCTCCTTCCCTTCTCTCCCCAGGCAACATGAGAACCTCCAACTGGCCCAGGGAAGGAACTTGTAAAGCCCACCCCAACCAGGATAAGACAGTGGGGCATAAATGGGAGGAGAGGGGTTGGCTGTCAGTGCCACACTCAATGAACACTCACACATGCACACACTGATGCGTGCACACACGTGACATAAGTACACACGGTGACATCCCAATACATTCACAAACATACACAACACAAACAGGCCCAAACCCTCACTCTGAAACCTAACCCCACCCCCAAACTGCAACCCGGAACTCAAGTCCTAGCCTGAACCTTGACCCCAAACCCCAACTCAAGTCAGAAGGTAAACCATGGGCCGAATCCCGAACTGGAACTCAAACCCCAGCAGGAACCTGAACTCTTCCATTGTCTTTCCTCATCTGGCGCATGGGACTCAGCACCTGAGACTCTGTTGTGGCCCTCTGAATGAGCTGCGCCCCTCGTTCTTGTCCTCTCCACCAGCTGCGCTCCCTGTCCCTCTTCTCCCAAGGAGCCACCCGGCCCATGTCCCCCGCCCCGGTGGTCCCGATGAGATGCACCCAGGCTGACCCAGGGTGCAAATCCCCACCCCAATCCCCAACGCAAACCCTGAACGAGAGGCCTCGTCTAAACTTTAATCCCAAACTCCACCTCAAATTGGAACCGGAACCACAGATGGAAGCCTGAACCGGAACTCAAAGCCCAGCTGGAACCTGAACCCCGCCCTCGCCTGTGAGCACCTGCGCCCGGGTCTCGCCCTCCCCACGAGCTTCACCTCTGACCCCGACCTCCCCTAGAACTGCGCTTTCTACCCCGCAGTCCCAGGGTATCGCAAGCCGTCCCTCACACCCCACCTCCAGCAACGCCCTCTCGCCCTGTCTCCCCCACCTTCACTGTGAGCTGCAGCCCCCATGTCCCTGCCGTCCCCCTCACCCTCCCGGGAGCTGTGCCCACCTGACCCGGCATTTGCGCCTTTGTCTTCGTGGCCCGGAAGTGGCCCCGCCGGCGGAAGCACGAGAAGTGGCCACGTGCTGTACAGCGGCTGGCTGAGGAAGTCGCCCCCCGAGAAGAAGCTGAGGCTCTTTGTGAGTGGGGCAGTGGGGGCGGTACCAGGAGCGCCACGGAGGGTCTGGGGACTCCGGGAGGGGCGTGGGGGAGGCGGCCTGGGTCCACGGGAGGAGCTGCGGGTGGAGGCGACTTCTCCACGTCTGCATGCGAAGGCGACTCCCCGCCAGTGAGAGACAGGGTCCAGGTTTGTGTGGGTTGCGTTCCGAGACCCAGGGAGTTGATTCCAGGGCTGGGGACCCTATTACCTTGAGCGCCGTGGGCCTGCAGGTCGGAGAGTGGGCGGGAAAGGGGACACAGCAGGCTCCGCAGCCTCGCAAAACGGCAGGAACCTCGCACCCGCTCCCCTTCCCTCCCAGGCCCTGAGAATGGCGGGCACCTCGCACCCTCTCTCCTTCCCTCCCAGGCCCCAAGGAAGGCAGGCGCCTTAAACCTGCTCACCTTCCCTCCCAAGCCCCGAGAAGGCAGGCACCTCACACCCTCTCCCTTTCCCTCCCGGGCCCCAGGAAAACGCGGGCACCTCGCACCCGCTCGCTCCCCTTCCCTCCTCACCCGCCACTCCCGGGGTCGTTCGCGTCCTTCCATGCCACCACGCCTGCTGAGGGACAGTGTGCACTGCAGTGTAGTTTTCTATATATTAATTCATGTGGTTAAACGATTTAGAAAAAAAGAAGATTGGTTGCCCTTTCCCCTAGTGGCTAATTTGAAGAGTGTTGTTCTAAATTTCAACAATTTTACTGAGGAAGCGGTAATTGTTAGGAGTCACTATGATTATACCAAGGTACATAGAAGAGGCTTTTCTCTCCTGTTCCTTAGCCCCAGGTCCAGCCCTTCAAGAATCTATTCCAGAATAAGCTGATCCTATAGTCATCTTCCCTTTCCTCTGCTTCCCTGAGGTATGGGGTATGATCAATTCTGCGTTCTTGTCTTTCTCCATTTCTTTTTTCAATTTTTTATTATACTTTAAGTTCTGGGATACATGTGCAGAACGTGGAGGTTTGTTACATACATATACACGTGTCATGGTGGTTTGCTGCACCCATCAACCCATCATCTACATTAGGTATTTCTCGTAATGCTATCCCTTCCCTTGCCCCCCAACCCCAATAGGCCACATTGTGTAATGCTCCCGTCCCTGTGCCCATATGTTCTCATTGTTCAGCTGCCACTTATGAGTGAGAACATGGCGGTGTTTGGTTTTCTGTTCCAGTGTAAGTTTGCTGAGAATGATGATTTCCAGCTTCATCCATGTCCCTGTAAAGAACATGAACTCATTCTTTTTTATGGCTGCATAATATTCCATAGTGTATATGTGCCATATTTTCTTTATCCAGTCTATTATTGATGGGCATTTGGGTTGGTTCCAAGTCTTTGCTGTCGTGAATAGTGCTGCAATAAACATACGGGTGCACTTGTCTTTATAGTAGAATGATTTGTAATCCTTTGGGTATATACCCAGTAATGGGATGGCTGGGTCAAATGGTATTTCTAGTTCTTGATCCTTGAGGAGTCGCCACACTGTCTTTGACAATAGTTGAACTAATTTACACTCCAACCAACAGTGTAAAAACATTCCTATTTCTCCACATCTTCTCCAGCATCTGTTGTTTCCTGACTTTTTAATGATGGCCATTCTAACTGGCGTGAGATGGTATCTCGTTGCATTTCTCTAATGACCAGTGATGATGAGCATTTTTTCATGTTTGTTGGCCACATAAATATCTTCTTCTGTTAAGTGTCTGTTCATATCCTTTGCCCACTTCTTGATAGTGTTGTTGTTTTTTTCTTGTAAATTTGTTTAAATTCCTTATACATTCTGGATATTAGCCCTTTGTCAGATGGATAGATTGGAAAAAATTTCTGCCATTCGGTAGGTTGCCTGTTCACGCTGATGATAGTTTCTTTTGCTATGCAGAAGCTCTTTAGTTTAAATAGATCCCATTTGTCAATTTTGGCTTTTGTTACCATTGCTTTTCATGTTTTAGTTATGAAGTCTTTGCCCATGCCTATGTCCTGGATGATATTGCCTAGGTTTTCTTCTAAGGTTTCTATGGTTTTAGGTCTTACGTTTAAGTCTTTAATCCATCTTGACCCCGACCTCCTTCAGAACTGAGTTAATTTTTGTATAAGATATAAGGAAGGGGTCCACTTTCAGTTTTCTGCCCATGGCTAGCCAGTTTTCCCAACACCATTTATTAAATAGGGAATCCTTTCCCCATTGCTAGTTTTTGTCAGGTTTGTCAAAGATCAGATGGTTGTAGATGTGTGGTGTTATTTCTGAGGCCTCTGTTCTGCTCCATTGGTCTATATATCTGTCTTGGTACCAGTAACATGTTTTGGTTACTGTAACCTTGTAGTACAGTTTGAAGTCAGGTAGTGTGATGCTTCCAGCTTTGTTATTTTTGCTTAGGATTGTCTTGGCTATACGGGCTCTTTTTTGGTTACATGTGAAATTTAAAGTGGATTTTTCTAATTCTGTGAAGAAAGTCAATGGTAGCTTGATTGGAATAGCAATGAATCTGTAAATTACTTTGGGCAGTATGGCCGTTTTCACAATATTGATTCTTCCTATCCATGAGCATGGAATGTTCTTCCATTTGTTTGTGTCCTCTCTTATTTCCTTGAGCAGTGGTTTGTAGTTCTTCTTGAAGAAGTCCTTCACATCTCTTGTAGGTTGTATTCCTAGGTATTTTATTCTTTTGGTAGCAATTGTGAATGGGAGTTCACTCATGATTTGGCTCTCTATTTGTCTATTATTGGTGTATAGGAATGCTTGTGATTTTTGCACATGGATTTTGTATCCTGAGACTTTACTGAAGTTGCTTACCAGCTTCAGGAGTTTTTGGGCTGAGATGATGGGGTTTTCTAAATATACAATCATGTCATCTGCAAACAGAGACAATTTAACTTCCTCTCTTCCTGTTTGAATACCGTTTATTTCTTTCTCTTGCCTGATTGTCCTGGCCAGAACTTCCAATACTATGTTGAATAGGAGTGGTGAGAGAGGGCATCCTTGTCTTGTGCCGGTTTTCAAAGGGAATCCTTCTAGCTTTTGCCCATTCAGTATGATATTAGCTGTGGGTTTGTCATAAATAACGTATTATTTTGAGATATGTTCCATCAATACTTAGTTAATTGAGAGTTTTTAGCACGAAGGGGTGTTGAATTTTATCGAAGGCCTGTTCTGCATCTATTGAGATAATCATGTGGTTTTTGTCATTGGTTCTTTTTATGTGACGGATTACGTTTATTGATTGTTTGTCATAAATAACTTATTATTTTGAGATACGTTCCATCAATACTTAGTTTATTGAGAGTTTTTAGCACGAACGGGGTGTTGAATTTTATGGAAGGCCTTTTCTGCATCTATTGAGATAATCATGTGGTTTTTGTCATTGGTTCTTTTTGTGTGATGGATTACGTTTATTGATTTGCATATGTTGAACCAGCCTTGCATCCCAGGAATGAAGTCGACTTGATCGTGATTGATAAGCTTTTTGATGTGCCTGGGTTCGGTTTGCCAGTATTTTATTGAGGGTTTTTGCATTGATGTTCATTAGGGATATTGGCCTGAAATTTTATTTTTTTGTTGTGTCTCTGCTAGGGTTTTGTATCAGGATGATGCTGGCCTCATAAAATGAGTTAGGGAGGAGTCCCTCTTTTTGCATTGTTTGGAATAGTTTCAGAAGGAATGGTACCAGCTCGTTTTTGTACCTCTGGTAGAAATCGGCTGTGAATCGGTCTGGTCCTGGGCTTTTCTTGTTGTTGTTGATAGGCTATTAATTATTGCTTCAATTTCAGAATTTATTATTGGTTTATTCAGAGATTTGACTTCTTCCTGGTTTAGTCTTGGGAGGGTGTATGTGTCCAGGAATTTATCCATTTCTTATGAATTTCCTAGTTTATTTGCATAGAGGTGTTTATAGTATTCTCTGATGGTAGTTTGTATTTCTGTGGGATCAGCGGTGATACCCCTCTATCATTTTTTGTTGTGTCTATTTGATTCTTCTTTGTTGTGTCTATTTGATTCTTTATTAGTCTGGCTAGCGGTCTATCTAATTTTTTAAAAAACAGCTCCTAAACTTACTGATTTTTTGAAGGGTTTTTTTGTGTCTCTATCTCCTTTAGCTCTGCTCTGATCTTAGTTTGTGTTCTGCTAGCTTTTGAATTTGTTTGCTCTTGCTTCTCTAGTTCTTTTAATTTTGATGTTAGGGTGTCAATTTTAGATCTTTCCTGCTTTCTCTTGTGGGCATTTAGTGCTATACATTTCCCTCTAAACACTGCTTTAGCTGTGTCCCAGAGATTGTGGTACATTGTGTCTTTGTTTTCATTGGTTTAAAAAAAATCTTTATTTCTTCCTTGATTTTGTTATTTACCCAGTAATCATTCAGGAGCAGGTTTTTCAGTTTCCATGTAGTTGTGCATTTTTGAGTGAGTTTCTTAATCCTGAGTTCTAATTTGATTGTACTGGGGTCTAAGAAACTGTTAAGATTTCCATTCATTTACATTTGCTGAGGAGTGTTTTACTTCCAATTTTGTAGTCAATTTTAGAATAAGTGAGTGCTATGTGGTGCTCAGAAGAATGTATATTCTGTTGATTTGGGGTGGGGAGCTCTGTAGATGTCTATTAGGTCCACTTGGTCCAGAGCTGAGTTCAGGTTCTGAATATCCTTGTTTCATTTCTGTCTTGTTAATCTGCCTAATATTGACAGTGGGGTGTTAAAGTCTCCCACTATTACTGTGTGGGAGTCTAAGTCTCTTTCTAGGTCACTAAGAACTTGCTTATGAATCTGGGTGCCCCTGTCTTGGGTGCATATATATTTAGGGTAGTTAGCTCTTCTTGTTGCATTGATCCCTTTACCATTATTTAATGCCCTTCTTTTCGTTTTTGATGTTTGTTGGTTTAAAGTGTGTTTTATCAGAGACTAGGAGTGCAAACCCTGCTTTCTTTTGGTTTCCATTTGCTTGGTAAATATTCTTCCATCCCTTTATTTTGAGCCTATGTGTGTCTTTGCACATCAGATGGGTCTCCTGAATACAGCATACTGATGCATCTTGACTCTATCCAATTTGCCAGTCTGTGTCTTTTAATTGGGGCATTTAGCCCATTTACATTTAAGGTTAATTTTTTTAAATTATACTTTAAGTTTTTGGGTACGTGTGCACAATGTACAGGTCTGTTACATATGTATACGTGTGCCATGTTGGTGTGCTGCACCCATTAACTCGTCATTTAACATTAGGTATATCTCCTAATGCTATCCCTCCCCCCTCGCCCCCAACAACAGGCCCCAGTGTGTGATGTTCCCCTTCCTGTGACCATGTGTTCTCATTGTTCAATTCCCACCTATGAGTGAGAACATAAGGTTAATATTGTTATGTGTGAATTTGATCCTGTCATTATGATGCTAGCTGGTTATTTTGCCTGTTGGTGCAGTATCTTCATCCTGTCGGTGGTCTTTACATTTTGGTATGTTTTTGCAGTTGCTGGTACCAGTTTTTCCTTTGCATATTTAGTGCTTCCTCAGGAGCTCTTGTAAGGCAGGCCTGGTGGTGACAGAATCCCTTAGCATTTGCTGGTCTGTAAAGGATTTTATTTCTCCTTCGCTTATGAACCTTTGTTTGGCTGGATATGAAATTATGGGTTGAAAATTCTTTTCTTTAAGAATGTTGAAAACGGAGGTTCCAAGATGGCCAAATAGGAACAGCTCCAGTCTACAGCTCCCAGCATGAGCAATGCAGAAGATGGGTTATTTCTGCATTTCCAACTGAGGCACTGGGTTCATCTCACAGGGGCTTGTCAGACAGTGGGTGCAGCCCACGGAGCAGGGTGGGGCATTGCCTCACCCGGGAAGCACAAGGGGTCAGGGAATTCCCTTTCCTGGCAAAGGGAAGCCATAACAGATGGTACCTGGAAAATCGGGACACTCCCACCCTAATACTGCACTTTTCCAATGGCCCTAACAAACAGCACACCAGGAGAATATATCCCACACCTGGCTCGGGGGGTCCCATGCCCATGGAGTCTCGCTCACTGCTAGCACAGCAGTCTGAGATCAAACTGCGAGGCTGCAGCCAGGCTGAGGGAGGGGCACCCACCATTGCTGAGGCTTGAGTAGGTAAACAAAGTGGCCTGGAAGCTCGAACTGGGTAGAATCCACCTCAGTTCAAGGAGGCCTACCTGCCTCTGTAGACTCCACCTCTAGGGGCAGGGAAAAGCTGAAAATTCTGAAAATCAGAGCGCCTCTTCTCCTCCGAAGGAAAGCAGCTCATCTACAGCAACGGAGCAAAGCTGGACAGAGAATGACTTTGACGAGTTGACAGAAGAAGGCTTCAGACGATCAGTAATAATGAACTTCTCCGAGCTAAAGGAGGATATTTGAACCCATCGCAAAGAAGCTAAAAATCTTGAAAAAAGATTATGCAAATAGCTAACTAGAATAAACAGTATAGAGAAGTCCTTAAATGACCTGATGGAGCTGAAAATCATGGCACGAGAACTACATGACACATGCACAAGCTTCAGTAGCCAATTTGATCAAGAGGAAGAAGGCATCAGTGATTGAAGATCAAATGAATGAAATGAAGCGAGAAGAGAAGTTTAGAGAAAAAAGAGTAAAAAGAAACAAACAAAGCATCCAAGAAACATGGGACTATGTGAAAAGACCAAATCTACGTCTGATTGGTGTACCTGAAAGTGACGGGCAGAATGGAACCAAGTTGGAAAACACTCTGCAGGATATTATCCAGGAGAATTTCCCCAACCTAGCAAGGCAGGCCAAAATTCAAATTCAGGAAATACAGAGAATGCTGCAAAGATAATCTTCGAGAAGAGCAACTCCAAGACACATAATTGTCAGATTCACCAAAGTTGAAATGAAAGAAAAAATGTTGAAGTCAGCCAGAGAGAAAGGTCAGATTACCCACAAAGGGAAGCCCATCAGACTAACAGCTGATCTCTCGGCTGAAACTCTACAAGCCAGAAGAGAGTGGAGGCCAATATTCAACATTCTTAAAGAAAAGAATTTTCAACCCAGAATTTCATATCCAGCCAAACTAAGCTTCATAAGTGAAGGAGAAATAAAATCCTTTACAGACAAAAAAATGCTGAGTGATTTTGTCACCACCAGGCCTTCCTTACAAGAGCTCCTGAAGGAAGCACTAAACATGGAAAGGACAACCTTTGCACAGCCACTGCAAAAACATCCCAAATTGTAAAGACCCTTGATGCTAGGAAGAAACTGCATCAACTAACGAGCAAAATAACCAGCTAACATCATAATGACAGGATCAAATTCACACATAACAATATTAACCTTAAACGTAAATGGGCTAAATGCTCCAATTAAAAGACACAGACTGGCAAATTGGATAAAGAGTCAAGACCCATCAGTGTGCTGTTTTCAGGAGACCCATCTCACGTGCAGAGACACACATAGGCTCAAAATAAAGGGATGGAGGAAGATCTACGAAGCAAATAGAAAACAAAAAAAAAGCAGGGGTTGCAATCCTAGTCTCTGATAAAACAGACTTTAAACCAACAAAGATCAAAAGAGACAAGGCCATTACATAATGGTAAAGGGATCAATTCAACAAGAAGAGCTAACTATCCTAAATATACATGCACCCAATACAGGAGCACCCAGATTCATAAAGCCTATACTTAGAGACCTAGAAAGAGACTTAGACTCCCACACAATAATAATTGGAGACTTTAACACCCCACTGTCAACATTAGACAGATCAACAAGACAGAAAATTAACAAAGGTATCCAGGAATTGAACTCAGCTCTACGCCAAGCAGACCTAATAGACATCTACAGAACTCTCCACCCCAAATCAACAGAATATACACTCTTCTAAGCACCACATCACACTTATTCCAAAATTGACCACATCGTTGGAAGTAAAGCACTCCTCAGCCAATGTAGAAAAACAGAAATGATAACAAACCATGTCTCAGACCACAGTGCAATCAAACTAGTACTCAGGATTAAGAAACTCACTCAAACCCGCTCAACTATATGGAAACTGAACAACCTGCTCCTGAGTGACTACTGGGTACATAACAAAAAGAAGGCAGAAATAAAGATGTTCTTTGAAACCAATGAGAACAAAGGCACAACATACCAGAAGCTCTGGGACACATTCAAAGCAGTGTGTAGAGGGAAATTTATAGCACTAAATGCCCACAAGAGAAAGCAGGAAAGATCTAAAATCAACACCCTAATATCACAATTAAAAGAACTAGACAAGCAAGAGCAAACACATTCCAAAGCTAGCAGAAGGCAAGAAATGACTAAGATCAGAGCAGAACTGAAGGAGATAGAGACACCAAAAACCCTTCAAAAAATCAATTAATCCAGGAGCTGGTTTTTTGAAAAGATCAACAGAATTGAAAGACCTCTAGCAAGACTAATAAAGAAGAAAAGAGAGAAGAATCAAATAGATGCAATAAAAAGTGATAAAGGGGATATCACCACCAATCCCACAGAAATACAAACTACCACCAGAGAATACTATAAACACCTTTATGCAAATAAACTAGAAAATCTAGAAGAAATGGATAAATTCCTGGACACATGCACCCTCCCAAGACTAAACCAGGAAGAAGTTGAATCCCTGAATAGACCAATAACAGGTTCTGAAATTGAGGCTATAGTTAATAGCCTACCAACCAAAGAAAGTCCAGGACCAGATGGATTCACAGCCGAATTCTATCAGAGGTACCAAGAGGAGCTGGTACCATTCCTTCTGAAACTATTCCAATCAATAGAAAAAGAGGGAATCCTCCCTAATTCGTTTTATGAAGCCAACATCATCCTGTTACCAAAGCCTGGCAGAGACACAACAAAAAAAGAGAATTTTAGACCAATATCCCTGATGAACATCAATGCAAAAATGCTCAATAAAATAGTGGCAAACCGAACCCAGCAGCAGATCAAAACGCTTATTCACCACGATCAAGTTGGCTTCATCCCTGGGATGCAAGGCTGGTTCAACATACACACATCAATAAATGTAATCCATCATGTAAAGAGAACCAGAGACAAAAACCACGTGATTATCTCAATAGATGCAGAAAAGGCCTTCGACAAAATTCAACAGCCCTTCATGCTAAAAACTCTCAATGAACTAGATGGGATGTATCTCAAATTAATAAGAGCTATTTATGACAAACCGACAGCCAATATCATACTGAATGGGCAAAAACTGGAAGCATTCCCTTTGAAAACTGGCACAAGACAGGGATGCCCTCTCTCACCACTCCTATTCAACATAGCATTGGAAGTTCTGGCCAGCACAGTCAGGCAAGAGAAAGAAATAAAGGGTATTCAATTAGAAAAAGAGGAAATCAAATTGTCCCTGTTTGCAGATGACATAACTGTATATTTAGAAAACCCCATCGTCTCAGCCCAAAATCTCCTTAAGCTGATAAGCAACTTCAGCCAAGTCTTAGGATACAAAATCAATGTGCAAAAATCACAAGCATTCCTCTACACCAATAACAGACAAACAGAGAGCCAAATCAAGAGTGAACTCCCATTCACAATTGCTTCAAAGAGAATAAAATACCTAGGAATCCAACTTACAAGGGATAGGAAGGACCTCTTCCAGGAGAACTACAGAACACTGCTCAGCAAAATAAAAGAGGACACAAACAAATGGAAGAACATTCCATGCTCATGGGTAGGAAGAATCAATATTGTGAAAATGGCCACACTGCCCAAGGTAATTTATAGATTCAGTGCCATCCCCATCAAGCTACCAATGACTTTCTTCACAGAATTGGAAAAAACTACTTTAAAGTTCATATGGAACCAAAAAAGAGCTGCATTGCTAAGACAATCCTAAGCCAAAAGAACAAAGCTGGAGGCATCACGCTACCTGACTTCAAACTATACTACAAGGCTACAGTAAACAAAACAGCATGGTACTGGTACCAAAACAGAGATATAGACCAATGGAACAGAACAGAGCCCTCAGAAATAATACCACACATTTACAACCATCTGATCTTTGACAAACCTGAGAAAAACAAGAAATGGGGAAAGGATTCCCTATTTAATAAATGGTGCTGGGAAAACTGGCTAGCCATATGTAGAAAGCTGAAACTGGATCCCTTCCTTGTACCTTATACAAAAATTAATTCAAGATGGATTAAAAACTTAAATGTTAGACCTAAAACCATAAAAACCCTAGAAGAAAACCTAGGCAATCCCATTCAGGACATAGGCATGGGCAAGGGCAAGGACTTCATAATTAAAACACCAAAGTAATGACAACAAAAGCCAAAATAGCCAAATGGGATCTAATTAAACTAAAGAACTTCTGCACAGCAAGAGAAACTACCATCAGAGTGAACAGGCAACCTACAGAATGGGAGAAAATTTTTACAATCTACCCATCTGACAAAGGGCTAATATCCAGAATCTACAAAGAACTTAAACAAATTTACAAGAAAAAATCAACACCATCAAAAAGTGGGCAAAGGATATGAACAGACACTTATCAGAAGAAGACATTTATGCAGCCAACAGACACATGAAAAAATGCTCATCATCACTGGCCATCAGAGAAATGCAAATCAAAACCACAAGGAGATACCATCTCATACCAGTTAGAATGGCAGTCATTAAAAAGTCAGGAAACAACAGGTGCTGGAGAGGATGTGGAGAAATAGGAAGGCTTTTACACTGTTGGTGGGAGTGTAAACTATTTCAACCATTGTGGAAGACAGTGTGGCGACTCCTCAAGGATCTAGAACTAGAAATACCATTTGACCCAGCAATCCCATTACTGGGTATATACCCAAAGGATTATAAATCATTGTACTATAAAGACACATGCACACGTATGTTTATTGCGGCACTATTCACAATAGCAAAGACTTGGAACCAACCAGACTGGATGAAGAAAATGTGGCACATATACACCATGGAATACTATGCAGCCATAAAAAATGATGAGTTCATGTCCTTTGTAGGGCCATGGATGAAGCTGGAATCCATCATTCTCAGCAAACTATTGCAAGGACAGAAAACCAAACACCGCATGTTCTCACTCATAGGTGGGAATTGAACAATGAGAACACTTGGACACAGGTTGGGGAACATCACACACCAGGGCCTGTTGTGGGGTGGAGGGAGGGGGGAGGGATATCATTAGGAGATACACATAATGTAAATGGTGAGTTAACGGATGCAGCACACCAACATGGCACATGTTTACATATGTAACAAACCTGCACGTTTTGCGCATGTACCATAGAACTTAAAGTATAATAATAATAAAAAAGAATGTTGAATATTGGCCCTCACTCTCTTTTGGCTTGTAAGGTTTCTGCAGAGAGATCTGCTCTTAGTCTGATGGGCTTCTCTTTGTGGGTAGCCCGACCTTTCTCTCTGGCTGCCCTTACCATTTTTTCCCTTCATTTCAACCTTTGTCAATCTGACAATTACGTGTCTTGGGGTTGCTTTTCTCGAGGAGTATCATGGTGGTGGTCTTTGTATTTCTTGAATTTGAATGTTGGCTTGTCTTGCTTGGTTGGGGAAGTTCTCCTGGATAATATCCTTAAGAATGTTTTCCAATTTGGTTCCATTCTCCCTGTCATTTTCACATATACCAATCAAACATAGATTTGACCTTTTCACATAGTCCCATATTTCTTTGAGGCTTTGTTCATTCCTTAAGTTTTTTTTTCTCTAATCTTGTCTTCATGCTTTATTTCATTAAGTTAATCTTCAATCTCTGATATCCTGTCTTCTGCTTGATCAATTCGGCTATTGATACTTGTTTATTTTTCACAAGGTTCTCGTACTGTCTCTTTCGGCTTCATGAAGTCATTTATGTTCTTCTCTAAACTGGTTATCCTAGTTAGCAGTTCCTGTAACCATTTATCAAGGTTCTTAGCTTCCTTGCATTGGGTTAGACCATGCTCCTTTAGCTCAGAGGAGTTTGTTTTTACCCATCTTCTGAAGCCTACTTCTGTCAGTTTGTCAAACTCATTCTCCATCCAATTTTGTTCTCTTGCTGGCAAGGAGTTGTGATCTTTTGGAGAAGAGGCATTCTGGATTTTGGAATTTTCAGCCTTTTTGCCCTGGTTTTTCCTCATCTTTGTGAATTTGTCTGTTTTTGGTCTTTGATGTTGGTGATCTTTGGATGGGGTTTTTGCGTGGGTGTCCTTTTTGTTGATGTTGGTGCTATTGCTTTCTGTTTGTTAGTTTTCCTTCTGACAGGCTCCTCTTCTGCAGGTCTGCTGGAGTTTGCTGGAAGTCCACTCCAGACACTGTTTGCCTGTGTATCACCAGTGGAGGCTGCAGAACAGCAAAGATTGCTGCCTGCTCCTTCCTCTGGAAGCGTCATCCCAGAGGGGCACCTGCCAGATGCCAGCTGGAGCTCTCCTGTATGAGTTGTCTGTCAACCCCTGCTGGGAGATGTCTCCTAGTCAGGAGGGACAGGGGTCAGGGACCCACTTGAGGAGGCAGTCTGTCCCTTAGCAGAGCTCAGGTGCTGTGCTGGGAGATACGCTGTGCTCTTCAAAGCCACAGGCAGAACGTTTAAGTGTAATGATATTGATACACAACATGGATGCAGAAGGATTTCCAGTAAATTACAGGCACTGGAAGAAAGTGTTGGGAGGATGAAGACTGGAGCCGAGCAATCCACAGCTTTCAAGGATCTGCTTACAGATTTGGGAAACCGTATTCCATTATCCGCCCAACTATCTTTGCAGAGTCATCCTCATCACTGTTCCCTCTCCTCTACCCTCAGCCCAAATTCTACACGTAAAGCAATATTGGTGAGAGAACAAGCAGAGCCCGTGAAACCAGGCTGCTGGGCTTGAAGTCTTGCTCTGCCACTTTATGACCAAGGCGTTTATAGGATGAATGCAAAGTTGGCTTAACGTTTAAAAACAGGCCAGTGCAATTCATCACATTAAGAGAATAAAGAAGAAAAATCACCTGCTCATCTGAATAGATGCAAAAAAGTATTTGACCAAATTTCAACAAACCATAGAAAATTAGTCGTATCTGTGAAAAACCTACAGCTAACAACATTCTTAATCATAAAATACTGAACGTTTTACCCTAAGATCATGAACAAAGCAAGGATGTCTGTGCGTATGACTTTTATGCAGTGTTGTACCAAAGGGTCTAGTCAGTGTAACAAGCATTAAAAAGAAATGGAAGTCATACAGATTGTAAAAGATGAAGTAAAGTTGTCTTTATTCTCAAAAGACATGATTGGATATACAGGAACTTCTAAGAAATCTACTTCAAAAAACCCTCCCAGAGCTAGGTGAATATAGCAAGATCACAGAATTTAGGGTGAACATATAAACTTAATATATGGAAATACGGCTGCATAATTTACACAAAATTGAAATAATGCAGTAGCATAAAAACCCTTACAATATATGAGAGTAAACACCAGCTAGAGTAGTAACAGTACACCTGCTATGCTCACACTACATGTATATACATAACACCTGCACCATGTACACACAGAATCGTGAAGGCAGCAGCCTCGGCAATACTTCAGGTGACTGTAAATAAGTAGCACTTATTTTTATGTTCCTCAGCTCTATCCTGTCTGGCTATGCCTCAGTCTTCAATCTTTTTCAATCCAAGGCTTATTGGGTACGGTTTATGCTGGGAGATTAAGTGAGGCCCAGGAGTTGATATAGCAGCAATGAAGTCTTTGGGACCTTCCATGAGTCATTTTAGTGGTGCAGAAGGGGAACAGCCTGATTAGAGTGATTTCACAAAACAGGAGAGGAGGAAATGAAGATTAGCAATGAGGAAACTCTTCAGAGTTTTAAGGTAAAGAGGGTAGAAAAACTGGGCCATAGTTGGAAGAGAATGCAGGCTGAAACCAAATTTCTAATTTTTTTTTTCTAAGATGGGAGAAATTTGTGTCTTGATGGGAATGATCCTAGTAGAGGTGGAGAACTGTTGAAGTGATGTCCGTTTGTGAGCGAGAGGGTGTTCACAAATGCAAGAAGGTTGGCCTTAGAATGGATGAACTCTCTGTGTTCCCCAGTGACAAGGTCCAGGGCTATAGGCACAGGCAGGCTGGTGGGTGTGGAGGCGGATCAGGTGCAGATTCTCTTTTCATTGCTTATATTTTCTCATGGAATAAGAAACAAAGAAATAAGGGTGTTGGAGGTTTAAAGGGAGAGAAGTTGAGAAATTGTTGCAAAACACTAGGAGAAAACCATGAACTAGGTAAATATGGTAGGACATTGGGCCACATGAGGGCCCCTTGAAGTTACAGTGAGACCAGGCAGCATGGTTGTGTATTTCTCTCCAGCTGTTCACAGCTGAATGGGAACAGGTGGAGTAGGCAAAGCATTAGGCTTAGCCAGGGGCTGTGGTTTTGCCAGATAAATAAGAGGAATGGAGAAAGAAGCAAAGGTATGATTATAATAGAGCCATGGAAAGGAAGTTTGATAAGGGGGAAAATAACAGGGGTAAAAGGTGAGTGGGAAAAGGTGGTAGGAGTCCTAGAGTGTAGGACTCTCTTGGGTTCTAAAGAGTTGTGATAATAACCCAATGCTTGGCATCTGTAGTCCTTCAGGGTTGTATAGCAAGTGGTTCGAGTTTGTTTGCATAATAAAACTATGAGGTACTTAGGGCAGGTGGTGGTGGTGGTGATTCCAATAGCCGAGACAAGCTCCAAAGAGGTAAATGGCTTACTGGAAAGTCACACCTGGAGTCAGTGGAGAAGCATAGACTCATCCACAGTTCTCTACCATGGGTAGTCTTTTATCCCTGTGTGTGGTGTCTGCTCATGGATCACTCAGTCTTGTTGAAGAGGTGGAAGGTAGAAGACAGCCTAAGACAAAATGTAATAATGCATTCAATTCTATGGGATGGAGCAGTATAAGGAGTTTATCTGATCAGTAATACTATTATAAGTACTAGGGATATAGCAGTGAACAAGATAGAAAAAAGGTCTCTCAGTGCTTTGGGAGGCGGAAGCAGGAGGATCATATGAGGCCAGGAGTTGAAGATGAGCCTAGGCAACATAGTGAGACCCCATCTCTGCAAAAAAATATATTAAAGAATTAGCTAGGTATGGTGGTGTATGCTCTAGTCCCAGCTACTTAGGAGGCTGAAGTGGGATGATTACCTAAGCTCAGGAATTAGAGGCTGCAGTGAGCTGTGACTGTGCCACCATTGCACTCCAGCCTGAGTGACAGAGTAAGACTGTGTCCCTTAAAAAAGAAGCATCCTGAAGTCCTGTGCTTCAGAGAAGTTTTAGAAGGGTTTCTCTGTGACTCTTCTAAAGCATCATGATATGGTAAAAAGCACATTTTACTAAAAGTTGGGAAACATGTTTTTCTGCTACTTGTTTACTGCTACTGCTTCTGCTTCTGACATTGTTGCTTCAACTCACCATGCTTAGTGGAGGTCCCCATCTATAAACTAAGGTGTTGTGGCTTTGAGAGTTCTACTCTGTCTAAAAGTGCTATGCATTGAGGTCAGTGTTCTAGGCTAATGAAATTGTTGCTATAAAGTGTCCTCACCCAACCTCCTGCTCTAAAGTGTGGAAATGCACATCTTATTTTGTAGTGATGAGACTCTGTTGACATAGTGAGATGCTGCAGTAAAATGCATTCAAAGTCACTCTCCACCTTTGAAACTGGGGAAATCCGAAAGGGAGACATAGGCTGAGTGCAGGTCCGAGTCCCATCCTTAACTTAGTGATGTCTCAGACCTGTTAAAAGCTTTGTAATAACAAATGCATGCTTCCCCTCTTCTTACTCCTTCCTTAGGCCTGGAGGAAACGCTGGTTTATCCTGCGGAGGGGCCAGACTAGCAGTGACCCAGATGTTCTGGAATACTACAAGAATGATGGCTCCAAGAAGCCCCTGCGCACCATCAACCTGAACCTCTGTGAGCAGCTGGATGTTGATGTGACTCTGAACTTCAACAAGAAGGAGATTCAGAAGGGCTATATGTTTGACATCAAGACCAGTGAGCGTACCTTTTACCTGGTGGCTGAGACCAGGGAGGACATGAATGAGTGGGTCCAGAGCATCTGTCAGATCTGTGGCTTCAGGCAGGAGGAAAGCACAGGTATGGGAGCACACACAGCCCTGTCTCAGGAGGGGCTGAGATGAGGCCCTCCAATCTCCAGCAAGGAGGGCAGCTCTAGCTGCCAACACTGCCAAGAAGTGTTGGGCTCGTGATGAAGCTAAAGGCATTTTTGGTGTTTCTTCAGACACCTCGATACCACTACCATCCTCAGTCCTCCACCTCTCCCCCTTCCCTGAGCTCTCTGCACTTTGCCCTGTCACCTCTCAGCCACCTGTAGGGAAGACCTCTCCTTCGCCTTCTACTGATCCATCTCTGGCTGTTCTGGCCCTACTTCAGACCACCTGGCACAGTTGCACTTGACCCTTGGTGGGTTTGTTTGGGGTTGCTTTTTGATTCTTACTGATTTATAATCACTTAGGAGGGGACAGGTGAGAGGAGCAAATACAGACTTATGCTTGGGTTTTAATAACCTTCACAAAAGAGTAGTTCAGCTTTTTAAAATGAGTTGTAAGTTGCAGAAATGCTCCTTCACATTTGTTCAGGCTCATCCTCTACTCACCAGTAAGGTTGAGGAGCAGCAGGCTTTTTTTTTTTTTTTCCTGAGGCAGATATATGGTCTAAATTGGCCATTCTTGAACCTGGTTGCACATCAGAATTAAGGAGGGACATTTGTAAAATGTTGATGCCAAGGACCTGTGCCAAGTGAGTTACCCAGGAATCTCTTGGGTGGTGGACCCAGGCATTAGTGTCTTTTGGAAGCTCCACTCTTTCCCACTTTTTTTGGGAGGATAAAATTGAAAAAGTAAAGCTTCATTTTGAGTAGCAAGGGTCCAGGGCTCAGCAGATACTTCCTGTAAATATTTTAGATTTTGAAGGCCACAGATAGTCTCTATTTTATATTCCTATTTTTTTTAATGTTACAATCCTTTGAAAATGTAAAAACCATTCTCAGCTCATCAGCATCAGCATCACCTGGGAACTTGTTAGACCTGCACATTCTCGTGAGAATGTCAGTAAGTAATTCATTCTTGTAAGTCAGTCTGCACCCCACTCCAGACTTACTGAATCAGAAACTCTGGGACAAAACACAGCAGTCTGGTTTTAAGAACTCTCCAGGCAATGTTTATTGCCAGAACTGCTTTGAAAGGATGTTTCTGGAGCTATAGCCCATTGGAGAGAGCTGACCAGTTTTATAGCCATGGCTTGGTGCTGATAGACCCCCAGGTCTGCATATAAATGGACTCTGGGTCATGGATAGGACTCTACTGCCCGAGTGCTAGACAGGGGCTGTGGAGGTGAGGGTGAGTCACTCTTTCATCCTCACAGCCCACACATACAACTGGGGGCATGAAGGATGCATGGGGTGACAGGACAGGGTTAGTGGGTTGTGGAAAAGTGGCCTTTCCTACCAGACTGAGGAGCCTGGACTTTATTGGGAGGGCAATGAGGAGCAGTGACTGTCACCAGGGGAGTAGTTCCTTACTATACTACATCCTTTGTTTGATCAACACATACTTACTGTGTTACACACTGGGCTTGATTCTGAGAACAAAACCATTTCAAAAAGAGATGAAATCTCTGCCCTCACTGAGTTTTGAGCTGAATGTATGGGGTGATGAGAAAGAGGTTGGTATTTTACTAGAATTCCATTTGAAACACGAGGAATTACTGGCAAGAAACTGGTTGAAGAAATAAACAGAAATATGGTTTTAGAAAGAGAGAGAGTGCTTTGTGAGTCATCTTAAGGATGCAGCGCACTGTGGAAGAGCTTTCTGTGAGCAATGCCATAAGGACAGGACATGGTTGGTGAGAAAGAGTGAAGAGTCACAGTGATGCCTGGGCTCTGGCTTAGAGAGTGCAGTGGACAGTCATGCTGATGTGCCTCACCGAGAGGGAACACAGGCATACGAGGGGCTCACTTGGAGCATCGGGGACACCTGCTTGTGGGGTGTCTGCCTTGCGGCAGGGAGCCCCAGAAAGGCCTGAGCTGCAGGTTCAGATTTTAGAGTTGCCATCACTTAGGTGGTCCTGGGGGCTGTGGGAGGACAGGATCACCCTGCGGTATCCGGAGTCAGGGTGAGGCTGAGGAGGGTCTAGAGCAGAACCCTGAAGAATAGCTCCATTGAAGGCAGAGGAAACAGATCCAACAAGATGGCAGGAGCAGAGGCTCAGCAGAGCTTCCCAGGCTGCACCCTCCCTGGGCAGCAGCTGTGTTCATCCTTGGTGCCGTGGCTGCTTGGCCCCCTAGCATAGACCCTTGCTCCTCCACTGGTAGAGCATTCATCTTGCAGGTCTTTTGGAGCTACAAGGCCATTGATTCTGTTAGCAGACATCCCACTCACCAGGAGACCTGCATGGGAGCTCATCTTGGAGTGCACATAGCTGTAAGTGGAGCCATCTTTCCCAGAGCCCTGCCATATGTTTCTGTTGCTCACTGGCAGAACGTGTCTTGCCTAGCATCAGAAACAGCTGGAGAGGAGCAGACACTCAGGGGCATTAGCCAGCTGGGGTTCCTGCCTCAGGCCATGAGGTGGCACAGCCAGAAATAGGCCAGATATCAGGGGGCAGAAAGAGAACTCTGCCCCCTCTGATATGACTTGAAGAACCCTTAGAAAGCCACCATCAACACCACCCAAACATAACCCCACTTAGCGATCACATCATTTGAAATTACACCTGTAGACCTTCATTTCTTTTGAACAAGAAGTTTTGCTGTTGGGGTTTTTGATTGCTGAAAGTATGTTTTTATTTATTCTGCAAACACAAACTAAAAACTATCTATGTACCTGGCTTCTGTTGGGTAAATGCTTGGGCTGTGGAGGTAACAACATCAGTAGCGGTTCTCAAAAACCCGTGGACTGGGCAAGGAAGTGCCTATGATGGGATCACGCATGTAACGGGAACATGGGCCAAGTGCTGTGACACCCAGAAGAAAGTCGGTCCCTGAAGTTTCAGAGAGAATATGATATTTGAGCAGGTCTTAAAGTCTGCATGTGAATTTGAGTAGAAGTGAAATCCAGGCAGAAGGAACAGCATAAGCCAAAGCAAAGAAGCCTGAAAGAGGCCGGTGTGTGCAGGATGGCTGATGCTGCCATATACCTTGGTCGTGGGTATAGGAAAGCAGGAAACAGGTCAGACTGTGAAAGGCCTCGTAGGTTCTGCTGAGTAGTGTGGACAGGTCCTGGAGAGCAAGCCAGATGAACAGTGTGCTGGGCTTGGGGTGCAGCAAAGTACTACCTGTCCATGATACCTCTCTTCCTTGCCAACACCACAGGAGAGTCTGAGATGCCATGGAAGGACAGGCAGGAAAGCTGGGTTTCCAAGAATGCGGCTTCAGTTGGCAAGCCTCGCTTCACCCAGACAGCCTTAGCTTTGAGGGAGGCCATGACAGAGGAGCCACCATGGAGGAGGGAGGTGGCAGCACTCACCACTGCAGAGGCTGTCTTGCCTGGGGGCCCGGACCACACTCCTGGACTGTGGGGAACCACGCCGTCTGGGAGTGGAGCAGTCAGGGCCCAGGGCACTATGAGGCCTCCAGGCTGCTCCAGGGTAGGAAAGAGGCAGAGCGTCTGCTCCTCAGCCAGGATAGCCAGGAGGCCCCAGCCCTCCTCTGGGAGGACAGAGGAGGCAGGCATGTGAGAGGAAGAGTGCTGGTGCTGGATTACCGCCACTGTCTTCATGTGTTTCTGCCTCTAGCAGCCCACTTTAGGACAAGGATGCCCTTCCTTCCTGTTTCATTCACAGGCTTCCTGGGAAACATTTCCTCAGCCAGTCACGGCCTCTGCTCTTCTCCAGCTGAGCCCAGCTGCTCCCATCAGCACCTCCCCCAAGAACAAGAACCCACATCTGAGCCCCCGGTGTCTCACTGTGTGCCGCCCACCTGGCCCATCCCTGCACCTCCGGGGTGTCTCCGCTCGCACCAGCACGCCAGCCAGAGAGCAGAACATGCAAGGTAGGGGGCTACTATGGCCAGTGGGGGCAGTGACCCCCACAAGGTCTTGTTCTATTCAGTCCCTGATTTTTTTAAATTTCAAAGAGAAAGACATAAAATATTATATCTTTCCAGGTAAGCAAACATATATAACAACATTTAATTTTTTGTTTATGTAGCCTTCACATTTTATTTGTTTTATTTGTGTTGCTACAAAGTGATAATTGGATTCCTAAGAAACCTACCATTATAAAAAAACCATGCCATGAAAATTTTGTTTGATTGTGGGGAAAAAAGCATTAGAGGCTAGAGTTTCAGAACTGCAAATAACAAAGTCGGTTTATGTGTTGGCCTTAAGAGGACAGCTATGAAACCTTAAGATTGATGACCAGATCCATAGCTCAGTTGAATTCTAAGCTGTGCTGCTCCACAGTAGCTGCAGTCATGGCTATTTAAATTTAAGCTAATTAAAATTAAATTAAATTTCGAGTTCAGTTTCTCAGTTATAGTAGCCACAAGTCAAATGCTCAGTAGCCACCAAAGTGACTAGCAAAGATAGGTAGCATGTCCATCACCACAGATGGTTTCACAAGGGACTTCTTGCTCTGGAACCATGACCTCTGCTTCTCTGACACCACTGGCTCTCACACAGGGGCAGGGCCTGCACCAGTTTTATCACCTGTTATTCCCAGTGTAAGGTCACGCAAATGTGCAGAGGGGATGGGCTTGGCCAGAGCTGGTGCTCAGTTGCTACTGTGGCACACAGATCACAGTCACATTCCTTGGTTTGTTAGTTTAGAAATACCTAAATCATGCTGTGAAAATGAAGGCAGACAGATAAATGGCTGTGTTAATAGATGACTTCATGACATCTGTGAGAATATTTTCATACATAATCTCACTTGAACCAGTCAAACATATGAGAGATAGCTAGGAAGATCATTTATCTCCATTTTATAGGTGAAGCACCTGAGGCTCACAGCTATCAAATGGTAGAGGCGGGACTAGAACCCAGGTGTCCTCACATCTGTCCTGAACTCTTTGCCCCACACTTTGCTGCACCCCTGGTTTACTAATCCTTTTTCTGTAACATGGCAGGGGCTCCAGCACTCAATCTGAAGGCTAGTTCCATCACCCATTTTCCTGAAGCAATGCGATTCCTTCGTTTGTGAACTTTCAGCAGTTCCGCCTTCATCAACTGATACATGAAGATCTGTGTTCTAGAAAGACAGAACAAATTAACCAAGATCACTAAACTAGTTAGTGGCAGAACCACACCAGTACCTGCCTCTCCTGAGTCCCAGACCAGGGATAGGCAGTACAGTGCAATGGAAAGCATGGCACAGGCTTGGCATCGGCCAGATATGGTTTCAAATTGAGGTTCTGCCACTTTTCTGGGAATCTTAGGCCACTTATTTAACCTCTTTGACCTTCAACTTCCTTATCTTCAGAATGGAAACGACTAACTCAAAGGCTGATGGGTGTAAGGTGGCAGAACACACATGAAGTGCACAGTGGCAGATGCTCAGTCCCTGTTACCTGTGGTTCTCCCTGTGCCCCTTTCCCTCTATTGCATGTATGAATGCCTGGACAGAGAGAACTGAGGTCTTCCAGTCGTTGTTCTTGTAAAAGACACAGTGCTTCGTGTTGGTGCCCTTCATACTTTCACATGCACGTGGAACACCTGGGGAGCTTGCTGAGATGCTTGTTTTCATCAGCGAACCTAGGGTGGGTCCTACAGTCCTGCCTTGCTGACACAGACTGAGGATACCAGTGCAGCTCATCTGCAGGACACACTTTATGTAGAAGGCTTGGTATACTAACAGCCACCACCACCTGTACTCCCATGACACAGCTGAAGCAAAAGGAGACAGACAGGTAAATGTCTGCCTGCATGAGCAGTGAGGGTCCACTTTCTGTATTCCTTCCTCCTCTGTGAAATTCCTGTTAGTCTTACCAGCAGGAGTTGGTTTCTTTGAATCACCACAGCAGTTTTTTATGTTCTCTCTCCCAGCATTTGGGGCTGTCTGCCTCATGTTAATGGATTTCTGTGTTAAGATGTTCTGGATGTTATGGAGGTCGTGTTATGGATTTCTGTGTTAAGATGCTCTGAGGACACAAGGCAGGGCATATAGTATGTCTTTATCAGTACATGATCAGCGTTTGATGGTCGTGTGCTGTAGTGAGATGGCACATTTGAGGAGAAAGAACTGTCTAAAGCTTAGGAACAGCACTGCCATGGGCCCTTGGCCAAGCTGTGCTGTCCTCTTTGTTTTCGCTTGTGTGGATGAGGGAGTGAGAGGACAATTAGCAATATCTCAGTGTAGTTTCTACAGAAAAGTTAGACACTGTTTGCCAAATTCCAAGGGGAGATGGAGAATAGGAAGGAAGCTTTCTTAAGTCCTGAAAGATGATATTGTTTCTGATGGTAGTGGCATAGCTTGCATCATACTAAACCTACTGAACAGTTAGAAACTGAGACATTAGAAAACAATTGTTTGAAGGCACTGAAGAACAATCAAAACTCTGGAACAGATTTGACTCTTGAAAGAACTGAGATTCAATTTCCGTGGCTTTTCCTAGAACAGATCCCAGATATTCAGTATCCAATGAAAAATTACTAGCCGTATGAGTAAATGGTAAAAGTTGACCCACAGTTTAGAGAACTCAGTACATAGAAACAGACCAGAATAGACCCAGATTTTGGAGCTAGCCTACAAAGACTTTAAAATAAGTATGTTAACTTTTTAAATCTGTGGGCAAAAAATGTATGTAATGGGTGAAGAGATGATGGATTTCGGGAGAGATACAGGGACCCTGGTAAAGGACTTAGGAGTTCCAGCTCCACTGTGGTGGCAGACCCACTGCAGGATATCATTCCCAGATCACAGCTTAAAACTCTGGACACATACAAAGTACAATTACCCAAAGACCCTGGGAGGTAAATGAAAGGAGGCAGGGTGTGGACTGGAGAAAAACTTGGAGCAGCAAATACACAGAGGTCAATTTTCTGTCTTCCATGGATTTGCCTCCAGGGTGCACCCACACAAAGCAGCACAGTGGGGCCAGTGGTTAAAACTTTCCTGGAAACTCCATCTTTCTAGGTAGAGGAACCAGGAAAGAGCCCAATGGAGCTGGAAAGGATTCTAGAGCAGAGTGAGCTGGAGAAGGGATCTGCTAATTCTGAGCACGAAACCACCCAAGTCTTATGCTCACCTTGAGCTACATGTGTGTAGAAAGTCCCAAACCAGTGTAACAGAGCTATATGAACTGAGCACAGCTTGGAACTGCCACACATAGGAGAGATGGAACTTGCAGTCTCAACCTAACCAGCTTGATTTCCTGCAGAAACCAAAACATCAACATTCTCCCAAGGATTATGGCAACCCACAGTCTACACAAAACACAACATGCACAACATTCAGGATGTAATTCACATTTTCTCAGCTTACGGAGAACCAGCAGAATTTAACCAGTTTTAATTGGAAGACACAGATGTGAACCTCAAGATAATACAGATGTTGGCTATATACCCAGCAGTGAGATTGCTGGATCATATGGTAGTTCTAGTTTTAGTTTTTTGAGGAACCTCCATATTGTTTTCCATAGTGGCTGTGCTAATTTACATTCCTACAAAGAGTATATAGAGCATTCCCATTTCTCCATGCCCTTATCAGCATTTGTTATTATCTTTTTGATAATAGCCATTTTAACTGGGGGAGATGATATCTCATGTGGTTTTGATTTGCATTTTCGTAATGACTAGTGATGTTGATAATTTTTTCATTTACCTGTTGGCCATTTGGATGTCTTCTTTGGAGAAATGTCTATCCAGATCTTTTGTCCATTTTGTAATCTGATTATTTGATTTTTTTGTCCATTGAGTTGTTAGAGTTCCTTATATATTCTATTAATTTCTTATTGGATGAATAGTTTGAAAATACTTTCTCCTATTGCGTAGATTGTTTCTTTACCTTATTAATTTTTTCCTTTGCTATACAGCAAAGCTTTTTAGCTTGATATAATCCCATTTGTCAGTTTTTGCTTTGATTACCTGTGCATTTGAGGTGCTATTCAAGAACGTATGGCTAGACCAATGTTTTGAAGTGTTTTCTCAATGTTTTCTTCTACATGTTTCATGGTTTCAGGTCTTATATTTACATGTTCAATCAATTTTGAGTTGATTTTTGTATAGGGTGAGAGATAGGGCTCTAGTTTCATTCATACATTCATATGGATATTTATTTTTCCCAGCACCATTTATTGAAGAGACTGTTCTTTCCCCAGTGTATACTCTTGGCATCTTTGTTGAAAATGAGTTGACTGTAAATGCATGAATTTATTTCTGAGATCTGTATTCTGTTCCATTGGCCTGTGTGTCCATTTTTAAGTCAGTGCCATGCTGTTTTGGTTATAGCTTTGTAGTATATTTTGAAGTCAGGTAATATGAGTCCTCCAGTTTTGTTCTTTTTTGCTCAGGGTTGCTTTGGCTGTTCTGATCCTAGTGTGGTTTCATATAAATTTTAGAGTTTTTATTTCTATTTCTGTAGAAAATACAGAATGGTATTTTGATAGGCATTGACTCTGCAGATTTCTTTAGGTAGTGTTGGGGTGATCAGATGCAACACCAGACCATGAGGGCTATGAAGTCTGGTGGAGTGAAAGGAATGAGAAAAGACAAGTTAAGAGTGAAAGTGGGACCAGGGGGCCAATGCTAGTACGGAGGCTGTGAAGGCTCTGAGCTCTGGGAGCCCATGCTATTTATTGGTGATCAAAGAAACAGGTGGTGAGGATGTGGGGTTGAAAGGTAGTGATGCATCAAGCGCATGATCTACACCTGTGACGGTTTAGCATTTTCTTTGAAGCATATGGAACATGTTCTGCTACTTGAGATAATGGAAACATGTTCTTCTAGTTTAAGATACAATCAACCTGTGATCCTGGGAATGCTAGAAGCAAGGAGCCAGCAAGTCTAGACACATTCCAGAGGCCACTAGGGGTTTTATGCCCTGAGCCCTGGATTCCATCCACGCCACGAGGGGTTTTATGCCCTGGGCTTAGATTATGGTGCGGCAGGGCAGCCTTCCACCCTTTGGCACAGAATTTGGTGTTCCAAAGGCCAAGAGGGGTTTTAGACCCTGGACCCTGGACATGTTCCGAGACTCTTTTACATTATGTCAGACATGCAAGCCCTGCCTCAGCTTTTTTCCCAACACTCAGCTTTTCCCCAACAGAAGTCAGGTAATATGATTCCTCCAGTTTTGTTCTTTTTGCTCAGGGTTGCTTTGGCTGTTCTGATTCTTGTGTGGTTTCATATAAATTTTAGAATTTTTGTTTCTATTTCTGTAGAGAATACTGAATGTATTTTGATAGGCATTGATTCTGCAGATTAGGTGGTGTGGACATTTTAACAATATTAATTTTTGCAATCATGATCATGTGATATTGTTCCATTTTCATGTCCTTTTTAATTTCTTTAATAAATATTTTATAGTTTCATTGTTGAGATCTTTTACTTCTTCAAGATTATTTTGTAAGTATTTTTTGTAGCTACTGTAAATGGGATTGCTTTCTTAATTTCTTTTTTAGACTGTTTGTTGTTGACATATAGAAATACTACTGATTTTTACATATTGATTTTGTATCCTGCATCTTTTCTGAATTTATTTATCTGTTCCAACAGCCTTTTGGCATTTTTAAGTTTTCCTAAATATAAGATTATATTGTCTGCAAACAAGGACAATTTTACTTCTTCCTTTTCAATTTGGATGCCCTTTCTTTCTCCCTTCTCATTGCTCTGGCTAGGACTTCTAGTGGGCATTCTTGTCTTGTTCCAGATTTTAGAGGAAAGGCTTTTCATTTTTCCCTGTTCAGTATGATGCTAGCTGTGGGTTTTGCATGTAAAGCCTTTATTGTTTTGAGGCATGTTCCTTCGATACCCAGTTTGTTGAGAGTTTTTATTGTCAAGGGATGTAGCATTTTATCAAATAACTTTTTGTCATATTTTGAAATGATCATATGGTTTTTGTTTTTGAATCTATTAATGTGGTGTATCATGTTCATTTCTTTGCATATGTTGAACCCTCCTTGCATCCCTGAAATGAATCTCACTTGATCAAGATTAATTATCTTTATAATATATTGTTATAAACATCAGGGATGTTTTCTTTTTTTGTTGTATCTTTGTCTGTTTTTGGTATCAGGATAGTGCTTCATAGGATGAGTTTAGAAGTATTCCATCCTCCTCAACATTTTGGAATAGTTTGAGAAGAATTGATGTTAGTTCTTCATATGTTTGGTAGAAATCAGCGGGGAAGCCATCGGGTCTTGGGTTTTTCTTTGATGGGAGTTTATTACTGTGTCTATCTTGTGACTTCTTGGTCTGTTCAGGTTTTCTATTTCTTCATGATTCAACCTTGCTAGGTTGTATTTGTGTAGGAATTAATCTGTATCTTCCAGGTTTTCCAATTTTTGGCATATTGTTGCTCATAATAGTCTCTGATGGTCCTTTGAATTTTTGTCTTATCAGATGTAATGTCTCCTTTTTTGGCTCTGATTTTATTTAAGGCTTGACTCATTTTTTGTTAATCTAGCTAAAGGATTATCAATTTTGTTTATCTTTTCAAAAAAGCAAAGTTTTTGTTTCATTGATATTTTATTTTTTTCACTCTAAATTTTATTTATTGCTGCTATGAACTGTAATATTTATTTCCTTCTAATTTGGGGTTTGGTTTTTTCTTACTTTTGAACTTTTTTAAGGGGCATCATTTAGTTTTTTTCTACTCCTTACTATATTTTATATTTATATTTATTTATTTATTTTTATTATACTTTAAATTCTGGGATACATGTGCAGAACGTGCAGGTTTGTTACATAGGTATACACGCACCATAGTGGTTTGCTGCACCCATCAACCCATCATCTACATTAAGTATTTCTCCTAATGCTATCCCTCCCCTATCTCCCCACCCCTTGACAGGCCCCGATGTGTGATGTTTCCCTCCCTGTGTCCATGTGGTCTCATTGTTCACCTCCTACTTATGAGTGAGAACATGTGGTGTTTGGTTTTCGGTTCTAGGGTAAGTTTGCTGACAATGATGGTTTCCAGCTTCATTCATGTCCCTGCAAAGGACGTGAACTCATTCTTTTTTATGGCTGCATAGTATTCCACGGTGCATATGTGCCACATTTTCTTTATCCAGTCTATCATTGAGGGGCATCCAGGTTGGTTCCAAGTCTTTGCTATTGTGAATAGTGCTGCAATAAACATACGGGTGTACTTGTCTTTATAGTAGAATGATTTATAATCCTTTGGGTATATACCCAGTAATGGGATTGCTGGGTCAAATGGTATTTCTGGTTCTAGATCCTCGAGGAATCGCCACACTGTCTTTCACAATGGTTGAACTAATTTACACTCCCACCAACAGTGTAAAAGTGTTCCTATTTCTCCACATCCTCTCTAGCATCTGTTGTTTCCTGACTTTTTAATGATCACTATTCTAACTGGCATGAGATGGTATCTCATTGTGGTTTTGATTTGCATTTCTGTAATGACCAGTGATGATGAGCTTTTTTTCATGTTTGTGGGCTGCATAAATGTCTTCTTTTGAGAAGTGTCTATTATCCTTTGGCCCCTTTTTGATGGGATTGTTTGGATTTTTCTTGTAAATTTGTTTTAAGTTCCTTGTAGATTCTGGATATTAGCCCTTTGTCAGATGGATAGATTGCAGAAATATTCTCCCATTCTGTTGTTTGCCTGTTCACTCTGATGATAGTTTCTTTTGCTGTGCAGAAGCTGTTTAGCTTAATTAGATCCTATTTGTCTATTTTGGCTTTTGTTGCCATTGCTTTTGGTGTTTTATTCATGAAGTCTTTGCCCATGCCTGTGTGCTTAATGGTATTGCCTAGGTTTTTTTCCACGGTTTTTGTGGTTTTAGGTCTTACGTTTAAGTCTGTAATCCATCTTGAGTTAATTTTTGTATAAGGTGTAAGGAAGCGGTCCAGTTTCAGTTCCCTGCATATGGCTACCCAGTTTTCCCAACACCATTTATTAAATAGGGAATCCTTTCCCCATTGCTTGTTTTTGTCAGCCTTGTCAAAAGTCAGATGGTTGTAGATGTGTGGTGATTTCTGAGGTCTCTGTTCTGTTCCATTGGTCAGTATATCTGTTTTGGTACCAGTCCCATGTTTTGGTGCCTGTAGCCTCATAGTATAGTTTTAAGTCAGGTAGCATGATGCCTCCATGTTTGTTCTTTTTGCTTAGGACTGTCTTGGCGATATGGGCTCTTCTTTGGTTCCTTATGAAATTTAAAGTAGATTTTTCTAATTCTGTGAAGTCAATGGTAGCTTGATGGGAATAGCATTGAATTTGTAAATTTCTTTGGGCAGTATGGCCATTTTCACGATATTGATTCTTCCTATCCATGAGCATGGAATGTTTTTCCATTTGTTTGTGTCCTCTCTTATTTCCTTGAGCAGTGGTGTGTAGTTCTCCTTGAAGAGGTCCTTCTCATCCCTTGTAAGTTCTATTCCTAGGCATTTTATTCTCTTTGAAGCAATTGTGATTGGGAGTTCACTCAGGATTTGGCTATTACTGGTTTATAGGAATACTTGTGATTTTTGCACGTGGATTTTTTATTCTGAGACTTCACTGAAGTTGTTTATCAGCTTAAGGAGATTTGGGGCTGAGACAGTGGGGTTTTCTAAGTATACAATCATGTCATCTGCAAACAGAGACAACTTGACTTCCTCTTTTCCAAATTGAATACCCTTTATTTCTTTCTCTTGACTGATTGCCCTGGCCAGAACTTCCAATACTATGTTGAATAGGAGTGGTGAGAGGGCATCCTTGTCTTGTGCCAGTTTTCAAAGGGAATGCTTCCAGCTTTTGCCCATTCAGTATGATATTGGCTGTCAGTTTGTCATAAATAGCTCTTATTATTTTGAGATACATCCCATCAATACCTAGTTTATTGAGATTTTTTAGCACGAAGGGGTGTTGAATTTTATTGAAGGCCTTTTCTGCATCTATTGAGATAATCATGTGGTTTTTGTCATTGGTTCTGTTTATATGATGGATTACATTTATTGATTTTCGTATGTTGAACCAGCCTTGCATCCCAGGAAAGAAGCCAGTTTGATCATGGTGGATAAGCTTTTTAATGTGCTGCTAGATTCAATTTGCCAGTATTTTATTGAGGATTTTCGCATTGATGTTCATCAGGGATATTGGCCTGAAATTTTCTTTCTTTGTGTGTCTTTGCCAGGTTTTGGTGTCAGGATGATGCTGGCCTCACAAAATGAGTTAGGGAGGAGTCCATCTTTTTCTATTTTTTGGAATAGTTTCAGAAGGAATGATATCAGCTCCTCTTTGTGCCTCTGCTAGAATTCGGCTGTGAATCCATCTGGTCCTGGGCTCTTTTTGGTTGGTAGGCGATTAATTACTGCCTCAATTTCAGAACTTGTTATTGTCCTATTCAGGGATTCGACTTCCTTCTGGTTTAGTCTTGGGAGGGTGTATGTGTCCAGGTATTTGCCCATTTCTTCTAGATTTTCTAGTTTATTTGCATAGAGGTGTTTATAGTATCCTCTGATGCTAGTTGGTATTTCTGTGGGGTCGGTGGTGATATCCACTTTATCGTTTTTTATTGTGTCTATTTGATTCTTCTCTCTTTTCTTCTTTATTAGTCTGGCTAGTGGTCTATCTAATTTGTTAATCTTTTCCAAAAGACAGCTCGTGGATTCATCGATTTTTTGAAGGTTTTTTTGTGTCTCTATATCCTTCAGCTCTGCTCTGATCTTGGTTATTTTTTGTCTTCTGCTAGCTTTTGAATTTGTTTGCTCTTGCTTCGCTAGTTCTTTTAATTGTGATATTAGGGTGTTGATTTTAGATCTTCCCTGCTTTCTCTTATGGGCCTTTAGTGCTGTAAATTTCCCTCTGAACATTGCTTTAGCTGTGTCCCAGAGATTGTGGTACATTGTGTCTTTGTTCTCATTGGTTTCAAATAACTTATTTATTTCTGCCTTATTTTCGTTATTTACCCAGTAAATAAATTCAGGAACAGGTTGTTCAGTTTCCATGTAGTTGTGCATTTTTGAGTGAGTTTCTTAATCCTGAGTTCGAATTTGATTGCACTGTGGTCTGAGAGACTGTTTGTTATGATTTCCCTTCATTTGCATTTGCTGAGGAGTGTTTTACTTCCAATTATGTGGTCAATTTTAGAATAAGTGAGTGCTATGTGGTGCTCAGAAGAATGTATATTCTGTTGATTTGGGATGGAGAGTTCTGTAGATGTCTGTTAGGTCTGCTTGTTCCAGAACTGAGTTCCAGTCCTGAATATCCTTGTTAATTTTCTGTCTCATTGATCAGTCTAATATTGACAGTGGGGTATTAAAGTCTCCCATTATTATTGTGTGGGAGTCTAAGTCTCTTTGTAGTCCAGAAGAACTTGCTTTATGAATCTGGGTGTGCCTGTATTAGGCACATATATATTTAGGATAGTTAACTCTTCTTGTTGAATTAATCCCTTTACCATTATGTAAAGCCCTCTTTGTCTCTTTTGATCTTTCTTGGTTTAAAGTGTGTTTTATCAGAGACTAGGATTGCAACCCCTGCTTTTTTTTTTTTTGCTTTCCATTTGCTTGGTAAATCTTCCTTCATCCTATTATTTTGAGCCTATCTGTGTCTTTGCACGTGAGATGGGTCTCCTGAATACAGCACACCGATGGGTCTTGACTCTTTATCCAATTTGCCAGTATGTGTCTTTTAATTGCGGCATTTAGCCCATTTACATTTAAGGTTAATATTGTTATGTGTGAATTTGATCCTGTCATTATGATGCTAGCTGGTTATTTTGACTGCTAGTTGATGCAGTTTCTTCCTAGCATTGATGGTCTCTACATTTTGGTATGGTTTTGCAGTGGCTGGTACTGGTTTTTCCTTCCCATGTTTAGTGCTTCCTTCAGGAGATCTTGTAAGGCAGGCATGGTGGTGACAAAAATCTCTCAGCATTTGCTTGTCTGTAAAGAAATTTATTTCTCCTTCACTTACGAAGCTTTGTTTGGCTGGATATGAAATTCTGGGTTGAAAATTCTTTTCTTTAAGAATGTTGAATATTGGCCCCTTCTCTCTTCTGAGTTGTAGGGTTTCTGCAGAGAGATCTGCTCTTAGTCTGATGGGCTGCCCTTTGTGGATAACCCAACCTTTCTCTCTGGCTGCTCTTAGCATTTTTTCCTTCATTTCACCCTTGCTGAATCTGACAATTATGTGTCTTGGGGTTTGCTCTTCTCAAGGAGTATCTTGGTGGTGTTCTCTGTATTTCCTGAATTTGAATGTTGGCTTCTCTTGCTAGGTTGGGGAGGTTCTCCTGCATGATATCCTGAAGAGTGTTTTCCAACTTGGTTCCATTTTCCCTGTCATTTTCACATACACCAATCAAACGTAGCTTGGTCTTTTCACATAGTCCCATATTTCCTTGAGGCTTTGCTCATTTCTTTTAATTCTTTTTTCTCTAATCTCGTCTTCATGCTTTATTTCATTAAGTTGATCTTCAATCTCTGATATCCTTTCTTCTGCCTGATGGACTTGTCTGTTGATACTTGTGTATTCTTCATGAAGTTCTCATGCTGTGTTTTTCAGCTCCATTAGGTCATTTATGTTCTTCTCTGAACTGGTTATTCTAGTTAGCAGTTCCTGTAACCTTTTATCAAGGTCTTTAGCTTCCTTGCATTAGGTTAGAACATGCTCCTTTAGCTCAGAGGAGTTATTACCCATCTGCTGAAGCCTACTTCTGTCAGTTGGTCAAACTCATTCTCTGTGCAGTTTTGTTCCCTTTCTGGTGAGGAGTTGTGATCCTCTGGAGGAGAAGAGGTGTTCTGGCTTTTCAGCCTTTTTGCACTGTTTTTTCCTCATCTTCGTCAATTTGTCTACCTTTGATCTTTGATGTTGGTGATCTTCGGATAGGGTTTTTGTGTGGATGTTTTTTTTTGTTGTTGTTGATGCTATTCCTTTCTGTTTGTTAGTTTTCCTCCTAACAGTCAGACCCCTCTGCTGCAGCTCTACTGGAGTTTGCTGGAGGTCCACTCCAGACTCTGTATCACCGGCAGATATCACCAGTGGAGTATCACCAGTGGAGACTACAGAACAGCAAAGATGGATGCCTGTTCCTTGCTCTGGAAGCTTCATCCCAGAGCAGCACCTGCCAGATGCCAGCTGGAGCTCTCCTGTATGAGGTGTCTGTCGATGCCTGCTGGGAGGTTTCTCCAGTCAGGAGGGACAGGGGTCAGGGACCTGCTTGAGGAGGCAGTCTGTCCCTTAGCAGGGCTCGGGCGTTGTGCTGGGAGATATGCTGCTTTCTTCAGAGCCACAGGCAGAACGTTTTGTAAGTCTGCTGAAACTGCGCCCACAGCTGCCCCTTCCCCCAGGTGCTCTGTCCCAGGCAGATGGGGTTTTATCTATAAACCCCTGACTCGGACTGTAGCCTTTTTTTCAGAGATGTCCTGCCCAGAGAGGAAGAATCTAGAGAGGCAGTCTGGCCTCAGTGGCTTTGCTGAGCTGTGGTGGGCTTTGCCCAGTTAGAACTTCCTGGAGGGTTTGTTTACACTATGAGGGGAAAACCGCCTATTCATGCCTCAGTAATGGCGGATGCCCTACCCCCACCAAGCTTCAGTGTCCCTGGTTGACTTCAGACTGTTGTGCTGGCAGCGAGAATTTCAAGCCAGTGGATCTTAGCTTGCTGGTCTCCATGGGGGTGGGATCCCCTGAGCTAAAAACCACTTGGCTCCCTAGCTTCAGCCCCATTTTCAGGGGAATGAACAGTTCTGTCACTCTGGCATTCCAGGCGCCACTAGGGTATGGAAAAAAACTCCTACAGCTAGCTCGGAGTCTGCCCAAAAAGCTGCCCAGTTTTGTGCTTGAAACCCAGGGCCCTGGTGGTGTAGGCACCCGAGGGAATCTCCTGGTCGTGAGTTGTGAAGACCATAGGAAAAGTGTATCTGGGCCAGAATGCACCATTCCTCACAGCACAGTCCCTCTCGGCTTCCCTTGGCTAAGGGAGGGAGTTCCCCAACACTTTGTGCTTCCCTGGTGAGGTGACGCCCCACCCTGCTTCGGCTCACCCTCTGTGGGCTGCACCCGCTGTCTAACCAGTCCCAGTGAGATGAGCCAGGTATCTCAGTTGGAAATGCGGAAATCACCCACCTTCTGCGTTGATCTCGCTGGGAGCTGCAGACCAGAGCGGTTCCTATTTGGCCATCTTGCCAGCCACCCATCATTTAGGTTTTTAAAGTGTTTATTTATTTAAATGCAGTGACCAAGTGCAAAAGGAAGTGGCTACAAAACCTAGGAAACCATTTTTAAAAGTCAGGGGAGAGCTCTGGGTTGATATTGACACCAAAGAATATGCAGGAGGTGGTGTGACAGCCCCACATGCCACCAGCCTCTGTGCAGCCAGAAGCCTAGGACAGGAGGGCAGGTGCACTGCGCTGCTGGCTGGAGTGAGTGTTTACTCCCAAACTGCTTGTTGACTCCAGGAAGCACCCTGCACACTAGTGCTTTAGTGTCTCCCTGTACCAACTTGGCCATTTCTGCCTTCCTCATCTGCTATGCAGGGGTAACATGTGTTTCTCAGACCTATTAGGAAGATTTAAAGTGGCATCACATGTCATGCACCTGACACAGGGTCTTACCTGTTTTATGCAGCTTCTGTCAGCCTGCAGTCCTGGAAGACAAGCGTCTCTCCAAATCCACTGCTCCCAATTATCCGTCCAACAAAAGCAATGCAGGACATCATAGTAACATTGGCCTCACATGGGTGTGCATGGCAGTAATGGAGTCCTCAGAGTTCTCCTCCTGATTCTTGCCCAAGGGGAGCACACTGCAGCAGGGATTGAGCAGGGTGTCCAGAGCCCTGGGTGTTGTTGGCACAGTGCTCCTGTTCTTTTAGTAGGTAATTTCAGGCATGTTGGCTTCCCTTGATTACCTTTTACCTGATATAGTCCTGCTCAAAATGCATCAGTGTCATCTACCATAAGCCAGGCATAATTCCATGGGACAGGATGTGGCCCTCTGCTGTCTTGGAGGACATGGTTGGCTAGGAGTAGAGAGACACAGACCCAGAAACCAACACAAGACAGAGCAAGGTCCATGTTCTGATGGGAGCCCAGGTGCTGTGGGAACAGGGAGGAAGAGCACAGGGTCTGCTGGGAGTGGGGAGACTCACACTGATAACACACACCAGACAGAGTGAGTGCATGTGCTGATGGGAGCCCAGGTGCTATGGGGGCACAGAGAAGGGTATGCTTAAGATGAGAGGGAGAGTTAGGGACCAGTAATTCTTTTGTAGATAGAAAGTCTTTTGGACTTGGTGTAACATTTTGATGCATCAGAGAGAAGCATTCCAGGGCAAGGTGAGGCATATACACCCAGGGATGGGGTTTAGACCATGTGGGACGTACTCAGGGGTGAGTATCTGAGCTGGAGTAAGGGACCTGGGGCAGGCAGATGTTGGGACATAAGAAAGTGGGGTTTAAGGAGGAAGAGTTTGGATCTGCTGGTCCAAAGTGTTTGGGCCAAGCTCAGGAAAAAGGATGGCAGCACCCCACTTTTCTTTATTTACTTTTTCATTCATCTGCTTGTTCCTTCAGCAAACATTTATTCATTATTTGCTATGTGACAAGCACTAACCTGGGTGCTGAGGAAAGAAAGATGAATAAGACAGGGTTTCCTTCCTCAGGGAAATCATAGTCTGGTGGAGAAGATAAATAACAATGGAGTGTGACTCAGATAGCAATTTGCTGCTGCTCCAAGAACAGTTATGCAGGTGATTGGTTATGCTTGGAGATAGAGGATCTAAGACAGGCTTTTAAAAATGTGCCTTTTGAGCTGAATTTGAAGGATAAGTGGAGTAGGAGCTTGCCAGAGGGACCTCAGAAGCCATCCAGGGACAGCTGACAACAGGACAAAGCCCAGAAGTGTCACTGAGAGGAGCACGCTGGGGACACAGTGACGTCTGGTTTGAGTGGATCCTAGGTGGGAAGGGTAACTAGGAAGAAAAGACTGGAGAGATGGGATGGAATAAAGCTGGGGGTTTTTCATCCTAAAAGCACTGTGACAGTGGTGGAGATGTTTAAGCTGGGAGGTTAGGAAGGTAATAGCAGGATGGAGAGAGCTGGAGAGGCCCTGGGAAGATGTGAGGAAGACGTGTTATGAGACCTTTTGTGGTCCAGAGGAAGGATCAGGAGGAAATGAGTAGGGTGGGCTCACTAAGGCTGGCTGGTGATTGAGTGAGAGTGTGGGTAACTCCAATGTTTTGGGCTTGAGAGGCTGGAGCCAATCCCAAGACAGAACAGTCAGGAGAAGTAGATTTCAGGAGGAAGATGATGGGCATATTCTGAATATGCGTGAGATTACCGCAGGACACCTGAGGTGCTTTCCCCCACCCCATCCCCACCTTGACATCCTTCCGAAGCTCTTGATCCCTTCAGTGCTGGCCTGGCCCCTCCACTGTCATCTCTCAACCTGAGCAGCTTGCAGCCCCTTGAACTGCCAGGCTGTGTTCTGCATCTTGCTGTTTCCAAGTGGAACAGCTTTTCCCTTGTCTCAACTTTTGTCTGGCCTGCTGCTGCAGATCCTTCCGGGCTCACTCAGATGGAAGGCTTTGCATAAGGCTTTCCTGGCACTCTTGACCACCACCAGGGAGGGCTCATCCAGATCTGTCTGCAGCCGTGTGCTCATCCCACCTGATTGTGGTGGTGTGTGTTCGTGACACCTCCTCCACTGCTGTGACGCCTGTCCTGCAGGGCAGGTGGCGTCTGTGTCCACTGTGCCTGGCCCAGATGGAAAGTGGGGCGTGAGCAAACATCACAGGAGCAAATCCAGGTGGCATATCCACCAGAGAGCTGAAAACTCCAAAAGACCAAGTGAAAGGCACCAAAGACAAATACAAACACGAGGATCCTGCATCTTCCCCTGCTCTCCTGTCTGCTGGTGAAGCACAGCATGCTCTAGAGACGTGTTCAGTTATGGAGGCCCATGCTGTTGGCTTGGTCTTGTGTGTGGAGAGGAATAGAAAGGGAGAAGGAATGCAGAGGCCCAGGAAGGAAGGCTGTGAAGCTCGGTGGCCCATGTTGGCAGAGGAGGTAGCCTGGCCTGCACACCTGCTTCCCTTCATTTTTCTAAGCTTCTGGGCCAGCTGTGGCCATGTCCCCAAGGAACAGCTCCCCACAGGCTGAGAGCATACCAGTGAGGCAGTTCCATGGATTGGTCTCAGAGGGCTGTGACCCCTAGAAACCGCATGCAAATGTGCATGTGTGTGAGACATGCCTCATTCTGGGGAGACACCCCAAGAGCTTTTGCTCAGCTTTTCAAAGATGCCTGTGGCCATCAAGAGGCTGAGAACTCCTGCTATAAGGATCCAGTCTTACTTTTTTCCCCACATTAAATCCTAGGAGGAATAATAATATAAAAGATAGGGAAGAAGACCTAGATCCATACTTGCTCAGAACTACATCCTGCAATTTCCTAGAGCGCCCACACAGAACGTAGAACCCAGTTCCAAAACCACTCTCATAAAGCCGAAGGCTGTAGAGTTGCAGAGCAAGATGGACCCTTGGAAATCACTGTGACGCTGGGTCGTGTCTGGGGTGATCAGGAAGGCACACAGAGCTTATCGGTGGCAGCGCTGGAAACTGCCACAGCTCCCTCCTCATTCATTGATTCTCTTTTTACTACTTGCCTTATCTCCCAAAACTTACGTTTTAATAATTCAAAACTTTTTCTTTTTCCGAGGTAGGGTCTGGCTCTGTTGCCCAAGTTGGAGTACAGTAGCATGATCTCAGCTCACTGCAGCCTCGGCCTCCTGGGCTCAAGCCATACTCCCACCTCAGCCTCCCAACCAAGTAACTGGGACTACATCACCATGCCCGGCTAATTTTTTTTTTTTTTTGGAAGAGACAGGTTTTTGCCATGTTGTCCAGGCTGGTCTCGAACTCTTGAGCTCAAGCCATCTGCCTGTCTGGGCTTCCTAAAGTGCTGAGAATACAGGTGTGGGCCACCGTGCCTGGCTTCAAACCTTTTTCTATCCAAATAGAGTTGCCAAACAGGAAACCATTTTTTCTATAGATGTTTAGGTTTCTGGGGAGAGAAACTTTTCCTTCGAATTGCCTCTCTAACCACCGTAAAACCTGGTAGAAGATGGATCTGTTGCTTATGTCTGAATAGTTCTTTATAACTTACCCATTGACACCCATGAGCTGGTTTACTTTAGAGGGGAACACTGACACTCAGAGATGAGATGACTCGCTTGCTGCTTCCTGCCACCCACTTCAAAGCTCTCCCCACCGTCTCTCAGCCTGGGCATTCAGTTGTGCACATTCTGCAATGCTCACAGCAGGGAACCAGTAGCCAGTGTACCTGGCTTGCTGCTCTGTTTTGTGGGGGTGAAACTGACCACCCTGCTAATCACAGCCATTGGGGGAGAGGAATAAGGTCTTGCCTTGATTGAATTAGACTCTAGATATACTAGAGTCTGATTTCTAAGCAACCTGCAAAGTGAGTTTTTAATCACCATTTTACAGATGGAGAAACTAATTCAGAAAGGGAAAATACTCAAGGCCACAAGGTAGTAAACTCCCAAACTAGACAAACCTCAGGTCTGCCCAATTCCTCTTCCTGTGTTTTCTCCATATCATCTCACTACATTGGGCTGTGAACTTCCCCGCCTGCCTCCCTGGGGCAGTCCTGGCCTCCTCTCACCCCTGCCCCTTCCCTTCTTTCTCTCTCTTAGGAGTGCCAGCTTCTCCCAGGGTTCTGAGGCCCCATTCATCATGAGGAGAAACACAGCCATGCAAAATCTTGCCCAGCACAGTGGATACAGTGTTGATGGGGTCAGCGGTCACATCCATGGCTTCCATAGCCTTTCCAAGCCCAGCCAGCACAATGCAGAATTCAGAGGCAGCACCCACAGAATCCCCTGGAGCCTGGCCTCCCATGGCCACACCAGAGGCAGCCTCACAGGCTCTGAGGCGGATAATGAGGGTGTGTACCCCTTCAAGGCACCCAGAAGCACCCTGTTCCAGGAGTTTGGGGGCCACCTGGTGAACAATAGTGGTGTTCCGGCCACCCCACTCTCAGTGCACCAGATTCCTAGGACAGTCACGTTAGACAAGAACCTCTATGCCATGGTGGTGGCCACTCCTGGGCCCATAGCCTCCCTTCCCCTGCCCAAGGCAAGTCAGGCAGAAGCATGTCAGTGGGGCAGCCCTCAGCAGAGACCTTTAGTCAGTGAAAGTAGCAGGTGGTCTGTTGCTGCTGCCATCCCCAGGCGGAATACCCTTCCTGCAGTAGACAACAGCCGATGTCACCAAGGTCAGTATGAGCCCTCACTGAGACCCAGAGGGAGAGGGGAGGTGGCACCGGGTTCTCAGTGGTTAGCTAGTCCTTGGTCTCCCATGGCCAAGGGAGACTTGGGAGCCACTCAGGTCACTGATAGTCAAGTTCATCTCCTGCCTGGACCTTGACCACTGGGTCCCCCAGCACTGGAGGCTGTTAATAGACACCCAGTGGCAAGACTGGCAGACTTGGCCTCCACTAAGGGAGACAGAACATTCTTAGTTACAGTACAGCACATTATGGGTTTGGAATTCTAAATCATCATAGTGTATGTATGTTTAAATCCGAGTAAAGACTTAAAACAGAAGTTTAGGAGATCAGTCCAAAACTAGAGCCAAACCAGTGTGGACTAACAGACTGTTGAAACAAAATGAGATCTTCAAAATATTTTCCAGCCTATATTTGGGTCTCTTTGTTTGAAGCCTAAACTTGTATTTGAAATACCTAGATTCTTTTCTCATTTGTTTTCCACTGAGAGTATTTTATATCTGCATATAACCTCCTCTCCTCAATGAAAACAAATAGATCAATAGTAACTCCTTTCCTTTTGCATCCATTCTTATACCTTGCAAAGCCTTTGTTTATTCTTCCTGTTATGAGAGAGTCTGGTGGGGCAAAGCCTTGTTTTCTCCATTTTATATGAGGCCCATGGTACTTAGGCTTATTCAGGGTTGAAAGTCATAAGTGGTAAAGATGAGCCTCACCCTGAGGTCCTGGATCCTGGGTTAGAGTTCTTTGCAGTCTTTTTAGTGTTTCAGCAATTTGAGCAAGGCCCTTGTGCTGTGAAATTGAAATGATAGAGGTATATATAAAACATGTTTGCTGTTCAGAGCTCACATTTATGTGTAAAATAAAATGAAACCGACATGCAGAAGTCAGTATAAGCACTCTTTACTATTCCTGGAGGTGGCAGGTGGGTGAAAGGGATGGGTGGTGGGTGCTGTAGGAGTTGAAGGAAAAGGTGTGTCCTGAGGGCAGGCATCCAGGAGGGACACTGTGTGGGTAACACTGGAGCTGGACCTGGAAGCCCAGGAGGAGTTGTGGTAGGGAGCAGGGATGTGTTAGAGGTAACGCTTTGTCATTTGGGGTTGAGAGTCGTGTCCTCTAGAGCATCAGCGAGACCCTAAGCAGCACTGGGGAGGGCGTGGGAGGCATCAACACATGGATCAGCTGTGATGCATGTGGATCTCCTTCCTCTGTCGTAGCTTCCTCCGGCAAGTACACCCAGCATGGTGGAGGGAATGCCAGCCGGCCTGCTGAGTCCATGCATGAGGGAGTCTGTTCTTTCCTGGTGAGTATGGCTTAACCAGGGGTCCCCAGACTGGCTCAGGGAGGTAAAGGTCACACTCCATGGAACTAAAAGCACATCCCCCAAAGGGTGACAGCATCTCCCTCCTAGGAGGCTGCCTAGGTTCTTGCCTCAGTTCAGAACCATAGGTTCAGTTTTTGGATAAGTGAGATACTGGTATCCAGGTCTGGAAGAAAGTGAGTACTTAAGTAGATGGGATCACAAGTCTTACCAGCCCTGTGGGTAGCAGAGGGTGCAGAATGCTGGGGTTCTGGGTGCTCTAAGCAGGTGCTCTAACCCATGAGGTCCCCTGGAGCAGGAGTGCTTCCCTGTGAGCCTTTGGTATGGGTAGGCAGAGGGGACAGGCTGCTGGGGTGGTGGGTGATCTGATTCAGCAACCTTATCCAGGAGATCCTCTGGAGCAGGGGTGCTTCTGTGTGAGCCTCAAGGCAAGGGCAGTACTCAGAGTCAGGTGAGGTGGATGGATTCCAGGCTGCCACCTGGAAAGGGTAACCACAGTTCTCCAAGGTGTCAGACAAGCAACAAGGCCTGGCGTCAGGCTTCTTACAAAGATGGTGGGAATTAGGTAACCAAGGCAGAGGGCAGATGAGGCAGGAGCTGGAGGAAGGCTGTACCTAGGTCTGCTGCATTGCGCAACTCTGTGGCAGCTCTGCCTGCAGCTTGGTGGTCACCCAGGAGCCCGAGTGAGCCCCAGGCTCCCTATACCTCCCTGATACCTTGTCTGCTAATCACAGCCATTGGGGGAGAGGAATCTCCTTGTCTGGGGAAGTGCACCTCACCCCATACGTCACCTTCCAGGGCCAAGACATCTGATGTGATCCTTGCCTTGATCAGGGCCTGAGATGCTGACCTGCCAGTGCCGAGTCAGGACTTGAGGTGGATGATGGGTCTCGAGGCCACATCTGCATGGTGCATGGTCTGTGCTGCCTTCTGCCTGGGTCTGGTATCCAGAAACCTGAGTGGACATTGGGTGCTGAGCCACATCTGCATGGTGCATGGCCTGTGCTGCCTTCTGCCTGGCTCCGGCATCCGGAAACCCACGTGGACATTGGGTGCTGAGCCACACCTGCATGGTGCACGGCCTGTGCTGCCTTCTGCCTGGGCCCAGCATCCAGAAACCTGAGTGGACCCAGCCACTAAAGATATTTTATCCCATAGATTTGTCACAAATTGTAGTTGGACCCCAAGGGGTCCTGAGAGCTAGAAGTGCCCAGACATCTCATTTTTTTCTTGCCTCTACTTTGATTTCAGAGTCTTTCCAAGGTCACTCTGATAGCTTCAAAGTGTAGCCCTCCCCATGTAGTGAACTCTTATAATTGTATGCTGCCTTGGCATCCACATCGAATGGAGTTTTAACTTTCTCAGACCAGAGGCAGAGGACTTAGTCTCCCTGATGGTTTCCAGTTCTACACCACACCCATGTGGCTTCAGTCAGTGGCCAGAGATGGGAATTTAGACTTACCTCCCCCATGCAGCAGACTGGGCTCGCCACTTTCTTGCTGCTCCCTTTAAATGGACCATCCAGGCATTTACTCTGACCTTAATTAAGTGATCCCACACCCCATTCTGCAAGATACACTTCCAGTTGCCACCCTCTCTCCTCTTACTCCCTAACCTCCCAGGACCTGTAAGAACTGAAAACTCTTCCACTTTTACATGTTGACTGTGTCATGGAAGCTGCTCCAAAGTCTGACCCCTGAGGCTGCCCAGAGGGGCCCCATCCATGGGGTTCCTGGCTGGGGCACTTCTATCTGGGCCGCAGGTGGCTGCTGAAGACAGCAGCCCCCAGCCAAGGTGATCAAAAGTTTCGTTCAAAACACCCCGTCATGACTCTTTTTGGCCTTGTCTAGAAATTCTCATTCCTATCTTGTTCTTGCTGGTGATAGCTGTGTTTCTTTCACTGTCCTCTTCCTAGCCAGGAAGAACGCTTGTGGGCCTGTCAGACAGCATTGCTTCTGAGGGCAGCTGTGTGCCCATGAACCCAGGCTCCCCTACCCTGCCGGCTGTGAAGCAAGCAGGCGATGATTCCCAGGGTGTCTGCATCCCTGTGGGCTCATGTCTTGTTCGCTTTGACCTGCTTGGCTCCCCACTCACAGAGCTTTCTATGCACCAAGACCTCAGCCAGGGACATGAGGTCCAGCTGCCCCCTGTCAACCGCAGCCTCAAGCCTAACCAGAAGGGTAAGTCTTTCCCCATTCTATTTCTTGACAATGTCCAGGGACTCTGCATTCGCTTAGGTGTCAGGTGGATCCTGGATGTGGAACGTCTGACTTTGGCAAGTCATGTGAATTCTCTGAGCCTCAGTTTTCTCCTCTGTGAAATGGAGATAGTAACTCCTACTTCCCGGGTTTGTTTGGAAGGAGAGTGTCTGGGACAGTGGCCCTGGCTCACAGCAGGTGTCCAGTGAAGTTTGGTCTGTGCCCTCCACGTGTAGACCAGGAAGAAGAGCTAGAGCTCAGGTTCCAGGCTGCCATGACCTCACCCTGTGGCCTTGGCCCAGCACGGGGTTCAAGGAAGGAGTGGGATAACTGGGTGGGGATCAGTCCTGTGGGTCTGGCCACAGGGAACCAGACCCAGCGAGTGGCGCTGGAGCCTCAGCACCTCATGGTGTCTACCTGCTTCCATGGTGGGCTACACAGCCCTGTCCAAGGCAAGCAGGGGCAGGCATGGGGACTAAATCCATTTCAAACATTGTGTCTGTTTTTTATATCAAGTCAAATTTAGGCAGAAAAATCTATTGTCAGACTATGAGTCCCCATTTTGGATTCTGAAAATACAGTGGCTATAGATACAGTGGGAGGAGCATACGATCTGGAATCTGAGAACAGAACTCTAAGGCCCTTCAGCATGACCCAGCCGATAGAGCCTTGCCAAGCCTCAGTCCCCCGCACACAGCTGGGTGGACTGGGTGGACGGGGTGGGCCTTTCTAAGCACACCTGGGCCTTGTAGCAAAGTGGACATGGGTGTGGTGTCATCACTGGCTGATGACAAGGTTCTTTTCCTGCTCCAGCCAACCCAACACCGCCCAACCTGAGAAACAACAGGGTCATCAATGAGCTCTCCTTCAAGCCACCTGTCACAGAGCCCTGGTCTGGGACCAGGTGAGTGTCTGTCAGTGGAAACAGGAGCTTGGGACCGGGCCGGTGGAGGAGTGAGTGGGATGGTCATTGGCTTGTGGTCAGGATAACTGGATGCTCATGTCGATGTGGACATGGCTGATCCTGTCTCCGTCTCATGAGGCGTGACGGCCTTCTCATCTGTAAAGGGGGAATAATGATCCCTGTCCCTATCAGTTCTTGATCTGGTAACAGTGTGAGGCCTGGATGCTTGAAGTCAGGGCCCAGCTGGAGGCTGGAGCCCTGACAGCAGCCCTGAGCCCCACCCAGGATGTACTCCTTGCCTTCTTCCCATGACAGCCACACCTTTGACTCCAGCTCCTCCCAACACCCCATCTCCACGCAGAGCATCACCAACACAGACTCAGAAGACAGTGGAGAGAGGTATCTTTTCCCGGTGAGTCCTTGGGGGTCACTGTAAGGCTCCTATCAGAGTCCCCTGGGACCCACACTCATGTCCCCGCTTCCCAGCTTAGCTACCTCAGCTGACTCACCCCAGCCCAGTCAGGTGTGATTTGGTCTCCTATTGCAAGCTCTTCTTGAGCACAGGTGTATCAGGCAATCATTAGGGTTAGGAAGATGATGGTCTCCCCTCAAGGAAGTCTGGAACTTGAAGAGCAGAGGCAGCCCACCTCGCCCTCATGACGGTGATACAGGTGGTGCCCTGCCCTGGAAGAGGCAGAGTTGGAGGTGTCTGCTTCGCCATGGGGAGACACACATGTACATGCTTCACCCTGGTGAGGGCTGTGAGAGACGTGGAGATGCAGGTGGAACACAGGATGCCCCTTAGATTGGCACTGAAGAGGGCATCATGACCAACATTTGATAGTTGCTGCATAGATATTGGAAGAATGAGCCAGCCAGCAAAGCAGCCAAAACCCAGAGCCCAGGGCGGCCACTTTTCTCACCAGAGCCAGACTTCAGGAATGTCCCAGCAAGGTGGCAGCCTTCTAGAGAGGAGGCTGCGGGACCCTGCGTGTCTCCTGGAGAGCTGCCAAGGGGGTAGGCTCCATGCAGCCTCAGGTGGTGGGCACTGCCGATCTCTGGGAGCTGGAGGGGGAGGCAGCTGCTTCATAGGATGGACCTACTCTGGGCCATGGGTGGGAGTTTCAGATGACTGACTGGGTGCAGCATCCAGTGTGTGAAGGAGAGGCACAGTAGTAACACCTGGCTCACAGGACTGCTGAAAGGGTTTGAATGAGCAGAGAGTGCCCCAGTGCATGGCTCAGAGTAGGACCCAGTGGGCTCGTAGCTACGCCCACAGGTGTGTTCCACTGGGTGCTGGGTCTGTGTCCTGAACTCATTTGCAGGATTTTCCTCCTTGTGACAGCAGAACCCGGCATCTGCATTTCCTGTTTCCGGTGGCACCAGCAGTTCAGCCCCGCCGAGGAGCACTGGTAACATCCACTACGCGGCCCTGGACTTCCAGCCGAGCAAGGTGCCTGGGGTGGAGCTGGGGTTGGGCAGAGCCCTTGGGCCCTGGGGGAGAGACTGTGGGGCCAGGCCCTTCAGCACCGGCAGCACTGGGCTGCTGGGCTGCCACTCCCAGCCCAGTGCCTGGCTCTTATGCTCAGTGGTGCTCTGATCTGGATCTCGGGGCTCCTGTTCCTTCCCTCTCAGCGTGGTGCCTTCATCAGCCTGCCCCGACTCCCCATTAGAGACAGATGACTGTGTGGAGACCTGATCTGTGGAGGTTGTGGAATAAATCAGGAGAGACCCAGGACCGGCAACCTGGCTCCAGGCCAAACTCTTCTGTGAGGAGAACTCACTGTGTGGGAGGGTTCTAGAGCCCGGCCATTGATGCGGGGGACCTCAGAAGGAACTCCTGGGTCCAGGAAAGCCTCCCGAGAAAGCACATGTAGCCAGCCTGTCTAGACAGCAGGGTGGAGAGCTCCATCTCTGTGCATTGCGCCCCTTGGGGAGATAGGGCTCACCAAGGGCACCCCTGGAAAGGCCTAGGCTGGTGCTTGTTGACACCTGGGAAATTTCCTGCCATGGATGAGTGTTTAGAGGGGAAGGCCTTGGCCAGTCCTTGGGCCAGAGAAGGGCCTGGCTCTTCCTGCGAGGTGGGAGATGAGAAGTGCTGGCCAGGGCTATGGCATCCAGCAGGAGGAGAGGTTAGCCTGGAGTTGAGGCTTTAAAGCCCAGGCCCCCCAGGCTGCTGAGAGCAGGAGGCAGAGGTTCCTTCCCCCTGAGAAAGTTTGAGAGAGCCCACTCCTTGGCCTGCCCTTCCTCACCAGGAACTCACAGACACTGCCACTCCCACTTCCACCCTCTGTCCCTCAGCCATCCATAGGCTCTGTCACGTCCGGCAAGAAGGTGGACTATGTCCAGGTGGATCTGGAGAAGACCCAGGCCCTGCAGAAGACCATGCATGAACAGATGTGCCTGCGGCAGTCCTCAGAGCCTCCCAGGGGCGCCAAGCTGTGACTCGGGCCACCAAAACCAGAGTGGGGCCAGGACAGTGCCTCAGAGCTGCTCCGCCACACTCTAAAGCTCTGTAATATCAGGGACCGCATCCCTTACATAGAGAGCAGAGGCCTGATCAATATACATCCTTTGCCTGCTTGGGGCCCACCTGTGCCTTTGGCTGGCCATGGTCCCCACCTTCACCCCCTTGCTAGGAGCAGTTGCCAGCAAGCATCCTCAGTCTCTTCCTGCCCCTCAGACCCGGGCTCCCAACAGATTTCCACTCTCACACTTACTCATGGTCCTCAGCCTCTTCCTTCTAGCCTCTGGGCTGTTTCCCTCAATCCTGGAACATGAGGAGCTACCTTGCTGACCCGGGGACCCAAGGCCCACAGGCCACAGTGGACATGGACCTTTTCAGCCCTGGCATTTTTTGGTCAGGGGAGAGGCAAGGCCATCAAACGTTGGAATAGTTGAGAAGGAAGGTTAAAGGTGGTCTTGAGAAGCAAAGGAATTAGATCCTTAGACCAGCAGGGCAGCTGATACCTGCAAGGGCTCCCACTTTCAGACTGAGGCCAGAGTATGGCAGCTGCTCCCGGGTGGGAGAGGCAGAGAGGGAAGGGCAAAAGGAAGGGAAAACATGAAGACGAACAGCCGAAAGCCACAAGAAGCAGGGCTGGAGCTCCAGAGACTGGGGTGACAAGGACCAGGGTCAGGGCCCCAGAAATCCGGAGCTGCAGGCTGGCTCTGCTGCTCTTTGCTGATGCCCCTTGGGGGGCCCTTGCCTGCCTAAGAAGGCTTGATCTGAGCTGGGCAAAGCAGCAACTGATGGGGGAAATACCTGCAGGGTGAGGGGTGGGATGGGGCAGGGAGTGAGGGAGGAAGGGAGCATGTGCAGATGGAGATGGCTCAGGGCTGAGGGGCTCCTGGGACAGGCAGGGGCCCGAGGCAGGGCCCGGGACTCCGCAGTGCAGGTGGTGCAGCACGTGACCTTCTGTGAAGGGGCAGAGCAGTGGGGAGGGCACAGAGGGAACCCATGGGAGGCAAGGCCGGGGAGACAGCCAGGGAGAAGTGGGGAAATGTGGCCAGGGGCCCTGGGGGCATGCCATCAGTGGTGAAAGGAATACAGGAGCAGAAGGTGAAGGGGGGTCTGCTATGCATGGGAGCAGTGTGGGAGGCCAGCTGGAGGGGCATCTGGGACGCGGGTAGAGCCTGCAGGGAGGACGGCCTGGGGTGGGGCTGAGGCTGTGCCAGGCCGTGTTTCCCTCTCACTTCGCCCTCTTCCTTGGCGTTCCAGTGCCACATTGGACTCAAACTTGGCTATGGGGACAGGAGAAGCCAGTCTCCTCCTCCTGTGACTTGAGAGATTCTCAAATCGCAGGTTCAGAAGGTAGGCCCTCACCCAGGGCTTCTTGTGCCAAAGTTCAGGTAGGGATCTGAATTTTTTGTTGAAAGTTTTTGACCAAAATTTCGAAGAGTTTCAGAATGAACAGGGCAGAGCGGACACTTCATCCTACCTTGGGGTGAACAGACTTTCCTCCTCCAAAAAATGACTGCCCACAGGGTTTGATGGAGGCGGCCTCCACACCCTGTCAGCACCTGTGAGCACCACACTTCACCAGACCAGGGGCCTGGCTGGCTTCTGGGGATCCATCCCTCAGCAGGAGCCCTCTCCCCTGGCAGCTCAAAGGCTCAGGTGGCAAGGCCCCGGGCTTAGGCACTGAGGACACGGGGAATCTATTAGACCTTTTCCCAAACGTGACAAGGTCACATCAGTGAGGGAAAGGACAAGGACACAGACAGTGGTGATGGCCAAGATAGGCTGAAGATGCTGATGGGGTGCACAGGAAGTGAAAACTCCTCAGGGAGTGGAGGCAGAGAAGGTGGTTTTTAGGACAAGGGGTGCCTGAATTAGTCTTGAGAGGTTAGGTCAGATTTTTGCAGGGAAGGAGGGCAGGGCCAGGCTGCAGTGGAGGAAGGAACGACAGACTGGAAAAGCCTGTGCTGAGGGGCCACAGGAGCTTTGGAGGGCAGGTCCAGCTGCTCAGAACTGCAGGGGCCGGGCCTTTGTGCTCCCACGGGTGGAATGGTGATGGCTGTGTGACCACACTGGGCAGAGTGTGCAGGGTGCTGGCTCACTGGCCCAGCCCTGACTGTGTCCCTGTAAGGTCCTCTACAAGGGGTCCCATACAGCACAGCTCTTAACTGCCATCCCCTGTCCCCAGCTGACTACAGTGGGGCCCAGTATTGATCTCAGCTCCCAGCCCAGCCACCTTCCCTGTTGATCCCAGGCTGCTAAGAAAGTGCTGCATGTTCTGAGTGTGCATGGTGTGCATGAACTTGGTGGAGGCTTCAGAGACTGAGGTGTTCAAGTCCCATCTCCAGAGGGGTTCCTTCCAGCTCTTGGTTCCTGTGACCACCAAACCCTGAGGGTGAAAGTAGGGGTGGAGATGGAAAGAAGGACAAGAGAAGAGGACACTGGCCTATTGGAAGCAGAGCTCTACTCCCAAGCCTGGACTCCAGCCATGTCTAGCATGTATCCCCCCCTCCACCCACCATCCCAGAAGGAAAAGTCAACTCAGCTTAATACAGGGGTCCTTGGACCTATCTTGAGGTTAAAGTCCACCTCCCCTGGTGGCCTGGCCAGGACTGAGACCCCAAAAAGGGACACCTCAGCCAGTGCAGCTCACATGGGGGCTTGTCCTGCTGGGCTCTCCAGGGGAGCCGTCTTCACCCACCCCCACCACCTGCAAAGTTAGAGAGCAGTCAGGTGGGAACAATGAGAAACGGGCAAGGACATCTCCCTAGGACTTTGCTTTCCCATCTGTGGAGTGGGTGGTTGGATTCGATGTTGTCTGGCCCCTTCCTAGGCTGAGGCTCTGCTGGTCTCGGAGCTCCTTGCTCTGTTACTTCTCTCTGGAGGCTCTGCATCGCAAGGGATGAGCAGCACGAGAGCTTTGGCCAATTAGTCCCTTTCTGGCTTGATATGGACAACTTCTTCATTTCAAACTATTAAAATAGACCACATTCCTACGGCAGAAGCACAACCATTCTGGTTATGGGAACATAGGCTCAGCTGTAGTCGGCCTTGTGGTCCTTCAACGTGCTGTGAGGCTGTCATCTTAGTCCCAGGCCCTGGCACAGCATCACCCACATGACTGTGACCCCCAGGGACATGCAGGACAGGGAAGTGAGCACTTCTGTTCTGGGCCTGGGCCTTGATCTGGGAAGTGTGGGGGAGGGGAGGCTGACCTGCAGAGCACTAAGAGCATCATTCTGGGATACACCAGGCCCCTGAGGCCTGGGACGATGGCCGTCTGCCTGCTGAGAGCCCACTGCAGAGTCAGGCTGGTATGTTTGGTCCAGCGGTGTGTGTCCTTGTGTATTTGTTGGCTACTTGTATCTTGCTGTTTAGAATCATTTTGTACAGAATGTTTGGTTTCTCATTAAGAGAAAATGGGCAAGAAGCCCAGTCTTAAGTTCTTGTCTTGGTACCATTTAAAATTGACATTTCATTTTTTTTTTTTTTTTTTTTTTTTTTTTGAGACGGAGTCTCGCTCTGTCGCCCAGGCCGGACTGCGGACTGCGGACTGCAGTGGCGCAATCTCGGCTCACTGCAAGCTCCGCTTCCCGGGTTCACGCCATTCTCCTGCCTCAGCCTCCCGAGTAGCTGGGACTACAGGCGCCCGCCACCGCGCCCGGCTAATTTTTTGTATTTTTAGTAGAGACGGGGTTTCACCTTGTTAGCCAGGATGGTCTCGATCTCCTGACCTCATGATCCACCCGCCTCAGCCTCCCAAAGTGCTGGGATTACAGGCGTGAGCCACCGTGCCCGGCCGACATTTCATTTTTCAAATCACTGTTGGTGCCTAATCACTGAAGTTATTCCATTTTCTTTTAAAACTTTTGTTATGTGTATTTACCCTGTGAGCACACCTGGGGGTGACAGGAGTGTGCTCAAGAGGCTATCATTTCTGCTGTGGTCACTGGACAGGCCTCGTGCTGGCAGGCTCCTTTGTACTGAAGCACTGGAGCAGGACGGTAGTGAAGTTCATGAGGAATACAGCCCAGGGTGGGCTGCTTGGGTCTTTCTGGGAGTGGAGCCCACACTCACTCAAGTCTCACCTTAGGCTGAGCCTGAGCACCTGGCTGCCCTGGGCAGGCACAGACACACACTGTCAACAAGAAAACCATTTCAGAATCATTTCTCCAATGACCCAGGAAGGCCACTGTGCCAGTCTGTTCACTTCATCTTAAATAGGAAATAGGTACTTTTCCTGGCTCAGAGAGAAAATAAATTCTCTTTATCACAGAATCTACTTTCCTAATCTGTAAACTGGACATTGTGCTAGCACCTGCCAATCCGTCTTTCTTAGAAGGGAGTCTAGAGGTGGTTCTGAGAGGGCTTCATCTGTGTCTGTGTCCACTGGGCCCCTGGCAACAGGTTCCTGAGGTCTGACATCTCACAACTCCCCTCCACTGCTCCACCCACTGCACAAGTGGGGCAGCCCTTGAGGTCCCTGGTGCCTTTTTACCTTCCATGTTCTCCCAAATGGCACTGTAGGAATGGTGCTTGCGGACCCTGTGGTAAGGGCTGCTCCCAAGCCCCGTACATGCCCCACTTCTCTGCTTCAACTCCAGGATGGGGTGGGGCCCAGGAAAGGAGCCGGGTGCGGGCTCTGGAGTGGGAAACCTGTGGTGAGGGCTGATCCTGGGCTCTGCGAGTGTGGCTGCTCCTGCGTTTCTCTAGCTCCAGGCTGGGTTGTTGCCTGTGGTAAGGAGCTAGGTGTAGGCATGGTAGGTGCACCATGGCCCTGTGGTGACAGCTGGTCCTGGGCCCTGCCAGTGTGGCTGCTCATGTGCTCCTCTCCAGCTCCTGGATGGGATGGTGTCCATGGGAAGGAGATGGGTTCGAGTTCTGGAGAAACAGGGGGCTGCCTCCCAGCTAGCCCTGACCCATGCCAAGTCCAGCTCTGGAGATGTGACAACCCCCTCTCAACCTCCCCAGCTTCTCAGATGCAAGGAAAGAGGGATGTGGCATCTGCAACAGGTGTTTGTGGGCAGTCCAGAATTCTTGGGTCTGAAACATTTCCAGTTATTTATTTGGGTTTCAAGTGCACCTGAGAGGTGAGTCCCCTCCACAGTATTCCACTGGGACCCCCCATCCTGTGCACCCTTCCTCTCTCTTCCATTCCATCCTCTAGGTCCTCCCAGCCTCAGAACTAGGCAAGTCCTTCAGCACACAGGGCTGTCACTCCATGCTGTACCTCAAGTGATGGGGACAGGGGTATGTCCTCTCCTTACCAAGGAGCAGCATGGGTCCCTATCATGCTGCCCAGATGCAGTGAGGAAATCGAGGGTACAGCATACAGGAAGAGCAACAGCTTTCAAAGGCTTCAGAGAGGCTGGTTTCATACTGCTTGAGAACAAGGGTCTTTCTCTTCATAGAAAAGAGGCTATAGCATGGTCAAGGCACAAGAAGATCACTGGACTGCCCTCGCTCAGCCCTCAGCTACTGCTCTGGCTGTCCATGGCTGAAACTCATCCTGCTGGCCAAAGCCTTTGCTGTTCCAGTTGTTAAATATTTTGATACCACCCTTAACTCTAAAGGGTGGAGTCACAGGCACAGTTAGGAGGTAGAACTAACCTCCCACTGACACTTGGCCATTCACACTCGTAGAACAGCACACTTACTAAACAACTGCATAATTCATTATTCAAAGTCTGTTCCTCTGAAGTAAGGGGTTAGGTGCCTGGGCCACCGATATATTCCGAGCACTGAGCAATGAATGAATGAATGGATGGATGGATTTTTTTAAAAGGCTCAAAGTGAAGGGAAATATTGTATCGAACCAGTGCTTGGCTGGGACTGGATGCATCTCCACCCAGGAGATCAAATCCAGGATCCTGGTGTGTCTGCTCTTCCACAGGTGAGGATGCTGCTGTCCTTGGAAATGGCTTCCGTTCAGCCCTATGGAGGGTGGACATGGTCCAGACTCTGGGAGAGCCCGGCTCAGCCTTGGGCCCCTCCCTAGGCCACTGCTGGTAAAAGAGCACACAGACCTTCCTTGGGTAAAAGGGAGGGGACATTGCAGATAGACAGCAGGAGAAGGCCACCTGTGTGGGCAGTTCCCATAGGGCCTAGGCGGCAGCACCCTTGCGGGCTTAGCAGTGGTTGGGACGGCTCTCCTGGGACACTCCAGAGAGTGCTGGTTCAGTGCTAGTCCACAGTCCTGGCCTGGCACCAGCAAGTGGGGCAGTGATGTCACCCAGGATCTTGCAGTTCCTGCATTGAAGGGGAAGCACAGCAATCTCTGGATGAGGTAGTGTGGCGCCTGGCTCAGGCCCCTGCCTGTTCAACACCCTTCAGGACAGCACCCACCTCGCTGGAGCAGCGGTTCTCTGCTGTCAGCCTGAGGGAACAGGAAGTAGTTGACCAGGTTCAAGTCAAAGCTGGAGACCACACAGCGCCTTCACAGAGAGGGTAGTGGTGTCCTGTGGGTCCCTGGTCCCAGGCCATTCTCCCCCTTCTTGTTCACCTTCTTCATTCACCTCTGTACCCTCAACAGCCCAGGGATGCCTGGCAATGTGGGTGCTCAGAGGTCACAGTAGATGAATGATACTTACAGCACATGAAGGCCCCAGACTTAATGCAGTAGGTGGAATCACTGGAGAGAGAGATGTGGGCAGCAGTACAGAATGGGGCTCGAGGGGGCCCTGCCATGGCCCCACAGTCTCTGTCATGAACCTGTGCTAGCATGGACAAGGGCTCAATAGCTTCTTCCATGAAGTAGGCTCTTGTAGTCAGATGCAGGTAGGTCCTGGGGCAGGGAGGGTGTCACTGTGGAGGCCTGACCAGAGCTTCCTTTCCACCCACTCCTCCCCCTGCACACACTTGGCTGTGATCCAGGAAGGCAAAGAGCCACTGCAGCCTGGAAATAAAAGGCTGTGAGTTGTTCTCAAATGAAGCCAAGAGTGTTTGAAGCTTCACAAAAAAGCAGGAGTGCCCAGGGTAAGCAAAGGCCCCAAAGGAGCTT